>NC_000003.12:40919090-41222121 GCF_000001405.40 Homo sapiens
TGGCCAGCTGTTTGGTCAAACACCAGCCTAGATGTTGCTGTGAGGGTACTTTTTAGCTGTGATTAACGTTAACAATCAGTTGTCTTTGAGTGAAGATTAACATGAAATCAGTAGACTTTAAGTATGCAGAGTGCCCTCCGAATGACAGTGGGCCTTGTATAATCCATTGCAAGCCTTAAGAGCAAGATGGAGATTTCCTGAAGAAGAAGAAATTCCCCTCAAGACTGCAACATCAACTCTTGCCTGAATTTTCACAAATTTCAGATTTGCTAGCCCACACAATTGTGTGAGACAATTCCTTAAAGTCTCTCTATTATATGTAATATAAAGTTCAAAAGCTATAGAGAGAGAGCTTTCAGAAGTGCTCTCTCTCTCTGTATATGTATATATACACACATAGAATATGCATTATGTATAGATATATACATATAATCGAGTATGTATATGTATTCATATATATATACATATATACACACACACACACATATCCTATTATTTCTTTTTCTCTGATTTCTCTGGAGAACCTTAAGTAATGCATCATCCTTCTGAAAAGAAGATCTAGAACATTACAACCAACCACTGTCACAAAAGGACTCTAGTACCAATCAAGCTTGCTAGAATGAGGCTGTCACACCTGACTAGGAAGGTCCTTCTGCTGATTCTAGCAAGCTGAGGAAAATGGTAGAGGGTAGGTAGAGGGTAGGTAGAGGGTAGCTTTCCCAAGGCTCTTGGTTGACCACAGTTTGTTCTGCTTAAAATATAGTATATATGTTCTTAAGAAGTCTTGTTACAAAAGTACCCATAAAGACGAGCTTCAGTTGGAGAAGGAAGGGGATTCAGGCCTAGAGACTTTCAAATGCTCAGTAGTAAAGTCCTGTTTATCCTGTGGGAATTTTGATCATGATAATTTTTAATAGCTGCAGAATTAATCTGTAAAACCCAAACATCACTGAGCAGGGTTGGACCACATCTAGTTTTTGCTCGTGGGTTCAGGCCTTTCTTCCCCTTTCTCTGCCAGCAGTTTCATTAGTTTAGGGAGCCAAACCACATGAACAAAGTAGCCTCCTGCATTGAGGGTTGGTCCTAAGAACTGCTAGTTCGTCATTACCAGGCCAGACTAACCAAAGACTTCACCTGAAAAGCTAGCCTTGTCCTTAGGTAGTTCCCTCACATTCAATTAGCATTACAAAAACACATGGTGCAGGGAAAAGGCTCTCATTTCAGTGTGAGTCATCCTGTGGGCAACTTGTGATCAAGGTTTTTCAGCTGTGAGCTAGTAGAGTTAGGTGCAGAGATTTAAAGTCCCCTCATTCTTTTTTCTTTTAGTCAGTTCAGAAGCTAGAATTGGGGGTTTGCAATGCAATGGTAACCCCAAGAATGCATGGCATATTCCCTTAGAAAAGACTATTTAAAATCAGAAACCCAATTGGATGCTTCTGCCAGTATCTACCAAAGATTGATACTTTGATTCTACAGATGAGTCCTGCACACAAAGACGTGGAGACAAGGGGCACAGTTTGCACTGGGGAAGCTCGAGGTCTCTGACTCCACCTCACATGCCAACCATAGTGGGTTGTAGATATATCCCAGAATATATTCATTAATCTACAAATAACTATTGAGTGCCCGTGATATGCCCAGTACTTTTCTAGGTGCTGAAATCTGTGTGCCCAGTTTCCCAGAAATGGTCTGGGTACGGCACCTCTCTTAAGAATCTTTCATTACAGGGAGAGGTGTATGGAACTTGTGAGCTTGGCACTAGTACATGAGAATACTTGTGGCTACAGTGAGACAGAATATTCTTGATGGGAATATTACATGTTCCAGAAATCTGTATGCATAGGCCATAAATTAATTGCCTGATCACCTTACTTGGTACAAATTCCTCCAATTTCCTCTCCCACAACCCTACTAATGGGGAGTTTAAAAAGATGAAATGGCAAAGACACAGTGGTGCCCAGGCCACAGCTGGCCAAAGGTCCTGAGAGTTTTCAAACTGTATTTTGGTTTGGGGTTTTTTGTTGTTGCTGTTTTTTTTTTTTTTTTTAATTGTGAAATATACTTACTCAATTATCAGGCAGAAAGGAGAAGGAGAGCACCCTCAAATGTAGAATGTAATAAAGTGAGGACTAAACTCTGATCTTTTTCTTCTCTTGCCCAAATTCCTATCTAAGGGGACTGGAGAGTCATACCCTACAAACCATAAAATCTCATCAGAGGAGTTTCATTTAACCCTATATAATGTGGCCTGCTTTCCAATGTTGACTCTGGCACAATACCACATGCCAGACAGAAAAACGAAGGAAATCAAAATAATTTATCCCTGAATATGTTTCTTTGTCATATTTTTAAATGGCCTGCATAGCTGTTCAGTGGCGGTAGGTGGGGCAAGGGGATTGCATCTGTAAAGAATATCTATTACTATAACTAGATCTTTTCCCCTTCCAGTCTCTCCCAGTCCTGAAGAGATTAACTGAGAGTCCAACATCTTTTAGAGATCTGAATAGCAAACACTTGTCAACTAGAGTCTCTAAGGGCAGCCACGCATGAGGCTTCATGTACATAACAAGAACCGCAGTCTCCACAATCCCTTATCTTGAACCTGACACTCCTTTCTGTTGATTCCAGGACTTTAGATCATAATAACAATTCTTTCAACCAATTGTCAGCCAGAAACTCTTTGAATCCACCTATGACCTGTAAGCTCACCCCGCCCAACTTAGAGTTGTCCCGCCTTTTGAACCAAACCAATGCATACCCCATATGTATTGATCATGTCTCCCTAAAATGTATAAAACCAAGCTGTGGCCCAACAGCCTGGGCACCTACTCAGGGCCTCTTCAGACTGTGCCTCAGGCCTTGGTCACTAATATTTGATGCACAATAAACCTCTAAAATATATTACAGGGTTTGACTCTTTTCACTGACAAAAGGATAATTTTTGAAGATAAGGACAGGGTTAGGAAGACAATAGGAAGACAATAGATAAGGACAGGGTCAGGCCTTGGTCACTAATATTTGATGCACAATAAACCTCTAAAGTATATTACAGGGTTTGACTCTTTTCACTGACAAAAGGATAATTTTTGAAGATAAGGACAGGGTTAGGAAGACAATAGGAAGCAGGGAAGCACCTGGGGCCAATGGCTGTGGGGAGCACTTAGCTCCCCCAGTCCTGAGGTGGCAAAGGGAGGGTGCGACTACCTGCACGAGAGCTGTGGCCTTTGGGGAAGGACCACAGCATTCGTGTGTGGTTTGGCAGAGAGGGAGCAGAGGGGTAACCTCCCAACCTAATGTTCCCCTCATCCTGCAGTTTCCTGCCAGCACCTCCCATAGCCACACCAAAAACAGGGATGGGCCAGGCGTGGTGGCTCACGCCTGTAATCCTAGCACTTTGGGAGGCCGAGGAGGGCAGATTACCTGAGGTCAAGAGTTCAAGACCAGCCTGCCCAACATGGTGAAACCCTGTCTCTATTCAAAAATACAAAAAATTAGCTGAGTGAAGTGGCGTGTGCCTGTAATTCCAGCTACTTGGGAGGCTGAGGCAGGACAATTGCTTGAACCCAGGAGGCAGAGGTTGCAGTGAGCCCAGAGCGTGCCACTGCACTCTAGCCTGGGCTACAGAGTGAGGCTTTGTCTCAAAAACAACAACAACAACAACAATAACAACAAACAAAAACAGGAATGAAGGAGATGCTTGCTACAGTCCATAAAGATGAGCAGGATTGGAAGGGCAAATGGAAACTCACCAGCACAACTGCCATTCAAACAACGCATCAACAGCAAAAGTGCTAAAGCAGTTTGTATTGCTTGAACTCCTGCTCCAAGGTAAGGTGAGAGGCACCAGGAACTGCATTCTCTCATTTGATCCTCCTCACATAACAGTTGAGTTATGTGAACTTCTGGATAAGGATCAAATCTGAAACTCTTAGAGCCCCAGAAACAGAAACAGTGTTATATCCATGGGAGGCAGGAATGAGCAGTTCCTGTCAAACCATTTGAAAAGAAAAAGGGGACTCTGAACAGAATACGGGGGGACGGGGTCACTAACAACACAATAGCTCTCCCCACCTCGCCACGTGCACAACTCATAGCCTGGACTCCTGAGTTCTGGTCTCCAATTTGGCCACTAGCAAACCTACCTAAAGGAATGCTTGGTTCCTAGTCAGTTGTGTTGACACAGAGTGAATGGAAATGAATTACTTCTCACTTCCTGGTTTGGAGTCTGTAAAATTATCACACTGTCACAGAAACAAAATTAGTCAAAGCCCCAAGTGAGTCATTAAATTAACACCCCGTGAACTTGACTCTCCTTACTTGATTCATAAGACAGTTTACAATTTTAAACACCATTCTTGGGGAGGAAAATTTAAAAAGGGCTTGTGTGGAACTTTCTAGATTGACTTCTGGGATCGCCCAACTGATGGACATCCTCCATTTTTAATACATTGCCCTGTTGTTGACCCTGTTGTCAGGTTTGGTCGTTTGTGATTGCATGCAGGTGACTTTCTGTAGCTAGAATTCCACACCCTCATAGTATTAGAATCTGGTTTACCAGTTAGGATTGCATTGACCCTTGCAGTGAGCCTCTGATGCCGGCTGGAACTCAAACTCAGAGAGGGAGTGTTCATAGGCTCCCTAAGGGTTGGCTGCATTGGCACTTTTACAACCTGTGTTAATGGCCAGAAGCATATTCCTTGACCAGTAGGCTTGTTCTTATGGGCAGTGGATGAGGCCAGCCTAGCTCACCAGGTGATGGGTCATTAGGTAGCTGGGAGGTGGGAGGCCAGAGGTCACAACCTCCTCTTTGTCTAGCGTGTGAGATGAGGAAAGTGACTCCTGGGTTAAATACCCATCTGTGCTGCCCATGGTTCTTGGTGAGAGTCTAGCATCCCATAAAACTGAGCCAGCCTTGTTCGGCCCCACCCCCCGACTCCCACCTCAAGTGCTGAGCACCTGCCTATCAGCCCTCAAGCCCTCCCCTGCCCTGCTCTGTGCTGCAGATGCCAGCCATGCAAACTGCAATTCCTAGGCTTCCTTGTCTACTGGCTTCTGCTTAGGTTTGGCTGATGGAAGGAAGACAGACAGGACATTGGAGGGTGGGAGGGAGGAGGGTAGAAGCCAGGGTTTCTCCCCTTATCTCTCGGCTTTGGCTCTCATGTCTCAGGCAGTGGCAGCATCTTCTTCATGGATCCAGCTCACACCTTCAGGGCTCAGGTGACAGCACCTCCACCTTCGTTCCTCCTACCTTAACTGTTGCTGACCTCTAGGTCACCTCACTGTCTCCTTCTATGTGCCCTATCAGCTTTTCTACTAACTCCAGTCCCCTACACCAAATTCCTAGCATGGGTTCTGTCTTCCTGTCTGGAACCATCTGATCCTCTGCCTCTCTTTTTATTACTTAAATAGGCTCTGCTACTTGCTCTTTCTAGTGTCTTCTGCAAAGATCCAAAATGCCTCTATACTTTCCACTAAGAGATCCCTCCCTTCCTTGGTCCTGGCCAGCCCAGAGCAGTCTGGACTTCGGATTCCTGGAGAAGGGTCTCTTTACAGAACAAGCAAGGCCTAGGACCTTGAGCCCAAGGTGGCAAGCAGCCAACTCACTTCTACCTCCCTGAATTCTGAAAAAGCCCAGAGATCCCAGCATTTGCACAAAAGGTCACTGCTCATTTTAATCAAACCACATTGCTCTGAATGGCTGGGCTGTGGCCTTCAGTCAAGATTTCCTGCATGGCAGATTTTCTCTCCTCTTGGACAACAGTGATACTTGCTGCAAGCATCCAATAGGGCTTGAAATTACCCTGGCAAGTTGTTTACTCTTCTTGAGAGTGGCACTAGGCTCTGAGCAGTGTTTGTCTAGCACCGTCATTATTTTTATTAACTATACCCTTGCACTTCCAAAGTGTGCTGTAAGCTCTGTAAATATTTTATTAGCCTTTGTAATTAGTCGTTGCATTTCACAGCCCTGCTGAGAAGTGGGTCAGTGTGACAATCCCCATTTTACCACTGATGTGGAAAAGAGCCACCCAGAGATAGGAAAGAGGCCTTGGATTTGAGGGCAGAGGGTACAGTTCTTTCTCTTTCAAGGGAAGGCATGGACTTTGCTGGAGTTTATAGGGATCTGATAGTGTGCAAATACTGAATAAGAAGAACAACTCTCCGTCCCCTGCAAATGGATGAAATTCCCTTACACAGGAAGGTGTTGAGAACTGGATTTTAAAAATAGGAAAAGTGGCTAATGCATAGAAGCTGCTATCTCATAGTAGCCACCCAAGAACCTCAGTTCCCACTGCTCTCCCTTTCTTGCCTTCTCATTACTACCTAACGCTTGATTTATTCACCCTTGGAGGGGGATGGGGAGCAGGAAGAAACAAAGACAGCTGCGGTCTTCAAGGAGTGTGGTCCAAGAATGTGACCTGTAAAATCTCTTATTGGAGATAGTTTATTTGTTTTCTTTTGTGATCAAGTATATGTTGATTTCTAAACATGTTTTCCAGGGTGAACAAAATCATAGACAGCTATTAAATTAGCTTGTTGGCTGTAATATTTAAATGCTTTCTACATTGCTTATTTTTAATGCCTTAATATACTGAATAATGAAAGCTGTAATAAAACCTTCTACTATCATTGTGATTTTATAAAATTCTCCTTATATTTCTAGGAGTTTTTGCTCTTTAGTTTGCTATTATATTTTTGAATGCACAAAGGTCTGTAGCTGTTCTATCGTCCTCAAGGATTATTTCTTTTATCATAAACAATCTAGTTCTTTTCTTCAATTCATGGTGTAAGCCTCAAATTAAGTTTTATAGTAAAATGTCATCTTTCTTGTTTTTTAATTGTTTGCATTTGCCTGGTATATCTTTGATCTCTAAAATCAAGATTAAAATAAACATTTCTTTATTTTTTTGCTTTTAAGTATGTCTCATACACTTTATACAGATGCAAATTTTGTGGGGTTTTATTGTAGCCTGAGAGTCCTTTTTTTTTTTCAAGAAAAAGGAGAAGTCAACTCATTTATGATTATTAGTTTAAATGGTATATTTATTTTCCTTTTGTTCATGTTTTCTATTTATTATACTTGTTGCTACTGATTTATTTTTTTGTTAGTATGTGCTTGACTGAGTTTTTTTTCTATACTACCACCCCCCAACTACCACCATTAATTTCCAACTGTTATTATGCTTCTCCATTTTGCTAGTGGGTTCCTCCCTATCTTCATTACCATATTTAAGCCTATATTTCCCATTGATATATGAGATGAAACAATGGCCATTCTGTCCCCAACAAGACATTTTGCCAGCCCAATTCCCTTTACCACTCCTTGTGAAGGGAACTTTGGAGCATTTCTTACTTATTATAGCATTTCTTTCCTCCTTCAACTTTCAGTTTTGCTAAGAAATTATCAATTCTAAACCATTAGTTTTCCTTTTCAAGTATTTATCTACTGCTGCAAAAATTCTGCATTTACACTTTGCATTTCCTTGTTATAGTATCATCTTCCATTTAGATCTTTTTTAGAAAGTAGGTTATTTAATTTCTTTCCATTTTTGCCTTTGTTTAAAAGTTTTTAATCATTTTAGACTTTTCTTGGGTTTGCCAAGAAAGCAAAGGCTGACTGGGACTATGATCCAGAGGATGGCATGAGTGTCCAGACAGTGACAGTGGGAAGGAGGACGATAGGACAAAGATGCACTATTGCTCAGCCATGACTGCAGGTGACTGTTTGCTCTATCCAGGGAGATGCCATGAATCCTGTCTCAAAACTGTCTGTCCAGAGGAAGAAAGAGGATGTGTTTATCCACCAGCTCAGGACTCTCCACTGGTCAAAAGTTTGCCTTCTGCAGCGTTAACTCCCTTGCATTTCCAGGTTGCACAGATGTGGGAAGTGAGTGGGTTCCCACAGTGGCTCCTGCCTGGGATTTCACAGAGAAGCCCAAGAGCATGAAGTCAGAAGCATAGGGCATGGATCTGAGGCAAGACACTGTCAGGTTACACCTGCAGGAAGCTGGTCAGATCCTGTGTAGAACTGGTTACCACAGCTAAGGTTTGAATAACACAGGTGAGGTAGAAACTACCTGAAGCAGTACACAGAGGGTTTACAATGCAAGTGTAGTGCCTACAAATAGTTACACAGTCAAATCATATCAAAAGATTTAGAATAAAGAATTACAATTCTCCTGCAACCCTTCCAGTCCCCAAGCCCACTTCCTAGAAGCAGTTTATTTTTGCCTCCTTGAACTGTTTTCTCCTGATATTAACCTGCATATTTCTAAGTAATTTTATATTGCCAGTGTTTAGAATCTACTGATCCCCTGTTTAAATGATTTAAAATTTCATAGTAATATCACCAAAGGCCACTTCTCTGCTCCCATCCTTCTAAATGCTAACTAGTTTTTTTAATACAGTCAATGTTTACATTATTGTGCCTATGTAAATGACATTCACAGTGGAAAGCAGAGTATTATATTTTTTCCTGTACTCTTTTTCATTTTCCTGAAGTTAATGGTCACCTGGTTTTATTCATTGACCTGGGCTTTTTTATGTAACTATATTTTTTTCCCACATGCTGCATCTGATTTATATCACATACTTACCAGTGTTTTCTTTTGGAATACTCCATAATATCAGATGACCTTTGAGTAAACAGTTCCCTTTTATTCCCTTTAGATCCCTCTTTTGGAGCCTTGTCTCTTCTGCGATCCGAGAGGACTGGTTCCCTAGACTTGCTACAAAATCCTTAGCAAGAGACTTCCCTTTGTGGTATTTTCTGTTGGAGACCATTTCTTGGACTCCATGTCTTCCTATTTCTTGGTTTACTCCCTTAATTTACTACAGTACCTCTCCCACGAAAGCAGTTATCTCCCACGAAAGGATGCCTTATGGGTTCTGTTTTTCAATCCATGCCTTTATTACTCCTTCACACTTAAATACTTTGATTGCCTCTATAATTATAGGTGAATTTGGAAGATGTTTTTTCTTTGTCTTCTAACATCCAGTATTGCCCTTAGGAAGACCCATCCCTGCCATTCTGACTTTTAGTTTTCTGTCTTTTTTTTTTCTCTCTGGAAGAGTTTCGGAGTTCTGATATACCTGTGATATTCTAAAATCTCATAGTTTCATATTGGAGAGGATACTTTTTCACTCATTGTATTGAGCCCTATCTGGGCCCTTTCAATGAAAAAGAAATGTATCTCACTTTTTTAGCCATTTTCTTTCAACAATTTGCTCTTTTTCTGGAACTCATCAATTTGATACTGAATGTCTTAAATTTATTCTTTGGGTATTTTGTCATTTTTCCATTTTTTCCATCATCTTTTTTCACAATTTCCTATGCATGTTTTATACATGTGACATTTTATTTCATTTCTTCTCTTATTCAGCTTTTATAATAAGCACTTAAAAGGCACTCTATAACTGGTTAAGTAAATGTACTTCTCTGGGGATGATATAATTATTTTTATTATTTCAGAGTTTTCTTCTGTTTTGGGTATTATCTTTTATCTCCAGACTCCTTTTAATTTCTTACTTTTATTTGATATCTTTCTTCATGTATGAAGTTGAGCCAGTTAAAATTGGGATTGGGGCAGAGCAATTAGGCAAGAAAAAGAAATGAAGGGCATCCAAATAAAAAATTAAAAATAAGTAAGTCAGATTAGCCTTGTTCACAGATGACATGATCTTATACCTACAAAAATCTAAAGACTCCACCAAAAAACTATTAGAACTGATAAACAAATTCAGTAAAGCTGCAGGATACAAAATCAACATACAAAAATTGGTAGCAATTACATACACCAACAGCAAACAATCTGAAAAAGAAATCAAGAACACAATCCCATTTACAACAGTTACAAAAATATAAAATACCTAGGAATCAATGTAACCAAAGAAGTGAAAGATCTCCACAAGAAAAACTATAGAACTCTCATGAAAGAAATAGAAGAGGGCACAAAAGAATGAAAAGATAGTCCATGCTCATGGATTGAAAGAATTAATATTGTTAAAATGACAATACTACCCAAAGTAATCTACAGATTCAATGCAATCCCTATTTAAATATCAATGACATTCTTCACAAAAATAGAAAACAATATTCCTAAAATGTGTATGGAACTAAAAAAGACCCCAAAGAGCCAAAGCAATCCTGAGCAAAAAGGATAAAGCTAAAGGCTCACACTACCTAACTTCAAATTTTATCAAAAAGTTATAGTAACCAAAACAGCATGGTATTTGGCATAAAAACAGACACACACAGCAATGGAACAGAATAAAGAACGCTGACATAAATCCACACATTTACAGCTTACTCATCTTTGACAAAGGTGCCAAAAACAGTCTTTTCAATCAATGATGCTGGGAAAACTGGATAACTATATGCCAAAGAATGAACTAGATTCATTTCTCTCACCATTCACACACACACAGAATCAAAATGGAACCAAAATGTATTAAAACCTTGAATCTAAGACCTCAAAGTATGAAGCTACTAGAAGGAAACATTGGGGAAATTCTCCAGGACATTGGTGTAGGCAAAAAATTTTTGTGTAAGACCTCAAAGGCACAGGCAACCAAAGCAAAAATAGTCAATTGAGATTATATCAAGATAAAAAGCTTCTGCACAGCAAAGGAAATAATCAACAAAATGAAGAGATAACCCATAGGATGGGAGAAAATGTTTGCAAACTATCCATATGACAAGGGATTCATAACCAGAATTCATAAAGAGCTCAAACAACTCAACAGCAAAAAACAAAACAAAACTCCACAAATAATCCAATTTTAACATGAACAAAAGAAGGAGGCAGAGCAAGATGGCTGAACAGAAGCCTACACGATTTGTCACCCCTGTAGGAGCACCAAATTTTAACAGCTAGCTACCCACAAAAAGCATCATCACAAGAATTAAAAATCAGGTGAACAATCACAGTACCTGGTTTTAACTTCTATCAGTGAAAGAATTATTGAAGAGAGCAAGAAAGACAGTCTTGAAGTGCTGATGCCACCTGTTCCCCATTCCTCAGAAGTGGCTGCATGGTGTGGAGAATCTGTGTGCTTTGAAGAGGGAGAGTGTGGTGATTATGAGGTTTTGCACTGAACTCAGTGCTGCCCCATCACAGTGGAAAGCAGAACTGGGCTGTACTCAGCTGACATCTGCCCACAGAGGGAGCATTTGGACTGGCCCTAACCAGACAGAATTATCTATCCCAGCATGACTTGATAAAAGCCCTGCCACTGTGTGCTGGAGTGCTCTGGGGCCCTAAGTGAACTTGAGGGGCAGTCTAGGCCACAGGTGTTGCAATTCCTATGCAAGTCCTGGTGCTGAGCTGGGCTCAGAGCCAGTGGACTTGGTGGGCAGGGCACACAAACTACTGAGACACCAGCCAGGGTGGCTAAGAGAGGGCTTGTTCCACCTCTCCCTCACCCTCTGGTAGCAGCCATGCAGTGCAAAGAAATCTGTGCACTTGGGAGAAGGAGAGCACAGTGACTAGGGAACTTTACATTGAACTCAGTGCTGCCCTGTCACAGCAGAGACCTGGTAGGATTCACCAACTGCTGACTAAAGAGCCCCTGGTCCCTGAATAACCAAGAACAATACATTGGTAATATGCTGTGGGCCTTGGGCTCTGAGACTTACTGGCTTCAGGTGTGATCCAGAACATTCACACCTGTGGTGGCTATGGTGAAGGACTCCTTTTGTTTGAGAAAATCAGGTGGGAAAAGTAAAGGGGACTCTGTATTGCACCCTGGGTAACAACTTGGCCCCAGGAGGGTAGAGCACCAAGTAGGTTCTTAGGGTCCCAAGTCCAGGTCTAGGCTCTTAGTCAGCATTTCTGGACCTGCCCTGGGCCAGAGGGGAGCTTGCTGCCCTAAAGGTTGAGTCCTAGGCAGCATTCATCATAAGCTGACTGAAGAGGCCTTGGGCTTTAAGTAAACATTGGCAGTGCCCTGGCAGAATGCCCTATGGATCAGTGCTCATGGTGGCCACATGGAGAGGAGGCTCCTCTGCCTTTGGAAAGGGGAAGGAAAAGTGGAAAGGACTTAATTTTGCAGTTTGAGTGACAGTTTAGCTGCAGTAAAATAGAACACCAGGTAAATTTCTAGGGTTCCTAGAGAGTATTTCTGGAATTCTGAGGCCTGGGGTTGCCACCCTGAAGGGAGGGATGCAAACCTGGCTGGCTTTGCCACCTACTCATTGTAGAGCCCTGAGTGAACCAGGTGGTTACAGTGAGCTTTGGGCAAAACCCAGTGCTGTGCTGGCTTCAGGTCTGAACCAGCACTATCACTGTCGTGGTAGTGACAGGAATGCTTGTGTTCCCCCTAACCCCAGTTCCAGGAGGCTCAGATCAAAGACAGAGACTCTGTTTGTTTGGGAGAGAGTAAGGAAAAAGAACAAGAGCCTCTGCCTGGTAACCCAGATAATTCTTCTGGACGTTATCCCACACCACCAAGGTGATACCTGTATAAGTCTGCAAGAACCACAGTGTTATTGGGTTGGGGCTCAAGTTCCTTCAAACACCTGGAAAGCCTGGAAGGACAGGCACAAATAGTCCCAGACTGTGAAGACTACAATAAATGCCTAGCTCTTCAATGCCCAGACACTGATGAACAAGTACAAGCATCAAGACCATTGAGGAAAACATGATCTCGCCAAATGAACTAAGTAAGGCACCAGGGACCAATCCTGAAGGAACAGAGATATGTGACCTTTCAGACAGATAATTTAAAATTAGTATTTAAAGGAAACTCAAAGAAATTCAAGATAACACAGAGAAAGAATTCAGATTTCTATCAGATAAATTTAACAAAGAGATTGAAATAATTAAAAAGAATCAAGCAGAAATTCTAGAGTTGAAAATGCAATGGACATAACAAAGAATGCATTAGAGTCTCTTAATAGCAGAATTGATCAAGCAGAAGAAAGAATTAGTGAGCTTGAAGACAGGCTATTTGAAAATACACAGTCAGAGGAGACAAAAGAAAAAGGAATAAAAAAGAATAAAGCACGCCTACAAGAATTAGCAAATAGGCTCAATAGGGCAAATCTAAGAGTTATTGGCCTTAAAGAGGAGGTAGAGAATGATAGAGGTAGAAAGTTTATTTCAAAGGATATTAGATAACTTTCCAAACCTAGAGAAAGATATCAATATTCAAGTACAAGAAGGAACACCAAGCCGATTTAACCCAAAGAAGTCTACCTCAATGCATTTAACAATCAAGATCCCAAAGGTAAAGGATAAAGAAAGGATCCTAAAAGCAGCAAGAGAAAATAAACAAATAACATGCAATGGGGCTCCAATATGTCTGGCAGCAGACTTTTCAGTGGAAACCTTACAGACCAGGAGAGAGCAACATGACATATATAAAGCACTGAAGGAAAAAAAATCTTTTACCCTATAATAGTATATCCAGTGAAAATATCCTTCAAACTTGAAGGACAAATAAAGACTTTCCCAGATAAACAAAAGCTGAGGGATTTTATTAACATCAGACCTGTCCTACAAAAAATGCTAAAGGGAGTTCTTCAAGTTGAAGGAAAAGGATGTTAATGAGCAATAGAAATCATCTGAAGATACAAAACTCGCTGGTAATAACGCACAGAAAAACACAGAATATTATAACACTGTAATTGTGGTGTGTAAAATATTCTTAAGTAGAAAGGCTGAATGATGAACCAATCAAAAATAATAACTATAACAACTTTTCAATACATAGTATAATAAGACATAATAAGAAACAACAAGAAGTTAAAAAGTGGGGGAGCAAAATTAAAGTGTATCATTTTTAATAGTTTTCTTGGTGCTTATTTGTTTATACAGACAGTGTTAAGTTGTCATCAGTTTAAAATAATGGTTTACAAGATCATATTTGGAAGCCTCATGGCAACCTCAAGTGAAAAAATCATACAATGAATACAATCTGCAAGAAATAAAATCACCTTCACTAAAAGGAAGACAGAAAGGAAGGAAGAAGGAAAGAGAAGATGATAAAGCAACCAGAAAACAAATAACAAAATGGCAGGAGTAAGTCCTTATTTATCAATAATAACATTGAATGTAAATGGACTAAACTCTATAATCAAAAGACACAGAGTGGATTAAACATGCACATGCATACACACACACACACACACACACACACACACACACACACACACACACACACACACACCCCAATGATCTGTTGCCTACAAGAAACACTTCACCCATAAATATACACATAGACTGAAAATAAAGGGATGGAAAAAGATTTTCCATGCCAGTGGAAAGCAAAAAATAGCAGGACTAGCTAAATTTAGACAAAATAGATTAGATTTCAAGACAAAGGCTGTAAGAAGATACAAAGGTCATTATATAATGATAAAAGAGTCAATTCAGAATGTAGATATAATAATTGTAAATATATATGCACCCAGCACTGGAGCACTCAGATATATAAGCAGTATTATTAGAGCTAAAGAGAGAGATAAGCCTCAATACAATAATAGTTGGAAACTTCAACACCCCACTTTCAGCATTGGACAGATCTTCCAGACAGAAAATCAACAAAGAAACATCAGACTTAATCTGCACTACATAACAAATGGATCTAATAGATATTTACAGAACATTTCATCCAACAGCTACAGTATACACATTCTTCTCCTGAGCACATGGATAATTCTCAAAGATAGCCCATATGTTAGGCCACATAACAAGTTTTGAAACAGTCAAAAATGGAAATAATATCAACCATCTTCTCTAACCACAATGGAATAAAACTAGAAAACAATAAGAAGAGGAATTTTGGAAGCTATACAAACACATGGAAATTAAGCAATATGCTCCTGAATGACCAGGAGATCAATGAAGAAATTAAGAATGAAATTGAAAAATTTCTCGAAACAAATGTTAATGGAAACACAACATAGCAAAACAGATGGAATACAGTGAAAATAGTACTAGGAAGGAAATTTATAGTTGTAAGTGTTTACATCAAAAAGGAAGAAGAACTTCAAACAAGTAACATTAACAATGCATCTTAACTAGAAAAGCAAGAGAAAATCAAACCCAAAATCAGCAGAAGAAAAGAAATAATAAAGATCAATGAATTTGAAATGAAGGAAACAATATAAAAGATCAATGAAATGAAAAATGGGTTTTTTGAAAAGAAAAATAAAATTGACAAACCTTGAGCCAGACTAAGAAAAAAAGAGAGGACCCAAATAAATAAAATCAGAGATGAAAAAGGAGACATTACAGCTGATACTGCAGAAATTTAAAGGATTGTTAGTGGCTACTATGAACAACTATAGGCCAACAAATTGGTAAACCTAGATGAAACAATAGATTTCTAGACACATACAACCTGCCAAGATTGAACCATGAAGAAATCTAAAACCTGAACAAACCAATAACAAGTAAAAAGATCAAAGCCATAATAAAGAGTCTCCCAGTAAAGAAAAGCCTGGGACCTAATGGCTTCACTGCTGAATTCTGCCCAAACATTTAAAAAAGAACTAATACCAGTTCCCTACTCCAAAAAATAAAGGAGGGGGGAATACTTCCAAACTCATTCTATGAGTCCAATATTACCCTCATACCAAAACCAGACAAAGACACATCAAAAAATGAAAACTACAGGCCAATATCCAGCCTCTGGTAACCAACCACTAGTCTACTCTCTGCTTCTATGGGTTTGACTTTTTTAGATTCCACATGTAAGTGAGATCATGTGACATCTGTTCTTTCTATGCCTGTTGGTCAAAGGATACAAAATTTCCATTAGATAACAGGAATAAGCTCAAGAAAACTATTGTACAACATACTGACCGCAGTTAATGCCAATATGTTATAAACTTGAAAATTACTGAGAATAGATTTTGTGTGCTAACCACAAAAATGTGGTACATACATGAGGTAATGCATCTGTTAATTAGTTTGATTTTGCCATCCCACAATGTATACACAAATCAAAATATCATGTTGTAAACCATACATTCCTTTTTTATTTATCAACAAAAAAGAAAATAAATTAAAAATGCAAATTTTCAATAAATAAAAGTGAGACACTAAAAGTCTGATTCTTCATGGGTGGGATTGTCAACTGGAGGATTTCTCTGTGAGATGATCAGTTGGAGAACTGACAATTCTAACAAAGTCTGCAAAATGTCAGCAAATTACTGTCAGTTTTGTAGTGTCCTCAAGGATGGCTTTTACTCACAGAAAGTATCATTTAAAGGTTTGTTGTATTTTGTTTAAGATTTAATGTTCAATTTATTAAAGTTATAATTTTTTTATTATTATACTTTAAGTTTTAGGGTACATGTGCACATTGTGCAGGTTAGTTACATATGTATACATGTGCCATGCTGGTGCACTGCACCCACTAACTCGTCATCTAGCATTAGGTATATCTCCCAATGCTATCCCTCCCCCCTCCCCCCACCCCACCACAGTCCCCAGAGTGTGATATTCCCCTTCCTGTGTCCATGTGATCTCATTAATTTTTAAGTCCTCTTTCTTTTGTAAATTTTGACTTGTACTTACAAATGTTATGATTGAATTTATAAGTCTTGCAGATCTTAGAAATCATTCCAGAGAGGTATTTGAGTATTTGTTCCTATTTACAAACATAATTTATTAGATACAGTTAAATATTTTAAAATGCATATATAAACTGAAAATATTCAGTTTTCAAGTATTTTATTTTTTTCTGAATTAACAAACTTCCTGAGCACATAAATAATTTTTGCATTTAAAATATTAAATTTACGTATATGTTAAATGTAAAGTTAATTTAAATATTCTAATTCAACCTACAATTACATATCTAAAACAAATATTGAGTACACATTTTAAATTTGAGTTCAAGGTTTTCATTTATAATTAGCCAAATTCTAGCATTATAAATACCTAAAATGTCAAATATGAAAAGATTGCCTTTTAACAAAAAATATGAATGCAATGATTTCTATTCTTTTAAGCCTTTCTATTCTTAATTCTAAATCTTGCTGGGGTTTAAAGATGCCTACCCACTAAAGAAGTAAAATTCTGCTCAGGCAGCCAGGGTTACTTCCTATGAGAGATTTTGTCAGACCTGGAGCTGCAGAAACTCAGAACGATCCTTCTCTCTACCCTTACTGTTGTACTGAGCCCCTCTTAGGTATGTCAAAAAAAACATGAAATCAGCACTTTTATACTGTTAATAAAGACATTTATATCATAGGCTTCAAAGCACAAAGAGGCAGTATTCTCATATCTCTCATTACCTAATTCTCTAGGCCACACAGTTCTTACACATATCTAAAATGACATTTGAGTGAATTTGATGTATCTTCATGAAAACCATTTTCAGGAGCTCTTCTACTTTCTTCCCCCGTTGACCAAGGGTCAAATAGTACCTTCTAACATTGGTTTATACTCACTTCTGTATTCTTTACTGGCATAACTAATAAGTTGATAATGCCCACAGATAGCAAGGTAAGAAATGAGATTGGGCCCAGTGCAGTGGCTGATTCCTGTAATCCCAGCACTTTGGGAGGCTGTTGGCTTGAGCCCAAGAACTCCAGAACTGCCTGGGCATCATGGCAAAACCTCATTTCTACAAAGAAATACAAAAATTAGCCAAGCATGGTCGGTACACCTGTCAACCCAGCTACACAGGAGGCTGAGGTGTGAGGTTCATCTGATCCTGGGGAGGTTGAGGCTGCAGTGAGCCAATACTGCGTCACTGCACTCCAGCCTGTGTGACAGAATGAGACCCCAAATCAAAAAGGAAAGGAAAAGGAAGAAAGAAATGAGATCCAACAGCAATGCATTGCAATCCCACTTATCTTCATGTTAATTATTCAGCCTGGGGATATTTATCTTCTTCCCAGGTTATTGCTTCAGTCTCTTTTCTGAGGAGTGCATGCCTTCTGGGGAGGGTTGGAAAGGAAAGCTGTAGGGGAGATCCTCTGGTCAGGATGCAGACTTTCACTTAATTCCCCTAGGTTAGTTAAGCTTGAGTCATTGCCTCCTACCCTTGACTGTGTCTGGTGTCTTCTGTCTTCTAACTCTTTCCAAGTCAATCTACCCAGGCCTCTTCCTGTGAAGAGGCAGTAATGAGTCTCTCACTTGCCTTGCTCCCCTTGCCGCACCCCACTTTAGAATTAAAGTTGCTATCTGCCTCCTTGATACACAGAGAGTCTCTCCCAAGGGCAAGAACCACCCCCAGTCCAACACAAAAACCACCTAGATGGTGCCTGACAAAATAATGTTTGCTTCATAGTTTGGCTTTTATCTCACTTTACTTCCCCTGCAGGTTTCTAGAAAAGTCTTTATCCTGTTCTCCAGAGAGCAATGTATATTTGGTTACTTATCAGTGAAAGCTGCTCAGGAATCACTGCCTGGGCAGCCACAATGGAAGGGCTGCCCCATCTGGTAGGCGGCTCCAGCCCCTGACAGAGCCAGTCGTCTGGGTCCCCAGATCTAAGCCACCAGCTCAGCCATCTGGGGTCCTGCAGAACCATCTCGTTGGTCTATAAAAGCCAGGTTGTCTGGGTCTCCCATTCCTGCATGATGGGTCCACAGTGCAGAGTTCACTTCCTGGCCGCCATCTTGCAGAAGTCATGAGAAATACAACTGCTGCAATTATGCAGCGAAAAAAGAAAGGCCATATGGCACACCTTTGATGAATAATCAGCTAAGTAGACGATCAACTCCAAAACAATGGTATAAATGGCCCTGTCCCCCTAGGCATCTCCCAAGAATATTGCTATAAATCTTCACGAAGTGTTTAAAAAGTACTTATTAGCTTCTGGAAAAATGTCCTAAGTATAATTTATTTTGGCGCTGTGAGGATGGTTTCTGCAAATTTTTCAAAACTTGTTCTCTTGGGGAGGGACTCTCTCACTGGAACTCTGCTGAGTCTGATGGCTGGGATTGCTGGAGCTCTCACCCTCATGATTCAGATGCCATAACCAATCATGGAGGCAGGTTACTGTCACGAGTTTACCAACGGGAAAACTGAGATTCAAAGAGGGAAGTGTCCCCCTCCCCCGGGTCACACTGTCCTGCAGTGACGGGGTTGGCACTGAGAACATGGGTTTCAACGTCTGCGCTTTTGCTGTCATCCAAAGCTGCTTCCATGATTGGTGAAAGGAGAAGCCAGAGACTCTAGTTTGGCCGTTTCCAGCACTTCTCTGTGGCTGTTCTCTGTTCCTGAGACATGTGGATTGTGATCTGTACCTCTTGGATGCTCTACTACTCCACTGGGTTCTCATGCACAGAACGTTGAATTGGAGACATTGTTATACCTTGGAGTAGCCTACTCAACGAAAAAAATGTAAAGTGACTGCTCATAGTGTGACATGGCTCTAGAGAATGTGTTTCAATCCATAGCTTCAGAAATTAAAATATTCTAATCTAAGACTTAGTTTTGACCTCTAACAAGGAGAGTAAATAAGCAAACCCAGACAACACAAGCCCTGAGCAAGGGTCACAGAAGCCTAGCCTAGCATTTTAGCAATTAAGGGTACTTGTCCATAAAGCACTTAAAAATCCATTTAGACCATCCAAGTCGGTTCAAGCTCTTTAATCTTGGATAAAGTAAACAAGATTGTTTTTAAGGTTTTTTTTTTTTTTTCTATTTTAAAGTAAGAATATTGGAAGAGAAAAAACTAAGACACTCAAGGCCAGACCTTTGGACCCCAGTAATGTGTAACAGCTGCAGATGCTGGTGAGACCTTTTGGTGATATTTTCAGTCTGCTAATGCCAGCTCACCCTTTCACAGATTGAAAACAACTCATCTCTTTGAAGTACCCTTTTCAATTGCACCTCGAAAATTCCTTAAGGGCAGGACCCAGACATTATTCTGTACCCCACAAAGTGTAGTTCAGCCCATGGGGTCTCAGCAAATGCTTGTTAAGAGATGGCTCGTTGGAAGCAGCAGGCTTTGCCCTCCTCAACAATGGACAAATCTCACCACAGCCCTCAGGCACTGCACTATGCAGCCAAACCAACTCCCTTTCCATTCTGAATCTCTGCCTCCCTGTTTTGCACATACTGGCTACACACCCGAAGCACAGTTCTATCTTTCTTTCTTCATTCTATCTCCCTCAGCTGAAGGGACACCTCAGAGGAGCTTTCCCTGACCTCTTTGGCAGTTCCCTCGTTTATTTTTCTGCTACCAGTCTCTTGGCAGTGAGTTCTGGAAGGCATGGACTACTACATGTTTCCCTGTGTTTATTTGTTCAATGTCTGTTTTCCCACCAAACTCCAAGAAGGCAGGGACAAGTGCTTTATTCACCTCTGTATCCCCAATGCCCAGCACAAGGCCTGCCAGCGTGTGTACTGAGTTGAGCTGAATAACTTAGACATCAAGAAGACCAGGCTAAACAAATCTCAATTTATTCTCCCTTCCAGTTCAAGTCTTAAAGGATAATGTGTCCTTTAACCAACATGGTTCAGACAGCTGATTAGTCATCGAAGGCCACAAAACTCCAAGTTTACTGGGTGTGACACTCCAAAGTATGGATTTCAGGAGCCAGAGGAGAAACATCATGGGGTTCTTGTCTGAACAATGTGTACCTACAAGAGAATTTCCAAGAATAGGAGATGGAATGTGACCAGACTGGGGACAGCAGTGTCTATTTCTACTTGGGAAAATTGTTCAATAGAGCTACAGTCACACCTCCACTTTTTAAAGTTCTTTTTCAACTGGAAAATGTTCCCCTACATGGGGGATTTCCTGAAGTCCTGGTCACATTCCCTAAGTAGGAGTGTTCCGGAGAGGCCAGCAGCCTGCCCCTGTGTGTGTGCTGACAGGTGTGGCACTGTTAGGCAGCAATGTGCTGAACTTCAGACCCCCCCCCGGAGACCAAATACTTCAAAGCTGCTTGGAGACCTAGAAACACAAACAAAGCATTTAATCTTGAGGCCCTGACACTTTTGCAAGGTAGAAAAATGTCACCAATGGACCACACTCCATTCCTCTACTTAGGAGACAAGACGTTGCAAACACACAGCTTTGAGGCTCGTCATACAGCCCCTTTGGATTTTGTTTTGTTTTGATTTCCTGTTCAGTTAGGATAGTCTTTGTTGAAACTTTTTATTTTGAAATAATTACACAGGAAGTTGCAAAGATAGAGAGGTGTTGTGTACCGTTCACCTATTTTCCCCAAGAGTTACATCCAACATAATTATAGTAAAATACCAAAACCAGGAAAGTGACATTGGTACAATGTGTGTGTATATTTCTATGTCATATTTTCTCACAGGTGTAGATTCCTGTAACCATCATCACAATCAAAATGCAGAACTATTCCATCACTGCAAAGATCTCCCACATGCTACCCCTATACAATCACAGTCACTGCCTCACCCTCCCTCACCTGTAACTCCTGGAAACCATTATTCTGTTTTCCATCTTTATGATTTGTCATTTAAAGAATATTATATAAATGAAATTATACAGTATGTGATGTCTTGAGATTGGCTTTCTTCATTCAGCATAATGCCTTTGAGATTTCTTTAGATCATTGTATGAATTAATGTTTTATTCCTTTTTATTGAGGGAGGATTTATTGTGATGGATTACCACAGTTTGTTCAACTATTCACTTGTTTGAGGAGCATTTTGATTGTTTCCAGTTCTTGGCTATTATGACTAAAGCTGTATGAAAAATCATATAGAGGTTTTGTGTGGACATAAGCTTTCATTTCTCTGGGAATGCAATTTCTGGGTCATATGGTAAGTGTACGTTTAGTTTTTTAAGATACCGCCAAACTATTTTTCAGAATGACAATACCATTTTACATTCCCATGAGCAATGTATGAGATCCAGTTTGTCCACATCTTTGTTAGCATTTGATATTGTTAGCATTTTATAATGACTGTTTTATCTGTGTAGTGATAATTCATCATGTTCTTAATATGCATTTCTCTAATGATTAGTGATATAAACATTTTTCCATTGCTTATTGCCACCATATATTCTCTTTGATAAAATATCTCATGTCTTGTGCCCATTTTCTAATTGGATTGTTATTTACTATTGATATGTGAGAGTTCTTCATATATTCTACATAGGAGTCCTTTGTCAGATATGTGGTTTGCAAATATATTCTCACAGTTGATAGCTTGTCTTTTTATCATCTTAACAGATATTTAAAAGAGAAAGATTTTAAATTTTGAGATAGTACAATTTATCACCTTTTTATTTTATGGATCATGTTTTTGATGTCATGTCTAAGAACTCTTCACCCACGACTTAGGTCCTAAATATATTTTTCCTATATTATCATCTAAAAGTTTTATAGTTTTACATTTTGCTTTTAAATATATGATTTATTTTGAGTTAATTTTCTCATAGAGTGTGAGGTTTAAGTCAAAGTTCATTTATGTCTATGGATACCCAACTGCCACAAGGTTATTTGTTGAAAAAACTATCTTTCCTCTATTGAATTGTTTTTGACCTTTTCCAAAATCAGTTGCCTATACTTGTTCAGGGATACTTCTGGGTTTCTATTTTCTTCCATTGATCAATGTATCTGTCCCTTCACCAATACTGCACACTCTTGAGTGCAGTACCTATGTAATAAGTCTTGAAATTGGGTAGAATGATTCATCCCACCTTACTCTTTTTCAAAATTCTAGTTGCTTTGCCTTTCCATATAAACTTCAGAATAATCTTGTCCATAGCTAGAAAAAATTTTGTCTAGTTAAATGGTAGTTTCAGTTGTTAAGCCTATCTATCAATTTGGGGACATTTTACACCTTTATGCCTATTCTAGACATTTCATACAAATAGAGTTATACAATATCTTGTCCTCTGTGACTGCCTTTTTTCACTTAGTGTAATGTTCTCAAGGTTAATCTATGTTGTAGCACATATCCATATGTAATTCCTTTTTATTATCAAATAATATCCTATCAAATGACTATACCATATTTTCTTTATTAATCAGTTGATGAGCATTGGGTTCTTTATACCTTTTAGCTATTACGAATAACACTACTGTGAGCATTGATGTACACATTTTTATGTGGACATATATTTTCATTATTCTTGAGTATATCTCTAAGAGTAGAATTATTGGATAAGATGGTAATTCTAAGTTTAACTATTTTGGGAATTACCAGACTGTTTTCCAAAATGATTGCATCATTTTACATTCCCATCAGTACTGTATAATTTTCTCTACATCCCTGCCAACTTTTGTTATTATCTCTTTTATTCTAGACATCCTACTTTTTTATTCTAGACAATCTAGTGGGTGTGAAATAGTATCTAATTGTAGTTTTGATTTGCATTTCCTTGGTGACTAATGATGCCAAACATCTTTACATCTTTTCATTTGCTTACTGGCTATTTGTATATCTTCTTTGGAAAAATGTGTATTCAGAACTGTTACTTGTTTTTAATTCTATTATTTATCATTTTACTGACTTTCAATAGTTCTTTATATGTTCTAGATACAAATCCAGATATATGATTTATAAAAATGTTCTCTAGGCCAGGAGTGCTGGCTCGTGCCTATAATCACAACACTTTGGGAGGCCAAGGCAGGCAGATTGCTTGAGGTCAGGAGTTCGAGACCAGCCTGGTCAACATGGCGAAACCTCATGTCTACTAAAAACACAAAAAATTATCCGAGTGTGGTAGTGCGTGCCTATAGTCCCAGCTACTCGGGAGGCTGAGGCACAAGAATTGCTTGAGCCTGGGAGGCAGAGGTTGCAGTAAGCTAAGATCTCACGATTGTACTCCTGCCTGGGCCACAGAAAGAAACTCTGTCTCAAAAAATAAAAATAAATATAAAAAAAAAAAACAGTTTCTCCCAATATGTGGGTTTTCATTTTATTTTTCTAAGGGTATCCTTCAAAGGATAAATTTGTAATTTTGGTGATAACAAGTTTATCTACGGTTTTTTTGTTGTTGTTGTTGTTTGTTTTTTTGCTCGTGCTTTTGTTGTCATAGCTAAGAAATCATTAGAATCAGTTTGTCAATTTCTGCAAAGACGTTAGATGGGATTTTGATAGGGATTGTGTTAGATCTATAGATTGATTTGGATAATATTGCCATCTTAAAATATGAAGTCTTTTACTTTATGAATATGAAATTTTTCAAAATTGATTTAGGTCTTCTTTCATTTCTTTCAACAATGGTTTGTAATTTTCAGAATATAAGTTTTGTACTTTTGGGTTAAATTTATTTCTATGTACTTTGTTTTCTATGCTATTATAAATGGAATTGCTTATTTTATTTTCAGTTTGCTGATTGCTACCGTATGTAAACACTATGATTTGTAGAGATTTATCTTGTATCCTACAACCTTGCTGAACTCTTATTATTTCTTTTTCTTTTCTTTTTTCTTTCTTTTTCTTTTTTTTCTTTTTTTACTGGATTCCATGGGGTTATCTATATACAAGACCATGTCATCTGCAAATAAAATAGTTTCACTCTTTCCTTTCAATACGAATGCCTTTTATTTCATTTTCTTGCCTCATTGGCCTAGCTAGAACTTTCAGTACAGTTGAATAGAATTGGTAAGAACAAACATGTTTTGTTTCTGATCTTAAGAGGAAAGCATTCAGTCTTTCACCATTAAGTATAATGTTAGTTGTGGGTTTTTTATAGTTATCCTTTATCAGGTTGAAGAAGTTTTATTTCTAGTTTGTCAAGCATTTTTCATGAAGGGTGTTAAATTTTGTCCAGTGATTTTCCTCCATCTATTGAGATGGTCCTTTGATTTTTGTCCTTTATCTTATCAGCTTATTTTCTCTCTGTTTTTCAAATTGGCCAGTGTCTGTTGTTTTATCTTTAAGTTCATTAATATTTTTCTCTGTCTTATCCATTCTGCTGTTGAACCAATTCACTGAGTTTTTTCTTTTTGCTATTGTATATTTTGGCTCTAATATTTTCAATTTAAAAATTATTTTCTGTTTCTTTTCTGAGGCTTTCTATTCTTTCATTGGTTCAAGTATGTTAATAATTTCTCATTTAGGCATCATTATGATGGCTGTTTTAAAATTCTTGTCAGATAGTTCTAACATCTGTGTCACCTTGGTTTTAGGGTCTATTGATTTCCTTTATCATTCAAGTTAAGATCTTCCTGTTCTTGGTAAGACAGTTGATGTTCCAATGAAACCTAGATGTTTGGGGTACCGTAAGACACCGGATCTTATTTAAATCTTGTATTTTAAAAGGCCTCTTCTTACACTCTTCTCATGGGAGAAGGGAGACACAGTCTCATTATTGCCAGTGGAGGTAAAAGTGAAGCCAGGGGTAGGGAGGAAGCTCTTTTTACCCCTGGGCAAGGTTAGAAGTTCAGTCTCCCCACTAGGTCCTGGCTGAGAGGCGGAATGGCACTTTATCACTCTTCCCCACCTTCTCCCACTGAGAAAGGGTGAACTCATTACTGTTGAGCAGTGACAAAAGTCTTCACTTTCTAGTAGGCTTTTCTAACACCACCTCAGTAAGGAGGGAGAGGGGGACCTCATTATCTTCCTCAATGGGTGCAGGTGGAATTCCAGGATTACCCCATAGTCTCCAATTGTCATCGGATGTATGTGTGTTCAGGCTGCGGAGACAGTCTTTACTCAGAAATGAAATTCTCTGCTACTTGCCTTCTGTGATATCACCCCACCCCACCAGGGGTTGAAGTGCCTTGTCCCAGGCTGGCAAGAGTAGTAAACTAGACTCTAATTGGTCTTTGCTAGATGGGTGGGGGTGGGGTCGAAGGCGTTTAACTGGAGTAAAGCAATTGTTACTTAAAAGTTTTCCGTCTTGCTAGACTGCCCCTTTCCTGGTCCTTTGGCAAAAAAGAGCAGAATCTGTGGGGAGCTTATTTTTGCCTGAAACCATTGGTATTTCTGAACCCCTTGACTTCCTTTGGACTCAGTCTAGGATCTATGACACAAAAAGAAACCTCAGGTAACTCATACCCCTTGTTATTCATAGTGTTGCAAAGTCCCTAGTTGGTCTGCTTTCTTTTCTCCATTTTTCAGTGTCTTATGTTTGTTTTATATATAATGTCCAGAGTTTTCAGCTGTGCTTAGCTGGAGGAACAACAAAATATATGTCTGCTCTATCTTCCTAGAAGTGGAAATGCCCTTCCCAGTCCTTGGATTTTAAAGACTGGCTTCTCCTGGAACCCCTATATTGCTTCATAAGGCACTGTTGCATGCATGGAGAAGTCGGTGCCTTGGAATGGGACTTCCAAAGAGGGATTTATTTTTTTTTTCTTACTTTCTTTTATTATACTTTAAGTTCTAGGGTACATGTGCACAATGTGCAGGTTTGTTACACAGGTATACATGTGCCATCTTGGTTTGCTGCACCAATCAACTTGACATTTACATCAGACATTTCTCCTAATGCTATCCCTCCCCCAGCTCCCCACCCCCCAACAGGCCCCAGTGTGTGATGTTCCCTGCCCTGTGTCCATGTGTTCTCATTGTTCTACTCCCACCTATGAGTGAGAACAGGTGGTGTTTGGTTTTCTGTCCTTGTGATAGTTTGCTGAGAATGATGGTTTCTAGCTTCATCCATGTCCCTGCAAAGGACATGAACTCATCCTTTTTTATGGCTACATAGTATTCCATGGTGTATATGTGCCACGTTTTCTTAATCCAGTCTATCATTGATGGACATTTGGGTTGGTTCCAAGTCTTTGCTATTGTGAATAGTGCCGCAATAAACATACATGTGCAAGTGTCTTTAAAGTAGAATGATTTATAATCGTTTTGGTATATACCCAGTAATGGGATTGCTGGGTCAAATGGTATTTCTAGTTCTAGGTCCTGAGGAATCGCCACACTGTCTTCCACAATGGTTGAACTAATTTACACTCCCACCAACAGTGTAAAAGCGTTCCTATTTCTCCACATCCTCTCCAGGATCTGTTGTTTCCTGACTTTATAGTGATCGCCATTCTAACTGGCATGAGATAGTATCTCATTGTGGTTTTGATTTGTATTTCTCTGATGACCAGTGATGAGCATTTTTGCGTGTCTGTTGGCTGCATAAATGTCTTCTTTTGAGAAGTGTCTGTTCATATCCTTTGCCCACTTTTTGATGGGGTTGCTTCTTTTTTTCTTGTAAATTTGTTTAAGTTCTTTGTAGATTCTGGATATTAGCCCATTGTCAGATGGGTAGATTGCAAAAATTTTCTCCCATTCTGTAGGTTGCCTGTTCATTCTGATGATAGTTTCTTTTGCTGTGCAGAAGCTCTTTAGTTTAATTAGATCCCATTTTTCTATTTTGGTTTTTGTTGCCGTTGCTTTTGGTGTTTTAGTCATGAAGTCTTTGCCCATGCCTATGTCCTGAATGGTATTCTTCTACGGTTTTTATGGTTTTAGGTCTTACATTTAAGTCTTTAATCCATTTTGAATTAATTGTTGTATAAGGTGAAAGGAAGGGATCCAGTTTCACCTTTCTACATATGGCTAGCCAGTTTTCCCAGCACCATTTATTAAATAGGGAATTGTTTCCCCATTTCTTGTTTTTGTCAGGTTTGTCAAAGATCAGATGGTTGTAGAAGTGTGGTGTTATTTCTGAGGCCTCTGTTCTGTTCCATTGGTCTATCTGTTTTGGTAATATCTGTTTTGGTAGTGGTACCATGCTGTTTTGGTTACTGTAGCCTTGTAGTATAGTTTGAAGTCAGGTAGCATGATGCCTCCAGCTTTGTTCTTTTTGCTTAGGATTGTCTTGGCTATTCAGGCTCTTTTTTGGTTCCATATGAACTTTAAAGTCGTTTTTTCCAATTCTGTGAAGAAGATCATTGGGAGCCTGATGGGGATGGCATTGAATCTATAAATTACCTTGGGCAGTATGGCCATTTTCATGATACTGATTCTTCCTATCCACGAGCATGGAATGTTCTTCCATTTGTTTGTGTCCTCTTTTATTTCGTTGAGCAGTGGTTTGTAGTTCTCCTTGAAGAGGTCCTTCATATCCCTTGTAAGTTGGATTCGTAGGTATTTTATTCTCTTTGTAGCAATTGTGAATGGGAGTTCACTCATGATTTGGCTCTCTGTTTGTCTGTTATTGGTGTGTAGGAATGTTTGTGATTTTTGCACATTGATCTTGTATCCTGAGACTTTGCTGAAGTTGCTTATCAGCTTAAACAGATCTTGGGCTGAGACGATGGGGTTTTCTAAGTATACAATCATGTCATCAGCAAACAGAGACAATTTGACTTCCTCTTTTCACACTTTATTTCTTTCTGTGGCCTGATTGCCCTGGCCAGAACTTCCAACACTATGTTGAATAGGAGTGGTGAGAGAGGGCATCCTTGTCTTGTGCCGGTTTTCAAAGGGAATGCTTCCAGTTTTTGCCCATTCAGTATGATATTGGCTGTGGGTTTGTCATAAATAGCTCTTATTATTTTGAGATATGTTGCATCAATACCTAGTTTATTGAGAGTTTTTAGCATGAAAGGCTGTTGAATTTTGTCAAAGGCCTTTTCTGCCTCTATTGAGATAATCGTGTGGTTTTTGTCATTGGTACTGTTTAAGTGATGGATTATGCTTATTGATTTGCATATGTTGAACCAAACTTGCATCCCAGGGATGAAGCCTACTTGATTGTGGTGGATAAGCTTTTTGATGTGCTGCTGGATTCAGTTTGCCAGTATTTTATTGAGGATTTTCGCATCGATGTTCATAAAGGATATTGGTCTAAAATTCTCTTTTTTTGTTGTGTCTCTGCTGGGCTTTGCTTTCTGGATGATGCTGGCCTCATAAAATGAGTTAGGGAGGATCCCCTCTTTTTCTATTGATTGGAATATTTTCAGAAGGAATGGTAGCAGCTCCTCTTTTTACCTCTGGTAGAATTCAGCTGTGAATCCTTCTGGTCCTGGACTTTTTTGGTTGGTAGGCTATTAATTATTGCCTTAATTTCAGAACCTGTTATTGGTCTACTCAGAGATTCAACTTCTTCCTGCTTTAGTCTTAGGGGGGTGTATGTGTCCAGGAATTTATCCATTTCTTCTGGATTTTCTAGTTTATTTGTGTAGAGGTGTTTATAGTATTCTTTGATGGTAGTTTGTGTTTCTGTGGGATCAGTGGTGATATCCCCTTTATCATTTTTTATTGCGTCTATTTGATTCTTCTGTCTTCTTCATTAATCTTGCTAGTGGTCTATTTTGTTGATCTTTTCAAAAACCAGCTCCTGGATTCATTCATTGATTTTTTGAAGGGTTTTTTGTGTCTCTATCTCCTGCATTTCTGCTCTGATCTTAGTTATTTCTTGCCTTCTGCTAGCTTTTGAATTTGTTTGCTCTTGCTTCTCTAGTTCTTTTAATTGTGATGTTAGGGTGTCCATTTTAGATTTTTCCTGTGTTCTCTTGTGGCCATTTAGTGCTATAAATTTCCCTCTATACACTGCTTTAAGTGTGTCCCAGAGATTCTGGTATGTTGTGTCTTTATTGGTTTCAAAGAACATCTTTATTTCTGCCTTCATTTCATTATTTATCCAGTAGTCATTTAGGAGCAGGTTGTTCAGTTTCCATGTAGTGGTGCAGTTTTGAGTGAATTTCTTAATCCTGAGTTCTAATTTGATTGCACTGTGCTCTGAGAGACAATTTGTTGTGATTTCTGCTTTTTATATTTGCTGAGGAGTGTTTAACTTCCAATTATGTGGTCAATTTTAGAATAAGTGAGATGTAGTGCTGAGAGGAATGTATATTCTGTTGATTTGGGGTGGAAAGTTCTGTAGATGTCTATAGGTCCGCTTAGTACAGAGCTGAGTTCAAGTCCTGGATATCCTTGCTAACCTTCTGTCTTGTTGATTTGTCTAATATTGACAGTGGGGTGTTAATGTCTCCCATTATTGTTGTGTGGGAGTCTGAGTTTCTTTGTAGGTCTCTAAAGACTTGGTTTATGAATGTGAGTGCTCCTGTATTGGGTGCATAAACATTTAGGATAGTTAGCTCTTCTTGTTGCATTGATCCCTTTACGATTATGCAGTGCCCTTCTTTGTCTCTTGATCTTTATTTGTTTAAAGTCTGTTTTATCAGAGACTAGGATTGCAACCCCTGCTTTTTTTTGCTTTCCATTTGCTTGGTAGATCTTCTTCCATCCCTTTATTTTAAGCCTACGTGTGTCTGCACGTGAGATGGGTCTCCTGAATACAGGACACAGATGGGTCTTGACTCTTTATCCAATTTGCCAGTCTTTGTCTCTAATTGGGGTATTTAGCCCATTTACATTTAAGGTTAATACTGTTATGTGTGAATTTGATCCTGTCATTATGATGTTAGCTAGTTATTTTTCCTGTTAATTCATGCAGTTTCTTCATAGCGTCAATGGTCTTTATAATTTGGCATGTTTTTGCAGTGGCTGGTACCGGTTGTTCCTTTCTATGTTTAGTGCTTCCTTCAGAAGCTCTTGTAAGGCAGACCTGGTGGTGACATCTCTCAGCATTTGCTTGTCTGTAAAGGATTTTATTTCTCCCTCACTTATGAAGCTTATTTTGGCTGGATATGAAATTCTGGGTTAAAAATTCTTTTCTTTAAGGAGGTTGAATATTGGCTCCCACTCTCTTCTGGCTTGTAGGGCTTCTGCCAAGAGATCTGCTGTTAGTCTGATGAGCTTCCCTTTGTGGGTAACCTGACCTTTCTTTCTGGCTGCGCTTAACATTTTTTCCTTCATTTCAACCTTGGTGAATCTGACAATTATGTGTCATGTGTTGCTCTTCTCAACGAGTATCTTTATGGTGTTCTCCATATTTCCTGAATTTGAGTGTTGGCCTGCCTTGCTAGGTTGGGGAAGTTCTCCTGGATAATATCCTGAAGAGTGTTTTCCAACTTGGTTCCATTGTCCCTATCACTTTCAGGTACACCAATCAAATGTAGATTTGGTCTTTTCACATAATCCCATATTTCTTGGAGGCTTTGTTCATTTCTTTTTGCTCTTTTTTCTCTGATTTTGTCTTCTCACTTTATTTCATTAATTTGATCTTCAATCACTGACATCCTTTCTTCCACTTGATCAAATTGGCTATTGAAGCTTGTGCATGCATCATGAAGTTCTCGTGCTGTGGTTTTCAGTTCCATCAGGTCATTTAAGGTCTTCTCTACACTGTTCATTCTAGGTAGCCATTTGTCTAACCTTTTTTCAAGTTTTTTAGCTTTTTTGCGATAGGTTAGAACATGCTCCTTTAGCTGGGAGAAGAAGTTTGTTATTATCGACCATCTGAAGCCTACTTCTGTCAACTCATCAAACTCATTCTCTGTCCAGTTTTTTTATTCTGTTGCTGGCAAGGAGCTGTGATCCTTTGGAGGAGAAGAGGCACTCTGGTTTTTGGAATTTTCAGCTTTTCTGCTCTGGTTTCTCCCTGTCTTTGTGGTTTTAGCTACCTTTGTTCTTTGATGTTGGTGACCTACAGATGGGGTGTAGATGTCCTTTTTGTTGATGTTGATGCTATTCCTTTCCGTTTGTTAGTTTTCCTTTTACAGTCAGACCCCTCAGCTGCAGGTCTGTTGGGGTTTGGTGGAGGTGCACTCCAGACCCTGTTTGCCTGGGTATCACCAGTGGAGGCTGCAGAACAGCAAATATTGCTACCTGATCCTTCCTCTGGAAGCTTCATCCTAGAGGGTCACCCACCTGTATGACGTCTCTGTTGGCCCCTACTGGGAGGTGTCTCCCAGTCAGGCTACACGGGGGTCAGGGACCAACTTGAGGAGGCAGTCTGTCCGTTCTCAGAGCTCAAACGCTGGCCATGCTGGGAGAATCACTGCTCTCTTCAGAGCTGTCAGACAGGGACGTTTAAGTCTGCAGAAGTTGTCTGCTGCCTTTTGTTCAGCTATGCCCTGCCCACAGAGGTGGAGTCTAGAGAGGCAGTAGGCCTGGCTGAGCTGCAGTGGGCTCTGCCCAGTTTGAGCTTCCCAGCCTCTTTGTTTCCCTAGTCAAACCTCAGCAATGGTGGATGCCCCTCCCCTGCCAGGCTGCAGCATTGCAGGTTAATCTCAAACTGCTGCATTAGCATTGAGCAAGGCTCCATGGGCATGGGACCCACTGAGCCAGGCATGGGAGGGAATCTCCTAGTCTGCTAGTTGCTAAGACCATGGGAAAAGAGCAGTATTTGGACAGAAGTGTACCGTTCCTCCAGGTACAGCTTGTCATGGCTTCCCTTTGCTAGGAAAGGGAAATTCCCCAACCCCTTGTGCTTCCTGGGTGAGGCGATGCCCCACCCTGCTTCAGCTTGCCCTCCGTGGGCTGCACTCACTGTCCAACCAGTCTCAATGAAATGAACCAGGTACCTCAGTTGGAAATGCAGAAATCACCCGTCTTCTGCATAGATCTCACTGGGTGCTGCAGACCGGAGCTGTTCCTATTCTGCCATCTTGGAAGTGACCCCAAAGAGGGATTTAAAGTAACACTGAACAAGCAGCTTCAAGGACTGTTTACTTCACATTGCACACTTGCAAGTAATTTAAATAAATTGTGTAAACAGGCCTGAAAAATCTAGAATACAATTTACTAATAATTTAGGCTTAATTTATTGCGTGTGTATTTATGTGTAGCGGTATTGAGGTTTAACAAGTGAAAATTGCACATATCCATGATATACAGCTTGATGCTTTCATATACATACACACTGTGAAATAATCACCACAATTCAGCTAATTACCATATCTCTCACCTCACACAGTTGCCATTTGTGTGTATGGTAAGAACACTTAAGATCCACCTTAACAAATTTGAAGTATACAGTACAGTATTGTTAACCACAGTCACCATGCTATGCATTAGTTATTCAGAACATATTTATCTTGCATAATTGGGATTCCATACTCTGACCAACATCTCATTTCTCCCACCCCCCAACCACTAGAAATCACCATTCTCTGTGCTTCTGTGGTTTGACTGTTTTTCATTCCACATATAAGTGAGATCACACAGTATTTTTCTTTCTGTGTCTAGTTTATTTCATTAGCTTAATGTCCTCCAAGTTCATCCATGTTGTTACAAATGGCAGGATTTTCTTCTTTTTTTAAGGCTGAATAATATTTCATTACATATTTATATACATTATATATTTATCTATAATATAGTATTATATATTATTAATATATAATTATATTGTATATTATTAATATAGAATTATATTATATTATTAATATAGAATTATATTATATATTATTAATATAGAATTATATTACTAATTAATAACATATAATTGTAATTATATAATTAAATAATAGATAATTACATGTAATATATATTTATATAATATGTATTATATATAATGTAATATTTTATATTTATAATAGAATTATATTTTTTTATTCATTCACCCATTAACAGATATTTAGGGTGTTTCCGTATCTTGGCAACTGTGAATAATGCTACAGTGAACATAGGAGTACAGGTATCTCCTTTGACATACTGTTTTTATTTCCTTTTGATATATATACCCAGAAGTGGGATTACTGGATACCATGAGTTCTATTTTTAATTTTTTGAGGAACCTCCATACTCTTCTTCACAATGGCCATACCAATTTACACTCCCAGAACAATGTACAAATGTGTTTCTTTTTCTCCACATCTTCACTAACACTTACCTTTTGTCTTTTTGATGATAGCCATTCTAACAGATGTGAAGTAATATCTCATTGTGGTTTTGATATGCATTTCTCTGATGATTAGTGAATTAATGACCTTTTCATATACCTGTTGCCTTTTGCATGTCTTCTTTTAAGAAATGTCTATTCAGGTTTTTTACCCACGTTTTGATCAGGTTATTTGGCTTTTTTGTTGTTGAGTTCTTTTAGTATATTTTGTATATTAACATAGTTTGCAAATATTTTCTCCCATTCTGTAGGTTACCTTTTCACTCTGTTAATTATTACTTTTGCTGTGAGGAAGCTTTTTAGTTTGATGTAATCTCATTTGCCTACTTTTGCTTTTGTAGCCTGTGCTTTCAGTGTCATATTCCAAAAAATCATTGCTCAGACAAATGCTATAAAGATTTTCTGTATGTTTTTTTCTAGTTGTTCTATGGTTTCAGATCTTATGTTTAAGTTTTTAATCCATTCTGAGTTGATTTTTATATATGTTGTGAGGAAAGGTTCTAATTTTATTCTTTTTGCTCTTTTGCACCATTTATTGAGGAGACTATTCTTTCCCCATTGTGTATTCCTGGCACCTTTGCTGAAGATCAGTTGACCATATACATGTGGTTTTATGTCTGGGCTTTCTAACTGTTCCATTGGTCTGTTTTTAATGCCAGTGCCATACTGTTTTGATTAATATAGCTTTGTACTATATTTTGAAAACAGGAAGCATGATGTCTCCAGCTTTGTTCTCCTTGCTCAAGATTGCTTTGACTATTCAAGCTTTTCTGTGGTTTCATATGAATTTTAGGATGACTTCCTTCTACTTCTGTAAAGAACACCATTGGAATTTTGATAACAAGTGCATTGAATCTTTAGATCACTTTGGGTAGTATGGACATTTTAGCAATATTAATTCTTCCAACCATAAATATGAATGTCTTCCCATTTATTGGTGTCTTCCTTATTTTCCTTCATCAGTGATTTAAAAATTCACTGTATGTCTTTCACCTCTTTTGTTAATTTTATTCCTAAGTACTTTATTCCTTTTCGCTATTGTCAGTGGGATTGTTTTCTTAATTTCCTTTCAGATAATTCATTGTTTATATATAGATAACTCACTGATTTTTGTATGTTGCTTTTGTTTCTGCAACTTTGAATTCATTTATTAGTTCTACAGTATTTTTGTTGTTGTTGAGACAGGTTCTCAGGCTGGAGTGCAGTAGCATGATCACGTTTTGTTTTTTTTTGTTTTATTTTATTTTATTATTATACTTTAAGATTTAGGGTACATGTGCACAATGTGCAGGTTAGTTACATATGTATACATGTGCCATGCTGGTGTGCTGCACCCATTAACTCGTCAATTAGCATTAGGTGTATCTCCTAATGCTATCCCTCCCCCTCCCCCCACCACACAACAGTCCCCAGAGTGTGATGTTCCCCTTCCTGTGTCCAAGTGTTCTCATTGTTCAATTCCCACCTATGAGTGAGAACACGCGGTGTTTGGTTTTTTGTCCTTGCGATAGTTTACTGAGAATGATGGTTTCCAATTTCATCCGTGTCCCTATAAAGGACATGAACTCATCATTTTTTATGGCTGCATAGTATTCCATGGTGTATATGTGCCACATTTTCTTAATCCAGTCTATCATTGTTGGACATTTGGGTTGGTTCCAAGTCTTTGCTATTGTGAATAGTGCCGCAATAAACATACGTGTGCATGTGTCTTTATAGCAGCATGATTTATAGTTCTTTGGGTATATACCCAGTAATGGGATGGCTGGGTCAAATGGTATTTCTAGTTCTAGATCCCTGAGGAATCGCCACACTGACTTCCACAATGGTTGAACTAGTTTACAGTCCCATCAACAGTGTAAAAGTGTTCCTATTTCTCCACATCCTCTCCAGCACCTGTTGTTTCCTGACTTTTTAATGATTGCCATTCTAACTGGTGTGAGATGGTATCTCATTGTGGTTTTGATTTGGATTTCTCTGATGGCCAGTGATGGTGAGCATTTTTTCATGTGTTTTTTGGCTGCATAAATGTCTTCTTTTGAGAAGTGTCTGTTCATGTCCTTTGCCCACTTTTTGATGGGGTTGTTTGTTTTTTTCTTGTAAATTTGTTTGAGTTCATTGTAGATCCTGGATATTAGCCCTTTGTCAGATGAGTAGGTTGCGAAAATTTTCTCCCATTTTGTAGGTTGCCTGTTCACTCTGGTGGTCATTTCTTTTGCTGTGTAGAAGCTCTTTAGTTTAATTAGATCCCATTTGTCAATTTTGGCTTCTGTTGCCATTGCTTTTGGTGTTTTAGACATGAAGTCCTTGCCCATGCCTATGTCCTGAATGGTAATGCCTAGGTTTTCTTCTAGAGTTTTTGTGGTTTTAGGTCTAACGTTTAAGTCTTTAATCCATCTCGAATTAATTTTTGTATAAGGTGTAAGGAAGGGATCCAGTTTCAGCTTTCTACATATGGCTAGCCAGTTTTCCCAGCACCATTTATTAAATAGGGAATCCTTTCCCCATTGCTTGTTTTTCTCAGGTTTGTCAAAGATCAGATAGTTGTAGATATGCGGCATTATTTCTGAGGGCTCTGTTCTGTTCCATTGATCTATATCTCTGTTTTGGTACCAGTACCATGCTGTTTTGGTTACTGTAGCCTTGTAGTATAGTTTGAAGTCAGGTAGTGTGATGCCTCCAGCTTTGTTCTTTTGGCTTAGGATTGACTTGGCGATGCAGGCTCTTTTTTGGTTCCATATGAACTTGAAAATAGTTATTTCCAATTCTGTGAAGAAAGTCATTGGTAGCTTGTTGGGGATGGCACTGAATCTGTAAATTACCTTGGGCAGTATGGCCATTTTCATGATATTGATTCTTCCTACCCATGAGCATGGAATGTTCTTCCATTTGTTTGTATCCTCTTTTATTTCATTGAGCAGTGGTTTGTAGTTCTCCTTGAAGAGGTCCTTCACGTCCCTTGTAAGTTGGATTCCTAGGTATCTTGTTCTCTTTGAAGCAATTGTGAATGGGAGTTCACTCATGATTTGGCTCTCTGTTTGTCTGTTATTGGTATATAAGAATCTTGTGATTTTTGTACATTGATTTTGTAACCTGAGACTTTGCTGATGTTGCTTATCAGCTTAAGGAGATTTTGGGCTGAGACAATGGGGTTTTCTAGATATACAATCATGTCACTGCAAACAGGGACAATTTGACTTCCTCTTTTCCTAATTGAATACCCTTTATTTCCTTCTCCTGCCTAATGGCCCTGGCCAGAAGTTCCAACACTCTGTTGAATAGGAGTGGTGAAAGAGGGCATCCCTGTCTTGTGCCAGTTTTCAAAGGGAATGCTTCCAGTTTTTGCTCATTCAGTATGATATTGGCTGTGGGTTTGTCATAGATAGCTCTCATTATTTTGAGATACGTCCCATCAATACCTAATTTATTGAGAGTTTTTAGCATGAAGGGTTGTTGAATTTTGTCAAAGGCCTTTTCTGCATCTGTTGAGATAATCATGTGGTTTTTCTCTTTGGTTCTGTTTATATGCTGGATTACATTTATTGATTTGCATATATTGAACCAGCCTTGCATCCCAGGGATGAAGCCCACTTGATCATGGTGGATAAGCTTTTTGATGTGCTGCTGGATTCGATTTGCCAGTATTTTATTGAGGATTTTTGCATCAATGTTCATCAAGGATATTGGTTTAAAATTCTCTTTTTTTGGTTGTGTCTGTGCCCGGCTTTGGTATCAGAATGATGCTGGCCTCACAAAATGAGTTAGGGAGGATTCCCTCTTTTTCTATTGATTGGAATAGTTTCAGAAGGAATGGTACCAGTTCCTCCTTGTACCTCTGGTAGAATTCGGCTGTGAATCCATCTGGTTCTGGACTCTTTTTGGTTGGTAAGCTATTGATTATGCCACAATTTCAGAGCCTGTTATTGGTCTATTCAGAGATTCAACTTCTTCCTGGTTTAGTCTTGGGAGGGTGTATGTGTTGAGGAATTTATCCATTTCTTCTAGATTTTCTAGTTTGTTTGCGTAGAGGTGTTTGTAGTATTCTCTGATGGTAGTTTGTATTTCTGTGGGATCAGTGGTGATATCCCCTTTATCATTTTTTATTGCATCTATTTGATTCTTCTCTCTTTTCTTCTTTATTAGTCTTGCTAGTGGTCTATCAATTTTGTTGATCTTTTCAAAAAACCAGCTCCTGGATTCATTAATTTTTTGAAGGGTTTTTTGTGTCTCTATTTCCTTCAGTTCTGCTCTGATTTTAGTTATTTCTTGCCTTCTGCTAGCTTTCGAATGTGTTTGCTCTTGCTTTTCTAGTTCTTTTAATTGTGATGTTAGGGTGTCAATTTTGGATCTTTCCTGCTTTCTCTTGTGGGCATTTAGTGCTATAAATTTCCCTCTACACACTGCTTTGAATGTGTCCCAGAGATTCTGGTATGTTGTGTCTTTGTTCTCGTTGGTTTCAAAGAACATCTTTATTTCTGTCTTCATTTCGTTATGTACCCAGTAGTCATTCAGGAGCAGGTTGTTCAGTTTCCATGTAGTTGAGCGGTTTTGAGTGAGTTTCTTAATCCTGAGTTCTAGTTTGATTGCACTGTGGTCTGAGAGATAGTTTGTTATAATTTCTGTTCTTTTACATTTGCTGAGGAGAGCTTTACTTCCAGGTATGTGGTCAATTTTGGAATAGGTGTGGTGTGGTGGTGAAAAAAATGTATATTCTGTTGATATGGGGTGGAGAGTTCTGTAGATGTCTATTAGGTCTGCTTGGTGCAGAGCTGAGTTCAATTCCTGGATATCCTTGTTGACTTTCTGTCTCTTTGATCTGTCTAATGTTGACAGTGGGGTGTTAAAATCTCCCATTATTATTGTGTGGGAGTCTAAGTCTCTTTGTAGGTCACTCAGGACTTGCTTTATGAATCTGGGTGCTCCTGTATTGGGTGCATATATATTTAGGATAGTTAGCTCTTCTTGTTGAATTGATCCCTTTGCCGTTATGTAATGTCCTTCTTTGTCTCTTCTGATCTTTGTTGGTTTAAAGTCTGTTTTATCAGAGTCTAGGATTGCAACCCCTGCCTTTTTTAGTTTTCCATTTGCTTGGTAGATCTTCCTCCATCCTTTTATTTTGAGCCTATGTGTGTCTCTGCACGTGAGATGGGTTTCCTGAATACAGCACACTGATGGGTCTTGACTCTTTATCCAATTTGCCAGTCTGTGTCTTTTAATTGGAGCATTTAGTCCATTTACATTTAAAGTTAATATTGTTATGTGTGAATTTGATCCTGTCATTATGATGTTAGCTGGTTATTTTGCTCGTTAGTTGGTGCAGTTTCTTCCTAGCCTTGATGGTCTTTACAATTTGGCCTGATTTTGCAGTGGCTGGTACCAGTTGTTCCTTTCCATGTTTAGTGCTTCCTTCAGGAGCTCTTTCGGGGCAGGCCTGGTGGTGACAAAATCTCTCAGCATTTGCTTGTCTGTAAAGTATTTTATTTCTCCTTCACTTATGAAGCTTAGTTTGGCTGGGTATGAAATTCTGGGTTGAACATTCTTTTCTTTAAGAATGTTGAATATTGGCTCCCACTCTCTTCTGGCTTATAGAGTTTCTACTGAGAGATCCACTGTTAGTCTGACGGGCTTCCCTTTGTGGGTAACCTGACCTTTCTCTCTGGCTGCCCTTAACATTTTTTCCTTCATTTCAACTTTGGTGAATCTGACAATTATGTGTCTTGGAGTTGCTCTTCTCGAGGAGTATCTTTGTGGCGTTCTCTGTATTTCCTGAATCTGAACGTTGGCCTGCCTTGCTAGATTGGGGAAGTTCTCCTGGATAATATCCTGCAGAGTGTTTTCCAACTTGGTTCCATTCTCCCCGTCACTTTCAGGTACACGAGTCAGACGCAGATTTGGTCTTTTCACATAGTCCCATATTTCCTGGAGGCTTTGTTCATTTCTTTTTATTCTTTCTTCTCTAAACTTCCCTTCTCACTTCATTTCATTCATTTCATCTTCCATCACTGATACCCTTTCTTCCAGTTGATCGCATTGGCTTCTGAGGCTTCTGCATTCTTCACGTAGTTCTCGAGCCTTGGTTTTCAGCTCCATCAGCTCCTTTAAGCACTTCTCTGTATTGGTTATTCTAGTTATACATTAGTCTAAATTTTTTTCAAAGTTTTCAACTTCTTTGCCTTTGGTTTGAATTTCCTCCTGTAGCTCAGAGTAGTTTGATCGTCTGAAGCCTTCTTCTCTCAACTCGTCAAAGTCATTCTCCGTCCAGCTTTGTTCCATTGCTGGTGAGGAGCTGCATTCCTTTGGAGGAGGAGAGGCACTCTGCTTTTTAGAGTTTCCAGTTTTTCTGCTCTGTTTTTTCCCCATCTTTGTGGTTTTATCTACTTTTGGTCTTTGATGATGGTGTTGTACAGATGGGTTTTTGGTGTGGATGTCCTTTCTGTTTGTTAGTTTTCCTTCTAACAGACAGGACCCTCAGCTGCAGGTCTGTTGGAGTTTGCTAGAGGTCCACTCCAGACCCTGTTTGCCTGGATGTCAGCAGCGGTGGCTGCAGAACAGTCGATTTTCGTGAACTGTGAATGCTGCTGTTTGATCGTTTCTCTGGAAGTTTTGTCTCAGAGGAGTACCCGGTCATGTGAGGTGTCAGTCTGTCCCTACTGGGGTGTGCCTCCCAGGTAGGCTGCTCGGGGGTCAGGGGTCAGGGACCCAGTTGAGGAGGCAGTCTCCCTGTTCTCAGATCTCCAGCTGCGTGCTGGGAGAACCACTGCTCTCTTCAAAGCTGTCAGACAGGGACATTTAAGTCTGCAGAGGTTACTGCTGTCTTTTTGTTTGTCTGTGCCCTGCCCCCAGAGGTGGAGCCCACAGAGGCAGGCAGGCCTCCTTGAGCTGTGGTGGGCTCCACCCAGTTCGAGCTTCCTGGCTGCTTTGTTTACCTAAGCAAGCCTGGGCAATGGTGGGCGCCCCTCCCCCAGCCTCGCTGCTGCCTTGCAGTTTGATCTCAGACTGCTGTGCTAGCAATCAGCGAGACTCTGTGGGCGTAGGACCCTCTGAGCCAGGTGCGGGATATAATCTCGTGGTACGCCATTTTTTAAGCCCGTCGGAAAAGCGCAGTATTAGGGTGGGAGTGACCCGATTTTCCAGGTGCCATCCATCACCCCTTTCTTTGACTAGGAAAGGGAACTTCCTGACCCCTTGCGCTTCCGGAGTGAGGCAATGCCTCGCCCTGCTTCGGCTCGCGTAGGGTGCGCTGCACCCACTGACCTGCGCCCACTGTCTGGCACTCCCTAGTGAGATGAACCCGTTACCTCAGATGGAAATGCAGAAATCTCCCATCTTCTGGGTTGCTCACACTGGGAGCTGCAGACCGGAGCTGCAGACCTATTCGACCATCTTGGCTGCCACACTCGCATGATCATGTTTGAGTGCAATAGCATGATCATGGCTCACTGCAGCCTTGTGTTCCCTGGGCTCAGTTGATCTTCCCACCTCAGCCTCCCAAGTAGTTAGGACTACAGGTGCACATCACCATGCCTGGCTAATTTTTATACTTTTGTTGAGATTGTATTTTACCATGTTGCTCAGGCTGGTCTCGAATGCCTGGTCTCAAGCAGTCCACCTGCTTCGGCCTCCCAAAGTTCTAAGATTATAGAAATAAGCCACTGTGCCAGGCCTACTGCTGGTTTCTTAAAATATAAAGGTATGTTGTTTATTTGAGATATTTCCTTTTTTTTTTTTTCTTTTTTGACAGGGTCTCACTCTATTGCTCAGGCTGGAGTGCAGATGCAATCATGGCTCACTGCAGCCTCGAACTTCTGGGTCCAAGTGATCTTCCTGCCTCAGCCTCTCTAGTGGCTGGGATTATGGGCACACACCACTACAACTGGCTAATTTTTTTAAAAAAATAGAGATAAGGTCTCACTATGTTGCCCAAGCTGATTTCAAACTCCTGAGCCCAAGTGATCCTCCCACTTTGGCCTCCCAAAATGCTGAAATTATAGGTGTGAGCTACTGCATCTGGCTCTTTTTAATATAGGCATTTATTGCTATCAACTTCCTTCTTAGTACTATATGTCATAAATGTTGTGTTTCCATTTTTGTCTGTCTTGGGGTATTTTTTAAATTCCCTTTTGGTTTCTTCTTCAACCCAATGGTTGTTCAAAAGTGCAGTGTTTATTTTTCATGTATTTGTGAATTTTTCTATTTTTTATGGTTGTTACCAGAGTTGCTGTTGGGTATGGCTCCTATCAGATCCCTTGCAGGATGGTGCTGGTGGCAAAATTGCAGCTAAGTGGGGCAGGAGCCAAGTCCATAAGAGGGCACGAAAGATTCCAGGTCCCCAACCAGGACCGTACCACAGCCACTGGGCCTCAGGCCTGCCTTCTCAAAGTGGCCCTCCTGGGTTTTGATGTCCACCAGTGTTTTGCAGCCTCCTACCTGGATCCTAAGGCTCCTACAAAGGCACATTTGTCCATGGATGATCATCAAATTATTGTTTCTTTAGGGATATGAGAGCTGGGGACCTCTTATTTCACTACTTTGCTGATGTCATTCTTGGTATAATTTATTGAGTCATCATGTTTCACATTTACCGAACAAGGGTGATGAATAAGAAAAGAAACAAAATCAAATTTCAGCTGTCACTTATCTAATTAGTGGGCTTTCCATTGATGTAAAAGAATAGTGAGTTTGGGAAGTTCCTACAAAATCATCATTTATTTTCCTTTTTTAGGACATTGGTTCAGTCCAATATCATATGTTAACGCCTCATGTTCCCTTTGTGACCTTTCTGAACTCACTGAGTTTCCGTTTCTTATAATATCTGGGCATGGGGGTGGGGCGTAAGCAAGCAAAACTGAAATCTCATTCAGACTAGTTCTGCAATAAATTAAGCCCCTTTCTAAATATTTCTAAAGGTGAAGAATTAGAGGTGCCTCCTCTCTCTCTAAGCTGCTTCTAGCTTTTGCTTAGTGACTTCTATCTCATCTCTGTTCCTACTGGCTGTTGTGTTCTCTTGGCATTTTTTTGCCCCAGACATCAATGTAGCTGCTTCCCCCTTCCTCCCCCGCAGATACCACTAATACAGGGCTTTATAGATAAGGAGATTCCCTAAATGTTTGCAGATAACAAAGGGGAAATACTGCACAAGACCAAAGAGTAACAAAGCTGACCATCACTGCCTTGGGTATATTTTACCAACTGGCACCCCAATTCTTGACTACTGGGATCACTAGGGAAAATCCAAAAACTCCAATATTAAATTATTGAGGCTGAGTAATTTCCCTCCTTTTGTCTTGACAAGGACCAGGGAGCTCATTTATAACCAAAAGGGCTATTCAAGCATTTTCTTAAAGAAAAGGATTGTTTTCTTTCTGAAAATAAATTCCCTTTCCCAAAGGCAAAATTGCTTGAAGTGTTTTTAAACAGCGTTTACCCCAATACTTTTTAAATGATCATGTTTTTTAACTAAACATCAATTTATGTGGTCTGACAAGTTTTTTTCAATGTATAACTATATCTATATGAAAAACCTTTCAAGGTTTTAAAATTAAATTAGATCACAGTGCATGCTTAATGGAGCCTCAGTTTTCTCATCTATAAAACTATGGATGCTATGACCTACCTTACAAAACGATTGTGCTATCAATGAGTCACAAAATATGCAAATACTGTAGGCACATAGCCCAGTTTCTGGCACACAGAGCACACTCACTGTGTTAGCTGACCTTATAATGATAAAAGTAAAATTAAAAGAAATTAAGAGTGTCCTGAAATATTTGGGTGGGAATTACCACACCTTACCAAATACATGAGTCTCTCTCCATATGTGGTGTTTCAAAAGTTACTTAGAGGAGAAAAGGGATCTTGACACTTCTTCTTTCCAAAACAATCTTTCTTTTCCCTATATCACCCCTTCATTACTTTAGCATATTATCTTGTGATCAAAGACATAAAAAATTATCTATTAACTTTTTAATTGATACATATTTATGGGGTACATGTGATACTTTGTTATATGCATAGAATGTGTAATGATCCAGTTAGAATATTTGGGGTATCTGTCACCTCAAGTATTTATCATTTTTATGTGTTGAAAACATTTCAAGTCCTCTCTTCTAGTTATTTTGAAATACTTAATACATTGTTGTTAACTACAGTCATCCTACTCTGCTATTGAACATTAAGACTTATTTCTTCAATCTTACTGTATGTTTCTATCCATTAATCAAACTCACCTCCCAAACCCCACCCACACATCCTTCCCAACCTCTGATGTCTATCATTCTACTCTACCTCCGTGAGATCAACATTTTTTAGCTCCCACGTATTAGTGAGAACATGCAATGTTTATCTTTCTGTGCATGGCTTATTTCACTTAACATAGTGACCTCCAGTTCCATCCATGTTGTTGCAAATGACATAAAATCATTCTTTTTTATGGCCAACTTGTATTTCATTGTGTATATATACCACCTTTTCTTCATTCATTCATTCATTGATGGACACTTAGATTGATTTCACATCTTTGCCATTGTGAGTAGTACTGCTTGTTGCATGGGCTTGTAGATATCGTTTTGATATACTGATTTTTTTCCTTTGAAGAAATTTCTAGTAGTAGGGATTACTGAATCATATGGTAGTTCTATTTTTAGTGTTTTGAGATACCTCCATACTGTTTTCCATGGTGGCTGTATTAATTTACATTACCACCAGCAGTGTATGAGTTCCCTATTCTCCACATCTACACCAGCATCTGTTATTTTTTGTCTTGGGGTAATAGCCATTCTGACTTAGGTGAAATGATATTTCATTTTCACTGAGATTTTGATTTGCATTTCACTGTTGATAGTGATGTCGAGCACTTTTTCATAGACCTGTTGACCATTTGTATGGGCTATTTTGAGAAATGTCTATCCATGTCTTTTGCCCACTTCTTAATGGGATTATTTGTTTTTTCTGTTGGTAAGTTGTTTGCATTCCTTGTATATTATGGATATTAGTTCCTTGTCAGATGAAGAGTTTGCAAATATGTTCTCCCATTCAACAGGTTTTCTCTTCACTCTGTTGATTGTTTATTTTGCTGTGCAGAAGCTTTTAGTTTAATTAAGTCCCATTTGTCTGTTTTTGTTTTTGTTGTCTGTGCTTTTGAGGTCTTAGCCATAAAATCTTTGCCTAGACCAACATCCTAAAATGTTTTTTTATATTTTCTTCTAGTAGTTTCATACTTTTCAGTCTTACGTTTATGTCTTTAATCTATCTTGAGTTGACTTTTGTGTATGGTGAGAGATGAGGGCCCAGTTTCATTTTTCTGCAAATGACTATCCAATTTTCCCAGTACCCTGTACTAAACAGACTGTCCTTTCCCCCATGTATGTTCTTGGCATCTTTGTCTCAAATGAGTTGGCTATAAATATGAGGATTTATTTCTAGGTTCTCTATTCTATTCCATTGGTCTATGTGTCTGCTTTTATTACCAATACCATGCCTTTTTGACTACTATAGCCTTGTAATATATTTTGAAGTCAGGTAGTGTGGTGCCTCCAGCTTTTTTCTTTTTGCTCAGAATAGCTTTGCCTATTTGGGCTTTTTTTGGTTCCATATGAATTTTAGGAGTTTTTTTTCTATTTCTGTGAAGAATGCCATTGTTATTTTCCTAGGGATTGCATTAAATCTGTAGATTGCTTTTGCAAGTATGGTTATTTTAATAATATTGATTCTTCCAATCCATGTTCATGGAATATCTTGCTGTTTGGTCATTTGTCTGTGTCCTCTTTAACTTATTTCATCAGTGTTTTGTGGTTTTCCTTGTGGAGTTCTTTCACCTCCTTGGCTAAAGTTATTCTCAGGTTTTTTGTTTGTTTGTTTTTGTTTTTGTTTTTAGCTATTGCAAATGGAATTGCCTTCTTGACTTCTTTCTCAGCTAGCTGAAAATATGTTGATTTTGTATTCTGCAGCTTTACTGAATTTATTGGTCAGTTCTAAGAGTTTTTTGGTGGAATCGTTAGGGTTTTCTAGAAATGAGATTATGTCATCTGCAGAGAGGGATACTTTGACTCCCTCTCTTTCAACATGGATGCCTGGTACTTCTTTCTCTTGACCAGTTGCTCTGGCTAGGACTTCCATTACTGTGTTGAATAGTAGTGGTGAAAATGGGCATCCTATCTTTTTCTAGTTCTTAGAGGAAAGACTCAGTTTTTCCCCATCCAGTATGATATTAGCTGTGGGTTTGTCATTTACAGTCCTAATTTACGGTTGAAGTATGTTCCTTCTAAGTCTTGTTTTTTTTTTGAGAGGTTTTTTTTTTTAATCATGAAGTGATGTTGAATTTTATTAACTGCTTTTTCTGCATCTATTGAGATGACTATATGGTTTTTGTCCTTTATTCTGTTGATGTGATGTATCATGTTTATTGATTTGTGTATGTTGAATCTTTGCATCCCTGGAATAAATCCCATTTGATCATGGTGAATTTTTTTTTTTTGAGATGGAATTTTGCTCTTGTACCCCAGGCCAGAGTGCAATGACACGATCTCAGCTCACTGCAACCTCCGCCTCCTGGGTTCAAGTGCTTCTCCTGCCTCAGCCTCCCAAGTAGCTGGGCTTACAGGCCTGTGCCACCACGCCTGGCTAATTTTTGTATTTTTAGTAGAGATGGGAGTTTCACCATGTTGACCAGGCTGGTCTCGAATTCCTGACTTCAGGTGATCCACCTGCCTCAGCCTCCCAAAGTGCTGAGATTACAGGCGTGAGCCACCACGCCTGGCTGAATGATCTTTTTAATGTGCTACTAAATTTGTTCTGCTAGTATTTTCCTGAGAATTTTTGCATATATGTTCATCAGGGATATTAACCTGTAGTTTTGTAGTTTTGTTGAGTCTTTGTCTAGTTTTGGTACCAGGGTGATGCTGGTCTTTTAGAATGAATTAGGAAGAATTTCTTCCTCTTTAGTTTTTCTGGAATAGTTTGAGGAGAATTGTTGTTAGTTCTTTGTAAGGCTAATAGAATTCAGCAGTGAAGCCATCCTGTCCTGGACTTTTCTTTGTTGGGAGACTTTTTTTTACTGCTTCAATCTCATTACTCATTATTAGTTTGCTCAGTTTTTCTATTTTTCCTGATTCAACCTTGGTAGGTTGTATGTGTCCAGAAATGTATTCGTTTACTCTAGATTTTTCAGTTTGTTAGTGAAAGAGTTTCTTTTGATCTTTTGTATTTCTGTGGTATCACCTCTGATGTTTTCTTTTTTATTTCTGATTTTGTTTACTTGGGTCTTCTCTCTTTTTTTTTCTTGGTTAATCTAGCTAGTGGTTTATAAAATTTATCTTTTCAAAAAGCCAGCTTTTATTTTTTATTATTTATTTATTTATTTTGAGACAGGGTCTCCCTCTGCCACCAAGGCTGGAGTGCAGTGGCACAGTCTTGGTTCACTGCAACTCTGCCTCCTGGGCTCAAGTGATTCTCTCACCTCAGTCTCCCAAGTAGCTGGGACCACAGACATGCACTAATTTTTTGTATTTTTGGTAGAGACGGGGCTTTGTCATGTTGCTCAGGCTGGTCTTGAACTCCTGGGCTTAAGCAATCCTCCCGCCTTGCCCTCCCAAAGTCCTAGGTGTGAGCCACTGCACCCAGGCGAAACCAATTTTTCATTTCATTGATTCTTTGCATTATTTTTTAGTTTCTATTTCTAATTCTGCTATGATCTTTATTATTTCTTCACTTCTACTACTTTGGGGTTTGATTTGTCCTTGCCTTTTAGTTCCCCGAGGTCCATAATTAGATCGTTTATGTGAAATCTTTTTACTTTTTTGATGTAGGTGTTTATTGCTATAAACTTCCCTCTTAGCACTGTTTTTTCTGCATCCCATAGGTTTTGGTATAGTATGTTTCAATTTTCATTTATTTCCACAATTTTAAAAGTTTTCCTCCTTAATTTCTTCCCTGATCAAATGATAATTTAGGAGTATGTTGTTTAATTTGCATGTATTTGTACAGTTTTCAAAGTTCCTCTTGCTATTGATTTCTAGTTACATTCCACTGTGGTCTGAGAAAATACTTATATGATATTTTTTTTAAGTTGTGGAGACCTGTTTTGTGGCCTAACATACGGTCTATCCTAAAGAATGTTCCATGTGCTAATGAGAAGAATGTGCGTTTTGTAGCTGTTAGACGGAATGTTTTATAAATGTCTGTTACATCCATTTAGTCTAATGTGTGGTTCCAATTCAATGTATATTTGTTAATTTTCTGTCTAGATGATCTATCTGATGCTGAGAGTAGGGTGTTCAAGTCCCTATTATTGTTGTATAGGAGTCTGTCTGTCCCCTTAGATCTAATGATATTTGCTTTATATATCTGAGTGCTCCATTTTTGGGTGTGTCTCTGTTTTGAATTGTTATATTCTCTTGCTAAATTGATCCCTTTATTATTATATAATAGATTTCTTTGTTTCTTTTCATTGTTTTTGACCTAAAGTCTGTTGTCTGATGTAAGAATAGCTATTCCTGCTTACTTTTGGTTTCCATTTGCTTGGAATATCTTTGTTCCATTCCTTTACTTTCAGACTTTATGTGTCTTTACATGTGAGGTGAGTTTCTTATAGGCAGCATATAGTTGGGTCATTTTTTAATCCATTCAGTCAGTGTATATCTTTTAACTGTATCATCTATTTATATTCAAGGCTATTTTTGATATGTGATGGCTTATTCCTATCATTTTATTAATTGATTTCTGATTGCTTTATATGTCTTTTATTCTTTTCTTTTTACTTATTGTTTATCCTTGTGATTTTGTGGTTTTCTATAGTGGTAACAATTGAATTCTTTCCCTTCTTTATTTGTGAGTTTCTTCTACTAGTGGGTTTTATACTTTCATTATTTTTCTGATGGTAGATATTATCCTTTGACTTCCAGCTGTAGGACTCCCTTAAGCATTTCTTTTGGGGCTTGTCTAGTGATGATAAGTTCCCTCAGCTTTTGCTTGTTAGGAAAGACTTTATTTCTCCCTCATTTATGAAGAATAAGTTTCCTAGGTATAGTATCTTTGACTGGCAGGTTTATTTTGTTTTGGCACTTGAATATATCATTTTATTATTTCCTGTCCTATAAGGTTTCTGCTGAGAATCTACTGTTTGTCTGAAGCAAGTTCCTCTATAAGTGACTAGATGCTTTCCTCTTGCTGTTTTAAGAATACTCTGTCTTTGACCTTTGACAGTTTGACTATAATGTGCCATGAAGATCTTTTTAAATTGTATCTATTTGAGGATCTCTGAGTTTCCTGTATCTCAATATCTAAATCTCTTGCTAGACTTGGGAAGTTTTCAGTTATTATTTTGTCAAATAGGTCTTCCATCCCTTTCATTTCCTCTTTGCCTTCTGTTTATAGCCAAAGAAATCATATGAAGATTATACTACTGCATGCACCCAGAATCAAAGCCAAAGAGCCCTACCCAATCAACATCATATGTATCTTCAGAAAAAAGTTCTCCTCTACAAAAGCAAATTCAAAGAATTGGAAGAAGTAACTGTTACACAAGACGCACAGACAAAAATGTAGGAACACAAGAAACATGAAAAAGCAAGGCAATATGAAATTCTAAGAAATTCTAAACCAGAAATTTTTTTGATTGCTTTATGGTATTCTGTATGTTACGTAGGCTTTGTTCATTCTTTTTTCTTTATTGTTGTTTGACTGGGTTATTTCAAAAGTCCTGTCTTTAATTCTGACTTTTTTTTTCCTGTTCAATCTGATCTATTCTTGAAATTTTCAAATGTATTTCGCATTTTATTCAATGCAAAGTTTTTCAGTTCTAAAATTTTGTTCTTTTTGATGGTAGCTATCTGTTTTGGTATATTTCTCATTCAGAATCTGAATCACATTCCTGATTTCTTATATTATTTATCTGTGTTTTCTTATACCTCACTGTTTCTTTAATCATATTATTTTGAATTCTTTTTCCAGAATTTCATAAATTTTTTTCATTGAAATCTACTGCTGGAGAATTTTTGTGTTCATTTGGAGGTGTCATATTTCCTTGCTTTTTTCTGTCTCTTGTGTTCTTTACATTATCTGTGCATCTGGTGTAATAGTTACTTCTACCAACTTTTTGTATTTCCTTTTGTAGGGGAGGACTTTTTTCTGAACGTGTGTCTATGGTATTAGCTGGGTAGGGCACTTTGGCTTTGATTCTGAGTGCCTGCAATAGTGTGGTCTTCATATGGTTTATTTGGCTATAAACAGCATTCAGTGGTATTTGTGGCTTAGGGTGCAGTTGTTAATGGAGGCTGTGGTGAAGTTTTGCTGAGGATGGAAACACCAGGTAAATCAGTCCATGGGCTTCAGCAATGGCAGTGGCAAACTGAGCATTCCTGTCCTTGGGCCCTAGGGCAGCATACACTGGCATCAGTGTTCACAGGTTCAGGTGGGTCAATTCTTGGGCCCCTTGAGGACTTGCTCAGGTGCTAGTAGTTGCCATCATGGACCTGGTGGATGGGTGAGTAGGCTTCAGACCCTGAACAGCAAGCATGACATGGGCAATGGCAGTATCAGTGGTGGAACAACTGTCTGGCTCCTGAGCAGCCTGCACTGGTATTGCGGGTGGCTGCAACAGGATGGGTGGGCCAGTCCCCAGGCCCATATGTGGCATGTGTGGGTAGGTGCCAGCTGTAGTGGTAGTGACACATTGGGTGGGCTCAACCTCAAGCCCTCTGGAGGAGTGCTTAGGTATCAATGATGGTGGATGGGGTTAGGTAATCCTCAGGCCCCCGGGAAGCATGCTTGGGCATTGGAGAGGGTGAAGCTGGGCCAGGAGGACCTGGTTGCACATGCAGGTGCTGGCTGTGGTAGGCAGGGGTTGGGTGATTTTCAGGCTCTGGAGGAATGCTTACATGAGTGCAGGTGGCAGCAGCTTCACTGCAGCCCTCCTAGGGAGGGAAGGGTTGCTTTGAGTGGCAGAAGCAGTAGGCAGGTGGCTGGGGAGCATGTATTTCAGCCCCAAGCGGCAGTGGCAGGTGGGAGTGTCTATCCTCAGGGCTCATGAAAATGTGCAGCAGCTTGCACTTCAGCCTTGGTGGTCAAGAGGTTCTTTCGTGGCTAGGATTGCAGGAGTCTGTGTTGGGAATGCAGACCACTGGGGGTCTCTGACTTACCCTTTTCCTGCATTGGAGAGCCTCTCCATACTCCTAGCCAATCAGGCTGCCTTGCTTTCCTCTCCTTCCTTGCTTTAGGTGTTTCCTATCGCTTTCCTGTTGCATTCCAGTGTTCCCTCTTAGATGATCTATTCTAAGTGTGATTATCCACTCACTGTTTCAGTTCTTTGCAGAGGAAGCAAGTACCAGATGCCTCTAGTCAGCCATCTTGAAGCCTTGTGTCTATTAACTTTTATTTTCATTTTCAAACTATAAAATTCCTGTTATTTTCTTAATTCAACATGCTTTTATGAATGTAACAATATAAGCGTTTTAGTTCATATAGAGCCTCATTGTCCCAATCTTTTCTTAACCATTAGCCCTTCTAGCGATGTGGGTTTTTTTTTTTTTTAATGTAACCATTATGACTAGGGAAAAGAATATTACCCAGTAGTTTTCCCCTAAGTTAAACAAGAATTCCTTCTCACCCACTAAATTGAGTCACCCTGCTAAGGCCCCCATGAGCCCCTTTTCACTTTCTGTATTACTAAGCCCTTTGCCCAGCCTGACTAGATGGCAGCTATTTCCTGTGGGTCAGAGGGTTTTTAAGGCCTTTTTTGGAATTCTCCTTTCCTCTGGCTCAGGTATAAATGGTAATACCAAAAGGTAGTAGGTGGTATTTTAAGGAGACTGCTAGTGGACCTTCAAATGCTTTTCATTTCAAAACTTTAATTTTAATAATATTGCTCTCTTAGTTTGGGCTCCCTTAAAATCACAGCCTGAGACTAGACACAAGGACTTGGTGCAGGTGGTTTATTTGGGAGGAGATCCCAAAAAGCAGAGGTGAAAGAAAAGGGAGAGAGTGAGACAGGGAAGAATGAAAAGCCACTGAGTGTGCATCATTAAGGTTGCTGCTTTGGGCAACAGGGGCTCAATTCTTCTGTGACCTTTGGCAAGTGTGCAGAATGCCTTCTAGAATGTTCCCTCCAAAAGAGGAGTGGCTAGACTTGCTTACTGGCTCTCATTCTTCACTGGTTAGAGATGGCTCCTAGGGCGTTACCTCTCCATACTTGCAGGTTGTACTTGCTTGGGGGCTGACTGGGCTCCCAGTTTCAGAGATGGCTTTGAGGCAAAAAAACAGGGAAGCATTTTTCATGTTTCAAGAGGGCATTGTCATGGGAACCCACATTGCACTCTCTACCAGATCTGTGACAAAATCATAGGTGTGCTGAGGGGATTTGTTACAGGGTGCCAAAAGCATCAGCTACGAGCATATTGTCCCTTCTGAATAGACTGTTCCCCATTGTCCCTGTGGGGACACTTCCCCACCAATGGATCACCTGGTCATTGCTGTCCAGTCCACATGACATTGATGGGGAAGGTCACTGCTATTAGCCTCCCTTGACCGATGTCAGGGCTGTAAGGATCACTCTCCTCCATCTTCCTTCCAATCTAGCCCCTTGTCCATATCCTCCCTCTGTGGAGCTCACCTGTGTCTGGAAGGAGTTGTGCAACCTCAAGTGGCCTCAGTGAAAGCTGCAGTTGAAGAGAGCAATTCAGTTGACCACAAAGGAATGTGACAGAGAATCATCCAACGCTGCCTAGAACATCTCTCCTGCTCACCTCACCTGGCATGCTCACATGCAGCCATGTGGTCAGGGCAATACCGAGGCTGAGTTCAGTGCCACCCTGTGCTGCCCCTTGCCGGTGAACTTGTCACACTTGTTTACACATGTTTGCAGGCCTCTTTCTTATGGGCATCAGCAGCTTGTTGAGGACCATTCTATGTCTTCATTTTGTGCTCAGAACCTAATGTAGTGCCTGGACACAAAGGGTTCTCAGCAAACACTTGTGGATACAAAGGAGGGAGGGAGGGAGGGAAGAGGGAAGTCGGTTGCTAGGAGATAAAATGATTTGCTTATAGCACAGTTGCCAAAAATAAGTCACAAGTGGGGACTTCCCAGAACTAACCGTTCAGTGCAATACTTAGCTGAAATCTATTGCAAAATGCAGTACTTACTTAGGCACTTACTTTTGTCTTTATTGTTTTTTAAGAAAGAGATGCTCCAAAGGTCAGTGACTCAGACCACTAGGTGACTTGGCTGTGGTTTCCTATGAGTCAAGCCTACCAGACAGCAGAGGACAGAGGTGAACAGGAAACTGGGCCAGAGAAAAACCAGAGAAACAGAGAGTCAACACAGACGTCAAGGAGGCTTCCGCCCAGCTCTCTCAGGCCAAAGGGGCAGACAAACCCGTGAACTCCCAGATATTCATGTCCAAGTGAATGCAGCTGTACGAACTTCAGCTTGAAAACTTCTCTCAAATAGCAGGTGGGGAGAACAGGTAGTAAATGCCTGGGGTTGTGGCCGCTTCCTTCCCCAGCAGAGCTCTGCCCCAATGAGAACACAGGAAGGGTAGATAAGAGAGCAAAGTGGGCAGTTTTTCTTATTTATTTGTTTGGGTAAAGGAAAAACAAAACAAGATGTGAACACGCATATCTTCACAAACTGTAAAATTTATCTCTGTCCTCTATTCCCTGCATCCTTCTCCCTACTCTAACATCTTAACAATCCTAATATTTGCCTATTGTTACACAAAATGTACGCCAGTAGATATCAACATACCAATTAAAAAAAAACGAAAAAAATACTTTGCTGTTTTTCCTTGAAAGCACAATGACATGAGGCATCTTTGGAGAGAAGAAGCTGCCACAATCCGATGCCTCCTCGTACCTGCTACTAGCTGTGTAGGCTTGTCTGATCTAGCCCCCTGGATGTGAACAAACTAGAGCAACAGGGAGAAGCAGAGATGCAAAAGAGTTAATCATACAAATTGCTGAGTGTGCACAGGAAAAACATACTACATTTGTAATTGTGTTTACAGTGTACAAAGCACTCTCCCATATTCCTCATAATCTAACAACAATCCTGAAATCATCACTATTTACGATGCAGAAACTGAAGGAACAATAAATGGCATGTCCTATGCCATACAGCTAATACCAGGCAGATCTTGGCATTGAACTAGAGCTGTCTGAGCCTAGACCAAATATTGTTTCCAGGATTCTGCAGCAAACTCTACCAACTAGGTACCTACAGCCTCCCCTAACCTGCCTTCGGTCTCCTGAGCAGAAGTGTTTATACCTCAGTCCCAGCATGCAATAACCGTAACAGGTAATAAGCACCTTGGAGAAACACCAACTGCATCCAAAAGAGAGCCTGGTTCTGATAATTCTGTTTCACTAACTTCTAGAAGACAGAGAATGAACAGCTTAGGTGAACATTTAGATGAAATTAGAAAAAAAAATGTTAAGGGAGTTGAGTATTTGTTAAAGGTCCTTGAACATGCAATTCTAAAAGAAAAGGAAGCTCAGAGAAAGACACTGGGATCTTCCAGAACTGGGAAGAGCCTAGGACCTGAGATACAAAGATCTAGAACCAGGGAAAGCAGAAAACTTCACCTACAAAGTTCCATGTGCTGCACTGGGCCCTCAGCCCACACACATGCCTAATTCTACATCTTGGCTCTCCAGTCTTCTTCACAGACAGCGCTTGGTGCCTGGGGCCTTTCCAAGAAGAAAGGTGTTATAGTGTAAGGCTCTGGTGCCAGTCATGTTGGACTGGCCTTGCTAACACAAGACTGTTGTAGAGAAGAAGAGGAGGTCTGGTGTGCCCCAGGGACCACCCCTTGGCATAGGCCACTGTAGACGCAGCATGAACATGCTGGGGTCAGCAGGGCAGCCAGGGCTCTATTAAAATTCTAGGCCAGTTGGCACAAAAAAGAGAATAAGAATAGGGTGTCAGTTGGAGCCCTACACACTGAGCTGGCCTGTGGTTTTAAATATCGTGCAAATGCTGACAAGTCTCGAAGGTATATTTTCAGCCCAGACCTCACTTCCTAGCTCTAGACTCACTAGATGATATCACACATTTGGATATATCATATTATCTCAAACTTAATTTGTTTAAAATGAAACCTATAACCCATTCCTCTCACCGAGCATCCACCAGTTGCTCAGGTGAGAATCTGGAATTTGTCCCTGAGTTTCTCTCTCCTTCTCACTCCCACAGTTAGTCCATCACCGTGTCCTATTATGCTTCCAAATTCATTTACCTCTTTTCACCTCCAAGGCCATCTCCCTAGACCCAGCCCCCACCTCCTCCTACCTGAATCCTTGAAATCACATCCTTACCAGCCTTCCGGCTTCTATTGTGCTCTGACAAGAAAGCCAGAATGGCCTTGCCAAAGCTCAAAGCAGACTGTCCTTCCTTGGGTCTAAATCCTCCAATGGCTTCAGAACAGAATCAAAACTCTAATGGGGCCAGCAAATCCCTGCGGGCTCCAGCTCCAGCTGTCACCAGCCTCACTTCAAACTCCTTTTTCCCTACTTACATTCCAGCCCCTTCTTCCCCTGTGACACCAAACCCTTTCTGACTTCAAGGTCTCTACACTGTTGTACCCTCTCCCTGGAATTCCTCCTCTCCTACCTTTTGTGGGGCTATTTCCTTCTTATCCATCCAGTCTCAGCATAAGTGCCATCTCCTCAGACCTTCCCAGAGGCCTTTCCTCACCATCAAAAGATGATCCTTCCTGTTATCCTGTCTCATTGAATCCAGCTGTTTTATTTCATAGCAAACATCATAATTTGCTATTATATGCTGATTTGGTTTTCTTCTTTAATATCTGACCCTCCCTCTAGACTGCAAGCTTCATGAGGGGTGAGACCATGTCTGTTCTATTTATCCCTGTATCCTGAGAGCCCAGCACAGGGCCTCGTATATAATAAGGGGTCAATAATAGTTATTGAGTTAATAAATAAATACATTTAAAATAAATACATAAAATAAAAATAATGAAAACTAATTTGTTTCTTGTTCTCTCAAGAGAGCTTCTGCCCAGACCACACCCCACCCCTGCAACCCTTGATCTTTCTCAGTCCACTGTTGGCTCTGAGCAGTCCACACAGTTTAATGCTACATCAGGATGAGTACGCAAAGAGAAGCAAGAAAATCCCTCCCTTGAACATGAGCCACAGCCCTTCCCATCATTCCTTCCTTCCCTCCTTTATTAATTTAATAGATGAGCCCATATGTAATAAACATAATCATAACATAATAATAACTACATTTATGGAGCTTCTACAATTTGTTGGGCACAGTCCTTTATCTAGATTTTCTTATTTGATAATCTTTGGAGCCCTATAATGCAGTTACTTGTATTTGTTCTACTTTACAAAGAAGAAAATCAAGGCTTGGTGAATTAGGTTACCTTCTCTAGGTCAGATATTAGTAACTGGCAGAGCCAGGATATCTGTTTGGTACAGTAAGTCTAAGGCTTCAACCAATAAACCACACCACTTTCCAAATGTTCACTGCTATTCAATGTACTTTAAGATTCATCCAACAACTATTGAGCCCCCACAGATAAACCAAGCATTGTGCAAAGTGTTTGTGTGCATCTTCCTATCTTATTGCCACAACAACCTTGTAAGATGGGTCTTTATTATTCTCATTTTTGCAGAAAGGGGACTGAGATCAGGATTGTTGAAGCACCTTCATATGGTTCTTTGTGGAATATCAGGATTTGATGCAGCTCCCTCCCTCTGAAGCCATACTCTCTGCATTCTTGCATATTTTGCTTCTCTTCTCAGAGAAAGAAGCAGGCAGAACCAGGACTTGTGCATGCACACACTATGATCAGTGGAGTATAGCCTATTGGATTAAACCACTCCCAGAGAAGCCCTATTGATCTTATACCTCAAGAGTGGCTCGGGAAAGCCATGGGACAGGGGAGAGGCTTGAGTTTTGAAGTAGGACAGATGTCCGTTTAATTCTTTATCCCTCACTAACTGGGTGGCCTTGTGCAATCTACCCAATTCTCTGAGCCTCTGGCACCACTGAGAAAAAGGGTCCTGTACCAACATCATGGAGATTCTGTAGGAATTAACTAAGATCACAGAAAGAAAGCCCTTAATGCGAGGTCAGCACATGGTAGGTTCTTGGTAACCGGCTTGGTATTTTTAGCTTCCTGCCCACTGGGTTCTCAGGCCCAGGAGAGGAGACACTATAATTAGGCTATTCTGCTGTGGAATTCCTCAGAGCCTCATGCCTGTCTTTTTTCCTCCAATTGTCTCTCCCTTCCTTTCCCACCCACAATTTGAAACTGACTTTTCTGTCTGCAGGAAATGTGTTAAATGAGACAATGTTTGTGTTAGCGCCTTGTTTCATGAGCTTTGCTGGCATGTTCCTCTCTTCTGGTCCTTGGGGAATGTCTGAAATGTGGTCAGGTGCGCCTGCTGACAGTCTCACAGGCACGACGCACAGTTAGGAGAAGAGAATTTCATTAGCAGAAAATAATATGACAGGGATGTATTTATATGAGCACAGATTTTAGAGATACAGGTTTGGGTCCACATCCCAGCATTGTTACTGGCTGTGAGCCTGAGGCTGTGTTATGTACTACCTCCAAATGTCAGTCTCCTCGTCCACAAAACTTCTAGGATTCTTATTTTCATTAGAATAATGAGAGACAATGTTTTGAAACATCTAGGACAATGTTAGACCAGTTGTAGGTGTTTAACATTGTACGTGGATTATTTTTAGAGTATCTAACAGTGCTTGGTATCTAAAACAGGGATTGATAAATTACAGCTGGCCCACAGGCCAAATCCAGCCTACCACTTGTTTTCATAAACAAAGTTTTATTGAGACACAGCCACACCCACTTGGTTACATATTATGGCTGATCAGTGGAGGCTATGGTTGCTTTCTCACTACAAGAGAAGAGTGAAGTAGCTGCAACAGAGACCACGTGGCCTGCAAAGCCTAAAGTTTTTACTATCTAGCCCTTTGCAAAAAAGATTTGCTGATCCCTGATCTAAAACATGCTCTATGAATGCCTGGCACACAGCTGATGCTCAATAAATATTGGTTGAATGGAATATGCCTCTACCTCCTTATACCAGACAGGAAGTCAGTTGGATGTGGAAATTCTCTTCAACAAACTCACCCCAAATCATAGATGCCCTAACTTACATGCTTGGTTGAAATTGTGAGTATTTCTTATTATCATTTTTGGGCAGATGCTCACTGAGCTCACACTCAGTCACTTCCACATTTCCTGGACACCCTGTATAGAGTTACCTTGATATCTCCTGGATCTCCAGGTGCCTGGGCCTCCTTGGCTCATGCCCACAGTTCAAATCTCAGAGCCTTAAAGGAAGAGACAAGAGAGAAAACACTGGACTTTCTGTTTTTAGCATGCCACCTTTCCTTTTCCTTAATATCTTTCTTTTCTCTCTGGCGTCTCCTCTCTAGCCTCTTCTCTCATCAGCCAAAAATTCTTTTCAGGCTTCTCTTTGAGTTTCTCTTCATCATCCATCCTGACCACCCTTCCTCCAGCATTGATTCCTGCTGGTGACAAGCTGTTGGTTTGGTTTAAAAAAAAAAAATCACCTTTGGTAATTGGGGGAAACCTTTAAAAATTTGCTGCCTTCCTTACTATCAACCCCTTCCTATTCTTCCTGAAGCAAGAAGGCTGCTGTAGACCCCAGGGTACAATGACCACGATAGGCACAGAGACCTCTCAGCAGTTGCCCATTTAGTGTATCAATGGGATTAAGTTCATCTACATTAACAGAGTACCAAAATAATCATGGCTTACCCATGATAGAAGCCTATTTTCCTATCATGGTTAAAGCCTGGAGATGGGCAATCTAGGGCTGCTCTGCCCTACAAAGACCTCAGGAATCCAAGTTTTCTCACCTTGCCACGTTTCCTCCCTAGAATGGAGACCCTTGTCTTCACAGTACAAGATGGTGGTTGAAGTTTCAGCCACCACAGTCTCATTCTAGATAGCAGAATAAAGAAAGGAATGGAGACAAGGTGCAAATTGCATGCATCCATTTTTTTAAGGATGGTTCCCAGCAGCTGCCACCTGACACATCTGCTAATATCTCCTAGGTCACATGGGCACACTCAGTTGTAAGGAAATCTGGGAAGTAGAGCATTTATTCAAGTGGTCATATGCCCAGATGAAAATGGTGGGAGGGAGGTATTCAGTAAGAAAGATGGGGAGAACAAATAAGATAGTGGGGGAAAAGACAGTGAGTGTGCATCCCTTAGGATTGTTTTTAGCTACAAATAACCAAAGCCCAGTCTTCAGTAGCTTAATCCATTAGGATTTTTGTTCTTTAATTATAGAGAAGTCCAGAGATAGGGAGTCCAAGGTCTGACTTAGCAGTTCACTGTGTCATGCAGGACCCAGACTTTCACCTTGCCTCTTCCATATGCTGGCTTTACTTCCACAGGCAGTGGTCTTACAGGGCAAGACGGCTGCTGCAACTTCAGGAAACATATCCTCATGCTCTGCTCCAAAGGTAGGAGGGAAAAGGCAGTGGAAAAGGGTTTCTGCTTCTGATGCTCTTTTTTTTTCCCCATCCTTCTCCCCCAACCCAGGAAGTCCCTAGACGTTTCCCCTTCCATCTCCTTTGACAGCCTTTCTCTCATGCCCACCCCAGACCAATCACTAGCAAAAGGGAATGAGATTGCCAAGACTTGCTTGCATGACCTGCTGCCCGAACAAAACAGGACTCGGTTAGTAAGAGAGAAAAAAGGAAAACACTTTTTAGTAGAAATACAATAGAATGATCCACTGTTATCTGAGAGGGGGACAAACAGTAATTTTTTTCCCTCCTGCCTTTAGGTGCATAATAATTAGATTCTTCGTGGATAAAAGGCAAGGAGTTAATTGAATTTGGATCATATTCTCAACCTTCTTACAGCTGCTATTTGTTATCAACATGTTTTGTATCATTACAAAATCCAGAAGAAGTAAAATCTGCACCATAAATCTTTAGGCTTGAGCTTTCAGTTCAGTACTCTGCAGCGTGCTGCCTCCACAATGCTCACAGCTATTTTCAGGTGAATGTTCTGTACAGAAAAAGCAACTTCCTAAAAATAATTTTGCAGTGGCAATCATGTATCTCCTAGAAATGATACACCTTCTTTTGTTGATGGGGTCTGCAATCCTATGGCAGGGCCATCAACCCCAACCAGACTGCTGGTGATAATGAGATTAAATTCCTCTCCATTGAAAATAGTTCTCACCATTACATCAGAGCCCAAACAGCATTTTGTGATGTTACCCATCAGAGTATGACATTTGAAAAGCAGCAATGGACAAACCACATCTGGATTTGCAGTGTAGACATGGATACTTAGCATGACATTTAACTCGGCTCACTCAGATTTCATCCACATTCTTCCCTTAGACTGAAGAAAAGGGAAAATGATATCCCTTAGGTCTCCACCATGTGGTAGGTGTTTTATACGTATTGTTTATTAAGGCCCCATAATCGTAAATAAAGTTGGTCTTGTTTCTGCCTGCAACTTGCCTGCAACTCCCCTCACAGGCTGGACAAGAATGGAACTGGGTGGCTTAGGGCTTGGGGTCTGGGACTCTGAACTCCAGAATTGGAAAGAGCCAAAGGGTGTACACAAGACAAATTCCTCAATGAACACAAAGAGTCCTGGCCTAAGAACCCAACAGTACTGCAGAGAAAGGGAAGAAATCATAGAAAAACTCAATAGATGAGTTTGCATAAACAAAGCTCAAGGGTACATACAGTGTAAGATTAGCCTTAAAGGTTTAGTTGGGGAAACAATTACTACCATTTCACAGGGGGCATCTGAGGTTCATGGAGGCCAAATACATTACCCCAGATAACACCACTAGCAGGTGGCAGCGCTGGTATCTGAACTCTGGCTTAGTACTGGTCCCAAATTACTACTCTTTCCACTGTACCACACAACTTCTCTAAATGTGAGAGGAGCCACCTGGATGGGATACTGAAAGACCTTGCTCCTGATGCTGAACCCTTAAGGCTGCAGGCGTAGCCACTACCTGAGCAGTGGAAATATAACTCCTTGTCCCCTCTTGGTCCTGGCTCATTTCCTTGCCTTCATTGTCCCTGGCATCCCATAGTTGAGTCCTCTGATTCTTCCACCTACAAGATCAAGGTTAGTCTCAGCAGAGACAGGAAGCATAACTGTAAGACTCTAACTCTCTAGAATTGTATTAAAAACTGTATTCTGAGGATTCTGTTAGCGGCAAGTTACCAAAACCAAACTTGATCCAACGTGGATTAAAATAGTGATTCATTGGAAACACACTGGGGTAGTCAAAGCAAGGGAAGGGCAACAGGGCAGCTGGACCTCAGGGACACCTGGACTCAGGGACACAATCACTACAGCATTCTCCTTCCCTCTCCTGTCATACAACTTCTAAAATCACTGGAATCTATAAAGTGCTGTGTTTTTGTATGCTAATGTTAACTAACAGTTTCAGGGAGGGGCTGGTCATCCAAGACAGAAGCAGGTTTAGAGGGTTGGGACTTTTAGCCACACCTCCAACCTCCTGGGAGAGGAGAGAGGCTGAAGGTTAAGTTAATCCCCAATGGCCAATGGTTTAGTCAATCATGCCTACATAATGAAGTGTCCATAAAACCCCAAGAGGACAGGATTCCGAGGGCTTCCGGATAGGTGAGCACTTGTAGGTTCCTAAAAGGTGTGTGCCCAGGGAGGGCGTGGAAGCTCCATGCCCCTCCCCCCATACCTTGTCCTATGCATCTCTTCATCTATGTCCTTTGTTATGTCTTTTATAATAAACTGGAGTAAACCTAAGTAAGTATTTTCCTGAGTTCTGTGACTTGCTCCAGCAAATTAATAGAACCCAAAGAAGGGGGTCACAGGAACCTCAACTTGAAGTTGGTTGTTCAGAAGTTCCAGAGGCCCAGACTTGCTACGAGTGTCTGAAGAAGGGATGGGTGCATCTGACACTCCAGGTAGATAGTGTCGGAATTGAATTGAACACCCAGCTGGTATCCGCTGCTTGGTGTGTGGGGAAAAACCTCCACACATTTGGTCACAGAAGTTTTCTGTGTTGACGATTGTTGTGGTGTGAGAGCAGAGGAAAAATGTGGTTTGAGGGTTTTTCCTGAACAATTTAGACTCTGAAATGATGTCACCTCCCTGATTCTAAATATTGGTAATTTTAACAAATATCATTTGGTTTAATTGATGTTTTCTATTATTTTTCTCTTTTCTATTTCACAGATTTCCATTCTGATATTTATGATACTCTTTCTTCTGCTTACTTTGAGTTTAATTTGCTCTTTTTTTTCTAGTTTCTTATGATGGAAGCTAAGCTCACCTTTTCAAATATAGGCATTTACTGCTATTAATTTTTCTCCAATCACTGCTTTAGTGGCCTCCCACAAATTTTGATATGTTAGTTTTTAAATTTTCACTCAACTCAAAATACATTCTAATTTCTCTTTTTGATCTCTTTGAGTTATTTAGGAGTGTGTTACTTAGTTTCCAAATATTTGCAGATTTTCCAGATGTCTGTCTGTTATTGATTTCTAATTTAATATTTTGTAATCAGAAAACACTTTGTATGCTTCAAAACTTTGCAAATTTAACAAAACCTGTCTTATGGCCCAGAATAATATTGTCCATCTTGGTAGTCTCTATAGGCACTTGAAAAAAAATGTGTGTATTCTGGTTGTTGAGTAGAATATTCTATATATGTCAGTTAGGTTAAGTTGGTTGGTTGTGTTGTTCAACTCTCTTATATTCTTACTAATTTTCTGTTTGTTTTGTCAATTACTGAGAGAGAATGTTACTGAGATTTCTATTATTGTAAATTGTGTCTTCTATATCCCTGAAATTCTGTTTTTGCTTCTTGTGCTTGAAGCTCTATTATAAGGTATATAAACATTTAGGTTTATGAATGACTTTCATGAATGACTTCTTTATCATTATGATATTCTTTGCTCTAAAATTTACTTTGTCTAACATTTAATACAGCCACTCACTCCAGCCTTTTTTTTCTTTTTCTTTTTTTTTTTTTTTTTGGTAATGTCAGCACAGTATTCACTAGTGTTGTTTGGCTAGTGTTAGCACAACTTTTTTCCATCTTTTTACTTTTAGCCTATTCATATCTTTATATTTAAAATGCATTTATTTTAAATGGCATTTAGCTGTGACTTGCTCTTTTTATCCAATCTGACAACCTCTATTTTATTTTATTTATTTAGTTAGTTATTTTTGAGACAGTCTTTCTCTGTTGCCCAGGCTGGAGTGCAGTGACGTGATCTCAGCTCACTGCAACCTCCACCTCCCGGGTTCAAGCAATTCTCACGCATCAGCCTCCCAAGTAGCTGGGATTACAGGCGCCTGCCACCACACCTGGCTAATTTTTGTATTTTTAGTAGAGATGGGCTTTCATCATGTTGGGCAGGCTGGTCTTGAACTCTTGACCTCAGGTGACTCACCTGCCTTGGCCTCCCAAAGTGCTGGGATTATAAGCATGGGCCACCATGCCCAGCCCGACAATGTCTATTTTAATGGGAGTATTTAGATCATTTACATTTAATTGGTTATTGTTATTAATTGTAAGTCTGTCATCTTACTGTTGGTTTTTTAAATTTATTTATCCCATCTGTTCTTTGTTTCCTTTCCTTCATATTCTGACATTTATTAGGGGAAGGATTCTTTTTTTTATGCTTTCACTTTATCTTCTTTTTTATTTATTAGGTATAACTCTGTTTTATTATTTTAGAGTTTATATTTTACTTCTTTAAGTGATCATAGTCTACCTTCAGGTAATATGATGCTCACTTCAAGTAAAGTGTAAGAACTGTACAATCATCCACTTCAATTTATTCCTTGCTGGCCTTTATGCTAATGTTGTCGTACATTTTCCAGGGTAGCTGGTAGAAATAGGCACTATTCCCAGCCTGCGCGGGCACAAGGCACTTTTGCCTCTAATCTGTTCAGGTAGTTCTTTCCTTAGTCTTGGGTAGTTTTCCTACACTTTTGCACTGATCCACAGTTTGGTGAATATTCAAGAGGGACCCTCCACAGATCTCTGGGGCTTTCCTTTTATGCAGCTCTCCCCTGTTTTTAGTCCCGTATCCTGCAAACTCTAGCTATCTTGGTCTCCCTAAACTCTCAGCTTTATCTCCTCAACTCAAGGAGACCTTCAGGTTCCATCGTTGTTCTTCTTCCTGCTCTGTGGCTGGAAACCCTCTCAAGATGTAAGCTGGGACTCACCTCATTTGCCTTCTGACTCTCAGGGACCACTGCTTTTCATTGCTTAAGGTCCAGTATCTTGTAAACCATTACTTCTTATACTTCGTCTAAGACTTCCTAAAACTTCGTTTGTTGTTTGTTTGCTTATTTTGGTTTATTCTGTCAGGAGGGTAAATCTCGTCTCTGTTATTTTATTTGACTGAAAGCAGAAGTCTAGTATCCAAATGGAAATTTTTTGAAGGAAAAAATACCATCATTAAAATTAAAAGCTGAAGGTTGTGTTAGAGATCAGGTTATTTGTGGCTGAATAGAGAATTTGTTGTCTAGAGGATAAATCTAAGGAGAATACCTACAGGCAGCCCAGAAACATAAAAATGCTGACAACGTGAAGGAGAGGTAAAGGATTTTGAGGACAAAATGAGAAAGTGCAACATTTATCTAAAAGGAGTTCCAGAGAAAAAAAATAAAGAGGAAATGAAATATTCGAAAAAGAGAAAAAATTAAGATTGACAAAGAACATGAATTCTCAGACTGGAAAAGTTTACAAGCAGAATAAATAAATCTACACCTAACACATTGTTGCAAAACTACAGAGTACCAAAAACAAAGAAAACCACCCTAGCAACCAGAGAAGGAAGATGGAGTGTTCACAGAAATATTTATTCTGATGATAGCCTTTTCCACAACAATAGATTGGTGTCATATGATAGAATAACCAAGGGAAAATCCATTCTTAATCTGAAAGTCAGCTATAAAAGTAATCTATACTCAGCTAAGTATCAGTCAAGAGTAAGAGCAAAATAATGACATTTTTAAACAAAACATAGGAGAATCCGCCACTCAGAGATTTTTCCCTGAATTAACCAGAGAGACACTTTAGGATGAGGAAAATTAAATCCAGAAGGGAAATGTAAGATACAATAGAATTGGAATTAATACGACAAAATGTAAACTTCTGTTTGATATTGGTAGTGGTTGTAAGGGTGTCTAACATACTTCCTATGCTGTTTGTATGTTTAAAATATTTTAATGTAAAAGGAAAAGAACTCTGGAGAAGATGATATAATGAAAGCCCATCTAGGACAGTGTTACTGCGTAAAATGCTTAAAGTAAAGTAAGATGAAGACAGAAAATTACCCATAGTTTTCCAAGATGAAACCCACTGGTAAGCTTGACAAGAGCAGACCTATGACTTTGGCCTATGAGTGAAGTCAATGAGAAGTCAGGTAGAAGTGCTGTGACTGATCTTCCATGCATTGCTGCCTGACCAGAATTACAAGGGCTTCTCTGTGTGATATACAGATGTAAGTTGACCCACCACTCCTCATGTCCCAAATTTAGCAACTTATCTACAGCTAGTCTGTGGCTCCTCTTTGCCTAAAAGACAAAGCTTGAACTTCATAGTCTAACACACAAAGTGTGTTAGCTCCTGCCCACCTTGGGAGAGTTAATGTAGACCCACATGTCTAAGAAAAAGTTAATAGAGACCCATATATCTAAGAGTTAATGGAGACCCAGATGTCTACATTAATCTCCTGGGTTGGAAATGCAGTTGCCTGCTCAAACTTATCTAGGTTTTTTGAATTTCTGGACACTCGCATTAGCTCCCATCTTGTCTTTCCCAGCTCTTCCATCTCTTCAGCCATCCTGGGTCTCCTGGTATTAGATCTAACTCAACCTATGATCCATTATATTCAATCCTATTTTCTTTTCTAGATAGAACCTGCCTTCCTGCTTATGATAGCTTTCCCACACAGACTGTATTCCACATATATTTTGTGTTTTCTAGAGCCCCAAACCTGATGTTCTTGGCATATTTACATTCTGGTGCAACCAAAACCCCAACAAAAACAGAATTCTCCCTTCAGTATCTCTTCTGGCTGTTTGTTCTGCCTATTCTTAAATATCTGCCATAACAGGGAGCTCCATAACTTTAAAGTATCAGGCTTCACTCAGGACAACTCTGATTGGTAAAATTAATATTTTACCTCTTACCATTAATAAATCGTGTCTTTAGGAGGAAGAAGTGGGTTTTCACTCCAGGGAGAAGGTGTGGTGGTAGCACCAGCCATAGTCCTGGGGACCAGTACAGATCACTGGTTCTCAACCAGGAGTGATTTCTCTCCCATGGGACACTTGGCAATGTCTGGAGACATGTTTGTTTATCACAACTTGATCGGAGAGGTGGAATATGATTCGCATCTAGCATGGTGCTACTAAACATTATAAAATGCATAGGACAGTCCCCCACAACGAAGAATAATGCTTCCTAAAGAGGAGAAGCATGGTATAGCTGAGGAGGGACTCCAGTAGCTGAAAGCCTCAGTGGTGGCTTTACACTCTTCAGGATGCTGGATGGGCATATTCTTTTACAGGCCCTCCATGAGCAAGGTGCTAACATGAGCGTACACCCTCATGCTAGTGTTTGTAGGCCAATTCACTCATTCTCTATGAGTGACAGAGTCTACTTGAGGAACAAATCATAAGCTTACTTTCTGGCAAGCAGCCAAAGCAAAGGGAGGCAATTTCATTAGAGTCAGAGCCAGAGCTGCAAGAGGCCAGACACACCAGGTTTTGGTTGGATTCTCTAGAAGCAGATCCTGAGATAAGAACCTGATAAGGGAGAGCAGGGAGGAAGCCAAACAAGGGAGCTGTCTCAGGCAAGATCCCACAGAAGATAGTTTCAGCTTGACCCTGCATGGGAGCTCTGGCATGTACGTTTTGCTCTGGAGCACAAGCTACACCTCAGAAAAGGGAATGGGCTCGAATTCTCCCACACTCATTAGCCATTGGTTAAGGGCCATGATGGAGAAGTAAACTCCTAGGAACTTCCAGCCTTTCCTACAGGTGGCCCAAGTGGGCTCCAGCAGCCTGGGGGCAATCCCCCATAAAAACACTGCAGGTTGCAGGTGCTGGCTGTTGGAAGTGAAGATATACCACAGACATGGAGCACGTAAAAATGGTAGAAAGGGATCCTGAGGGGATCTGGGTAGATCACTGACATTGTCTGCTGCACACTTATTTCAGTTGAGGCTGCAGGCCCAACTTCAACAGCAGTCATTTATGGAGTGCCTCACAGGTCCCAAGCACAGCTGCAAGGGACACACACTTTTTAGCCATGGCTCTGTACTCCATCATCTCTAGGTATGAATGCTGTAATTGCTAGCTTGGAGCCTGCATTTGTTTCATTCCAGTCCCCAACTTATGCTTGTGTCTGGTTTGTGTGTTTTTTACATCTTCATTATAGTGCATCTACTGGTGTAATCCAGATGTCAGCAAATCAGCGTCAAACTCCCAAATCCGTGCCCTGTGGAAAACTATGAAGAATTCCCCCTGCCTCCACCAATACTGCCACAATTGCTGGGGCTTCCTTATGATCCCTTCTGCATCTGGAATTTGCTTTAAATATTCCATCTTGAATCAACTCAGACATCACATCAAGCTCCCGTACCCACTTCCACAAAGAGCCTACTGATGCCCAGGGTTAAGCAGGGATTTTGGCTAAACTAACTGAAATTTCCAGGAGTGCAGAAAGAAGTTAGCATCACATAGAGCACAGCCTGCCAGGATTTTGCTGGCTCCTTCTCTTCTCTCTCTAGTTGTCTCCTAAGATCCAGATAAAGTCCTCTTCTGGGTTCTGCACAGCAGGTTAGTAAGCATCTTCTGAGGCTTAAGCTTGCCCTTGGGATCCCAGCAGCACCTCAGTGGTTCATCATTATATTTCTTCTGCATAAATACGATGCTCTTGCGAAGAGGAATTATGTGGAATAGCAAGACTTCCTTCCACAAGCCTTCATTTTAAACAGATTACTTTTTAATTGTGTGCCTTATTCTGAAATATTCCTGCCTGTTCCTTCCTTCATTTATTTCCTTATTTACTAACTTACTTATTTTCATGTCTCGGTTATTGTTTGAGACATGTTTCTTATAAACAACTTGCATTTGGATCTAATCTGGGAGTCTTTGCTTTTATTGTATTCATTATTACATTTATTGTGAAGATTGACATGTTTGCTCTTGCTTCTTTCATCTTAGTTTATGCCTTGTTTTTTATGCCTCTTTGCTTCTTTTCTTCCTATGTTTTGCCAAATGTCTTTTGTTTATTTGCTGTTTTTACCCTAGTGATTTCAAAGTCATGAATTCTATTTTTGCTGGCTTCATGGCTATCCTTACAGTTCAAAAAATATTTGATCTTATATTCTTTTATGCAGGACCTTTCGACACTCTCCGTGAAAAATAAGATCTCCATATAGTTCCATTTCTTTCCCACCTATATACACCTCCAACTTCCCAAGATTTTTTAGTATAACCTTGGCTTTTAAATCCAAGTTACTAATACTGTTACATTAGAAATCTCTTTCTTTTTAAAATTATTTTTAAAATTGTATTGTTTCCTTACACAATTAAATATCCTTATTTATACAATAATTCTAACTTTAAGCTATATCATTTTTTTTTTTCAGACAGAGTCTCACTCTCTTGCCCAGGCTGGAGTACAGTGGCACGATCTCGGCTCACTGCACCCTCTACCTCCCAGGGTTCCAGTGATTCTCCTGCCTCAGCCTCCAAGTAGCTGGGATTACAGGCATGCACCACCATGTCTAGCTAATTTTTGTATTTTTAGCAGAGATAGGGTTTCACCATGTTGGCCAGGCTGGTCTCGATCTCCTGACCTCAGGTGATCCACCAGCCTCAGCCTCCCAATGTGCACATTTCTTTTACATCCTATTTTCCTCATATTTGAGTTCTTTGTCACGTTTGTCTCTAACATCACTAGACTGCTTTTTGAGAAAACAGAATTAAGAAAGGAAGGTGAGCTGCATCCTTTCAGAGACCTTGTCTGGCTAGGAAGTTCTCTATTTGCCTCAGCTCAGAATTATTCGATTGCCATCTCTAACATTGTCCCATTTACCTCCGATTTTTGTTTGTTTGCTTGTTTTTGAGACAGAGTCTCTCTCCCTCGCCAGGCTGGAGTGTAGTAGTGTGATCTTGGTTCACTGCAACCTCCACCTCCTGGATTCAAGCAATTCTCCTGCCTCAGCCTCCCTAGTAGCTGGGACTACAGGCACATACCACCATGCCCAGCTAATTTTTGTATTTTTAGTAGAGACAGGATTTCACCATGTTGACCAGGATGGTCTTGATCTCTTGACCTTGTGATCTGCCACCTTGGCCTCCCAAAGTGCTGGGGTTACAGGCATGAGCCACTGCGCCTAGCCTTCCTCTGATCTTTAGAGTTGCAGAAAATAAGTGAGTTGTCAGCTTTATCTTTTTGTTTGTTTTATCTAGATGGTTACATGTAAGATCTGTTTCCCTTATTCTTAAAAATTTTTAAACTTTCTAGAATATTTCTAAGTGTGCCTTCTTTTACATTAATGTCTCAGATACTTAGTAAACCCTTTTAATCTGAAGATTCTAGTCTTTTTTACCTCAAGAAAATGGCTTTTATTATACCTCCTGAATTCATTTTTTATGACTTTCATCTTTTTGCTCATGATCTCAATCTTTTTACACTTATAAGAAACCTTTTTACATTTCTGAATAATCAGATAATTTATCAAACCATCCTTCAAAATCAATGAGTCTCTTTTCTACCTTATTCACCACGCTATTCATGGTGTCCAGGATGGTTTTCTAAATTAAGGAATTCATGTTTTTCATCAGAAACCAATCTATCCTGATCTCAGATTTCTCCCTTTTCATAAGTGCATTGTCCCCTTGAATCTTGCTGAGAATACAAATTAGAGGGTTTTGTTTTCTGTGGATGCAGTTCCCTGGTTGTTCCCAAGGTTGCACCTTGCCTGAGTGCCTGCCAGTCTCCAGCCCCTGCTAGGAGTGCTTGTGTCAATCAGGGCTGCCATTGTCCACAGCAGATGGAAAAACTAGCTGGGGAGAGAACCATGCAGTAGGAGGGTTCGCTGTGAATTGAAAGCTTCTCCTCACAACACTCAGCAACCTCACATTTTATGGAGTCTTGCAAGGCTTTCTTAGGACCACTGGCAACTTTAGGCAACCCCATTTCATTAACTGTCATGATCAAGCCACATGAGTGCTGGTGATGACCACCATAGCCACTCACTACATATGGTACACACTCGTATGCCTTGTTCATTTGTTTATGCATTCATTCAACAAATTTTTCTTGAGCACCTCTTTGTACCAAGCTCACACTGAAGATATGATGGTATATAAAGTTCTACTCTATAGTGTTTTTATTAGAGTCAGGAGATAGACAATGTACAATGAGTAGGTGATATAATATAAAAGAGTTGTAAGTGCTATCAAGAAAAAAAATCCAAGCCAAGATGTTAGAGAAAGAAAAGGTGTTATTTTTAGTAAGCATGGTCTGGAAAGACCTTTCTTAAGAGGTTTATTAGAGCAGAAACTGGGAGAAAGTGAGGGAGTAAGCTAAGCAGATATTTGTGGGAAGAGGAGTATAGGCAGAGGGGACAGCCAGTGCAAAGGCCCTGAGGCAGAATAGTGATTAGACTTTCTAAGGAAAAACAAACAAGCCAGTGTGGCTGAGGCTGCAAGGGTGAGGCAGAGCAGGACAGGCGGACGTTCTGAGGGGCAGCATGCTACATTGTGTTTGCTTTATGAGGAAGCCCTAAGGGCACCTGGGCCATACTTGAACTTCTTGTGAGAAGGCCCCACCATTCAAGATGCAGGGCATGTCCTTTGCCAATCAGGGACATGCTTTATCACAAAAAGCCTTTCAGCAACCCCAGCCCCAGCATGTGGGTTGGCATTATTCCTGCTAAGCCACAGGCCTGACGTTTGCTGTGATGAGTTCTCTGGCCACCAAAGAACTCCCTGCTGCAGCCTTTCACTAATGTCCAATGTGTTGGGCCAACCTCCCACACTCTGTTATCCATAAGCCTGTTCCTAAGCTTCCACTTTGTTGGTCTGAGCCCTGAGCCTGCTGAGGGTCCACCGGAGCCTTGCTCTGGCAAGTGACCAGATGGCCCTGTCCACTGGGGCCTCTGCAATTCTTAGTCAGCCTGGTTAGGGGACTCATGTCTAAGTGTGTTAATCATACTCGTGCTTAGAGTACCACCTCCTGCCTCTGCTGTTTTGGACACTCCTACTATTTGTCCAAAGTCTGGGTTGTCCTGGCAAGTCCCTGCCCTAGAGTCGTGTTCCTGACCCCCATTCCCATTCTTTGCATTCTTCCCTAGCTCTATCTCCTCCAAGCCTGTTTTTGAGGTTTGTGTGTGTTTCACCCCAAGCCCATCTGAATTTTTGCAGCTAGGCACCTACCATTCTTATCCTACTCTACATTCAGGATAGGTTATGTAAAGGGATGAAATCATATCTAAATTTTTAATAAGCAAAGAAACTTGTAATTAAGGGAAAACAAAAGGTTATTTTTCAAAGGAGAGTTACTAGGATTGAGCAACTATCTGCTTCACTCTGTCCCAACAGACCCAGCCACTGAATGACCTTTCTTAAAGGTCTAAGTCTTTCTGAAAGTTTTAGTTTATGCAATGCAGAGGTCATACATACCTTTAAGTTTTATAACTCTAATATCTGATTGACACTACTGTTAACAAGAAGTTACAGCCTATTCCAAACTATATAGATCGATAAATATGTATTGATTTATATCAAGATAGATTTATATCAAGAAATTCTTTCCTTGCACTCATTTCGCAGAAACCTAGATGGATTTCTCATCAAAATCTGTTGACTAGTCATGCTATATGTGAGAATTCATTCCAAACCACCTGAAATGTTATCAGGTGCAACACCTGGATGAATTATAGGGCCAACATATCACAAAAACTGTCTTCTATAATCATACAGAGTTTTCCTGTGAAAGTCACTCTTAAGTAGAGGGGTTATCCTTTCTACAGATTATGAATAAACCAAATTGATGAAACAAATTCCATTACCTGCCACCTACCCACACCTATTAAGACACCTGTCAATCAAGACCATCTACAGCATCAAGCCACACAGTTGATAGTATTAATTGATCATCCCATGGGCTGTATCTTAGAGAAACTAGCCCAGTGAAATGCAGGACCAGTATGGCAGGTGGCTTAGCAACATCTGATCGAGCATGAACTAGTTGACCTCGAATAGGCCTTCCACTCTGATATTGTCAGTGGTGAGAACACAATATATTTGCAGAGACTCAGAAGTGTCTTCAATGATATCACTGACCTTGTATCATCTTCCAGACAGGATGGTCTTCATAAAGAGTCCAGTTGTCACTGAAGTAATTCAGCAAAGGTTGCTGTTTGTGAAAGAACAAGACCTAAATCAAGCAGTCTTGGATAGGCTTGAAATTCATGGCTTCTCTTTTGAGTCAGCCCACTGTGGATTATGAAAATCTAATCTTTGGTGCTGTGAATAGCAGGTGCTTTGACCAGGTAACCTTAGAAGATGAATTGGCCCAGGATGTTATAAAATTCACAACCTAAGCAGCAATTTTTCAAAACTCTTTTTTGGTAGTAGAAGGAGCACAAATTATTAATATCCAACTTAAACAGCAGTAGTTCACAAGCTGCAGATTCCATTTGTGAAATTTAAATCTCTGAGCAGTGACTGATGGTGCTTGGGGAAAGTGCACCTTCAGTAATACCACACGTTCAGCTGTCTTGGTCTTATTTAAATCAGGGACTGTGAGGAACTCTGATATGGCATATGTTTAAGTCCTGCTGACCAGCAATGTAAGCAAAGTGGGGGCTAGAGGGGTCCTAATGACAGCAGTCATTTCCATTTCAGCAGCACAAGCCCATACCTCATGCAAAACCATCCCCTGTTCCTCCAAACTGCAAGGGTCCCTCATATGCTCATAAACAGCTGTTTTTTCCTCTTCTCTGGCCCATCACTGATGCTCACCAATGAGGAAGCCATTTAAGGGTAGTGCCCACCACTGTGTTTCTTCTAGGGGAACCCAATTGTTTTAGTTGGGTTTCCAAAGAAGCAGAACCTAAGACAAGGATTCAACCACAATTACCTTATGTGAGACATAATCCCAGGAGTAGAGAATCAAGCAGGGAGGGGAAAGAAACAACAGATTTGTTATCAAGCCAATCACCATCATTGGCACCTGAAGTTTAATCTCAATGAGAGACTCTTGGAAGCAACATAGAAAGCACACCTCAGAGTTGGCCCTCTGCCCTCAGGAGTATTTACACACCAGCTCCCATCAGTCATTAATTATTCAAGGGCTATTGGGGTAGGGGGTCTTAGTTCATGCCAGAGAAAAACCTTAGGCAACTGGAAGACAGGCTGGTATGCACTACAACAGTAAGGCCCAAGAGGATATGAGTGGGGAACCCATAGTGTCTGTCTCACCAATACCCATGGTAAAGATGCCATTTCCTGGCTGTTCCCAAGCTAAGAAGACCAGGTGGACCACATTCCCTGCAGGCCTGACTGCACCAGTGTGCACATGTGCAAGCATGTCTGTAGGATACATTCCCAGAAGTGGAAGTGGCTATTGTGAAAAGTACATGTTTTTTAAAATTTTAAGATGTACTGCCAAACTGCCTTCCAAGAAATATTCACCAACTGATTTTTGTTCTACAGTGTATTTGAATTTCCTTTACCCTGCTTTGTAGGATATTGATATTTCCCATTGCTGTAAAATTTTCTATGCTGTAGTCTTACCTTATTGTTTCACTTTTAGGTTAAATTTACATGTAGTAAAATGTAGATATTTTATTGAACAGTTCTGTGAGATTTAACAGATGCATAGAATTATGTAACCACCACCACAATTAAGATTAAAAAAAAAACCAGTTCCCCAAAAATAAAAATACACATATGTCACCTTGTAGTCAACCTTTCTCACACATATGGCCCCTGGCAACCATTGATATGTTTTCTATTTATACAGTTTTGCCTTTTCTAAGTGGTCATATAAATTGAATTATAGAATATATGACCTTTCAAGTATGTCTTCTGTAATGTAGCATAAAGCATTTGAAATACATTCATGTTGTTATGTGAATCAATACTTCATTCTTTTTTATTTACTGAGTTGGAAGTATTACAGCGTGTTTATTCATTTACTCATTGAAGAATTTGTGTGTTCTTTCCAGTTTTTGATGATTATAAATACACATTCATGTACAGGTTTTTGTGTCAACATAGTTTTCAGTTCACTTGGGTAAATACCTGTGAGTGATATTGCTGGGTCATATGAAAACTTTATTAAACTTTGTAAGAAACTGTCAAAATGCTTTCCAAAATGGCTACATCATTTTGCATTTGCACGAGCAAAATACGAGTTTCTGTTTCTCCACATTGTTATTAATAATGTTTCTTTTTCCTTGTTATTAATGATGTTTTTTCTTCCTTCCTTCCTTCCTTCCTTCCTTCCTCCCTCCCTTCCTTCCTTTCTTCATTCTTTCCTTCTCTCCTTCCTTCCTTTTTTAAAATTCTTTCTTTCTCTCTACTTTCTTTTTCTTTTGCCATTCTAATTGTTGTGTAGGGATATCTCATGATTTTAATTTGCATTTTTCTAATGATATATGCTTACTTGCTATCTATATATCTTGTTGGTAAAATGTCCATTCACTTCTTTGTTCATTTTTAATTGGGTTGTTTGTTATCTTATTGTTGAATTTTAAGAGTTCTGAATATATGCAGTAACTCTATCAGCTATGTGATTTGCAAATATTCTTTACCAGTCTATAGCTTGTCTTCCAATTACCTTAAACAATGTTTCCAAAGAGCAGAAGTTCTTAATTTTAATAAAGTCTAATTTATTATTCTTCTTTTATGAATCTTGCTTTTGGTGGTATATTTAAGAAATCTTTGCCTAACCCACATTCACAAAGATTTTATCCTCTATTTTCCGCTACAGCTTTATAGTTTTGGGGTTTACATTTAGATCTATGATCAATTTTGAGTTGGTTTTTGTTTATGGTGTGAGATATGGATCAGGGATTTTTGTCTGTTTGCATGTAGATGTCCAATTGCTCCCACATCATTTGCTGAAAAGGCAATGCCTATTCTATTAAATTTCCTTTGCAATTTTGTTGAAAATCAATCAAGCATATATCTGCGGGTCCATTTTTGGACTTTATATTCTGTCTTATTGATCTTCATGTTTACTTTTGACAAATATCACACTGTTTATCACCGTAGCTTTATAATAAGCCTTGAAATCCAGTAGTGTCGGTCCTCTAACCCTGTTCTTTTTCAAAATTGTTTTGGCTCTTCTAGTTCCTCTGCATTTCTATATACATTTTAGAATAGTTTGTCAATGTCTACAAAAAGCCTGCTGGGGTGTCGATTTGAATGGCACTGAATATACAGATCAACTTGAAGATAACTGATATCTAAACTATGCTGAGTCTTCTAATTCATGAACACAGTACATTTCTATTTAGGAGACTTCTTTAATTTCTATCATCAGTTTTTTTGTAGTTTTCAGCATACTGGAATATACTTTGTAAAATTTGCACCTAAGTATCCACATTTTGGTGCTATTAAAAATGGTACTCTTTAAAATTTCAATTTTTCAGTTTTTCATTGCTAGTGTGTAAAAATGTGGTTAATTTTTGTATATTGACCTTGTCTCTTGCAATGTTGCTAAGCTCCTTCATCCAAAATTTTTTTAAAAGAAACTATCTTGTGTTTTATTCTAATACCTTTATACAGTCATGAGTCCCTTAACAATGGGGATACAGTCTAAGAAATGCACCATTAGGCAATTTTATTTTTGTGCAACCATCATGGAGTGTATTTACACAAACCTAGATGGCGCAGCCTACTACATACTTAGGCTTTATGGTCTAGCCTATAGCTCCTAGGCTATAAACCTATACAGCATGTTATTGTACTGAATACTAGGCAATTGTAACACAACGGTAAGGATTTGTGTATCTAAACACATCTAAACATAGAAAAAGTACAGTCAAAATATGATGCAAAAGATTTAAAAACAGTGCACCTATATAGGGCACTTACCATGAATGAAGCTTACAGGGCTAGTAATTACTCTGGGTGAGTCAGTGAGTGAGTGGTGAGTGAATGGGAAGGCCAAGAAATCACACCACTGCAAACTTTATAAACACTGCACATAAACACAAAAGCCTAAGTTTTTGAATTTTTTTAACTTTTTGACCCTTTTTTTTTTTTAACAATATTTAGCTTAAAACACAAATACATTGTACAGCTAGCTATATGGAACTATTTTCTTTCTTTATATCCTTATTCTATAATTTTTTTTTTTTTTACTTTTTAAGCTTTTTTTGTTAAAAACTAAGACACCAGTACACACATTAGCCCATGCCTACACAGGGTCAGGATAATCAACATCACTGTCTTCCACCTCCACATCTTGTTCCACTGGTAGGTCTTCGGGGCAATAATATGCATGGAGCTGTCATCTCTGATGATAAGAATGTCTTCTTCTGGAATACCTCCTGGAGGACCCGCCTGAGGCTGTTTCACAGTTAACTTTTTTTTATATAAGGAGAAGGAGTACACGCTAAACTAATGATAAAAAGTATAGTATAGTAAATACAAAAATCAGTAACACAGTTGTTTATTATCAAGTGTTACATAGTGTACATTGTTGTATGTGCTATGCCTTTATACAACTGGCAACACAGGTTTGTTTATACCAGCATCACCCCAAACATGTGAGTAATGTTGTGCTACAACTTGATGATGGCCACACGTCACTCAGTGAGAGGAATTTTTCACCTTCATTATAATCTCCATTATAATCACCATTGTTATCTGCAACATCATTTTCAGTGCATGACTGTACTTTTTCTTTTAGATTTAACTTCTTAATCCACTTAGAATATATTTCTGTGTATGGTGTGGTGTTGGAGTACAATATCATTTCTTTCTTTCTAACAGCTTTTTGTGAATAATCCAATCTTTTCTCCCCCTTTCAGCAAATCCTATTACAGAAAAATTTGAATATGGGTGTGCATCACACATATTGAGTTCCTGAATTCAGAGTACTTGCAAACCATTCTGAAAATACACTGCACATGTAAATGCTAAATATACATTCGGCCCTCCCTAACTGTGGAAGATTGGTTCTAGGACCCCTGCAGACACCAAATCCTCTGATGCTCAAGTCCTTTACATAAAATGGCACAGTACAGTCAGACCCCTGCAACCCAGTCTGTGGGTTCCACCAACCATGGATGGAAAATAGATACAGTCGGTTCTCGGTATCTACAGATTTTGATCCATGGATGTGGAACCAGCAAATACAGAGAATGATATGTACTAATATGTAGCTAACATTACGTACTTTTTTTCTTCATTTATGTTGCACCTTATTTCAGAATGGATTATGCCCAGGGTTGTACCATTGTTTCAGCAGTGGAATGTACTAGATAGTTACTTCGCATCTTCATCTCAGTAGAGTTCTTCTGCAACAGGCAGTCTTAAAGGTCCCGCACTAGGGTGACTTTAACTGAGCAGGTTCTCATCACAGGAGCTTTCTGCTTCGATTCTTAGTGAATTCATGTGTGCATGGAGCAATCTACCAAAAAAGAGCCAAAACTGTGTCCTTAGCTCTCACTAGGTAAAGCAAATAGGGGAGGAAAGAGGGCTCAGTGATTTCCTTTTTATTTTGTCACGTAGAGCTTTAAAGAAAAAAAAAAAAGGCTCAAAGCATGTCACCCTGATCCAGGAGGCAGAAAAGAGAGAGTGCAGTATCAGGCAGAGTCCCTGCTGGCTCAGGGTGAAGAACAGCCGAGGAGTGCATTCCAGCCTGGGGCCAGCTGCACCTGCTATATTTGGGGTCAGTCTCCCTGAGGCAATGCCTCTGCAGGATTCACCAAGGGAATTCCTGGGAATTTCCACCCACTTCCTCTCCTCCAAACGATAGCAAGTGGCTTTTCACTCTGACGACATTTGTGTTTGCATTTGCATTTAGGAGTAATTGTTAACTTACCCAGGCTTCTTGGAGAATCCACAGTAATCAGCGTCTTTTTTGGAAAGTAAAAGGCATTTTCTCATGTGTGCTATTTTGTGTGTGTGCTATTTTCTTTGTTTATTGTATTTTTAAAACTATAGATTATATTGAATGTTTGAGGGCAATGATTTTAGTATTAATTAAAGGCATATAAGAAGGGGAGAAAGCATGTAATGGAAGAGACTGGCAGTTCTTTGGTGAGAGTGTGCTCTGTAGAGCTCAAAGCAAGGGAGGTGTTGTCCTAGGTGAGTGGCGGGAGAGTCAGAAAGGCGTCTCTGAGGAGGTGATCTGCTCAGGGCTCTCACTCCCCTCTCTCTGCAAGGAAGAATGCTCAAGGAAGAATGCTAGTCCAGCCTCAGCTACGTCTTTACTGACAAACACCCACAAGCAGGCCTTATCCACATTCTAGCCTTTGGGACATCTGAAACAGCCTCTGGGGCACCTCCTGCTCTCCTAAGGTTTCCGCCCAAAAAGAGTGAGGTGGCTCTACAAGGCCTGTGACCATGAGGTGATGAGGAACGCCCCTAACCACCCCCCAGCATCAGGGACGCTTTTGATAACAACAGAGGGGCCTCCAGCTGTGCTGTGAGGCAGACACTGACCAGCCTAGCAGGAGGTCAGCAATGTGGGTGGAAGGGAGGGACCAGGAGATTGCTATCCCATAGTCACACTGGATTAGGGGCTCTGCATTAAAGATCACTCAGAGTTAACAGCAAAAAAAAAACAAAAACAAAAACAAAAAAAAGTGCAATCAAATATGCCAGAAACTGAATTCCCACAACAACCCCAGGCCATTTGCATTAACATTCCCATTTTACAGATAATGACACAGAGGCCCAGAGAAGCTCAGTGGCTAGTCAGCTCTGAATTCAAACATATGTCTTCTCTCCACAAGTTTCTCCCACTCTGCCACACTTGTGGATCCAGGGTTGTATTTCAAACCAGTAATTCTCAGCCTTCCCTCTGCCTTCACATTGTCTACATTCCAAAGTTCACCCATCAGTAACTTCCCAAATTACACACAGGGATTCTCCACCAGGGAGGCAGAGAGGAGGCCATGTCCCCACCCCCCCACCTCTGCAGTGGGACCCATTAGAGGAAGTGTCTGGTTTGAAAAAGGCTCCCCAGAACCTTCTAAAACACCCTCTAGGCCACTTGAGTATCACTGATTTAATTAAACCAAAAGACACAGGCCAGATCACATAATCATTTTCCTGCCCACATAACTGCTATTTCCATTCCCAGGGACATTCTTGGAGTAACATTTGACACACACACCCCAACCCCAAGCCTTTATTCCTGGATTCTTTGTAATGTGGGAGTTTATCAAAGAGCTGCATTTACTAACTAGAACACGCACAGCCGGGGCCAATGTGGAGGTACAGACAGTCATGTTAGAGAAGACAGGGGCTCTGGGCTACCTGGGAGCAGAGAATGGTGAATTCAAAGATGAAAAGGGGTGGGCACCGGGAGTGAGGGGTGGGGGAATTCTGCCCTCCCCGCCCACCAGGGGGTTCCACCAAGGACAGGAAGGATACAGCAGCAGATGAGGACGGTGTCCCAGCCACATACCCTCGCTGCACGCTGGAGGACTCCTGCAGCCGGTGGATGCCCACCTGCTGAGGCTCTCCGTCCTGGGCCTCCGTACCTGTCGACCTGGGGGCGTTCTCCGGCCACAGGCACACGCCGGGCCCACATACAGCTTAGGTCTGAAAGATGGGAGAGTAGATGCCTCAGAAAGTTTCTCAGACAATGAGGGATGGGAGATAGTGAAGGAAACTCCAGTTTGCTACACCTTGGTGAGAAATTCTGAGGTATGTTCTACCCTGGTTCCCAGAGGGCCCCAGCGGGAGGGAGCCCACTTGCCCGCAGAGCACTGTGCTCATTAATGCCCCTTGAATGGGTTTCTCCTCCTGCCCTGACTCACTTTCCCACTCCCTCATGGCTGCTTTCTGGGATCACCTCCCAAATAAACAACCGGCACCCAAGTCCTCGTCTCAGGGTCTACCTTGCAGAAACCCAAATGAAGACACACACACACACACACACACACACACACACACACACACACACACACTTAAATGTTTTCAGTCCAAGCTCTTCCTCAGGCTTCAGGCTTCAGTACCACACACCAGTTGTCTACGGGACACTCCCATGACACCCCAGCCGGACTCCTTGTTTTGCCCTGTGGACTCATTCTCCTCCCTCCTCTGCCGAGTCAGTTAACTGCATGAGGATCCTTTCCTAGAAGTATCACCTCCCGCTGACCTCAGGGAGTCATTTAAGTGACCCAATTTGGATAAAATGAAAGCCAGGATCAGTTTTTTTGTTCAGTTATTGGGAAAGAAAATCTCTTATTTCCATCCCCAAGACATGGGGCTGCCGTTTGTGTGTGTTTGTGTGTGTGTGTGTGTGTAAAGGCAGAGCCTACTAAGAGTGAAGAAGAGGCTGAAGCTGTCAGGCAGCTGTTACGGGTTCTCTCCGCTTCAGGGTGCCAGCCGCTTCCAGCTGCATCTCTTTGCCCATGGGCTTTCTCAGAACTCTCCGAAGGCTGCACTGCCTGAGTGCCCAGCAGCTGGAAGCGCCGGGGAATTAATACTCCCTCAGGGAGGCCCTCTACCATCGACTGATGGGAATTGTTGCCCCAGCTGCCTCGCCCCTCAGGTGGGTAACACTGAGGCATGCAATCCACCAGGTTTCCCAGAGCTGCACTGTGGGATTAAGCTCCAGATACCCACAGGGAGAGCTGGCTGGATCCTGCACCGCTTTTTGGCTATCTTCCCTTCCCTGTCTCACTTCCCCACACTCTCACTGGTACCTCCTGCATCTTCCAAATCACAGTCAAATTCTTGCCTCAGGGTCTGCTTTGGGGAAACCCACATTAAAAGGTGGCAACACCAAGGACACAGTTAAAATAACAAAAGGAGGCAAGGAAAAGTAGTCTCAGTCATCATTTGAACCCTGGATCAAGTAATGTCTGAGGCAATACAGCATTTTTTTTCCTTAAACAAACCTGGTATTTTTTTTTGTCAGTTGCAACACTGAGTCTTAGCAGATATATCTAAAATTGTGCAAAAACCACTGGACAACACTGACACTGCCATTCCAGATCCTTCACAACGTGGTTCCAGCCTTAGCTTCTCCAACACTCTACCCCACCCTTCCCCACCTCCAGACACAGACCAGACTGGGCTCCTCACTGATAGTGGAAACCCTCCATGCACTTTTGTACAGTCAAGCCATTTCTGCCACTAGGCACATCCCACTCATGCACCCAGCCCTTCTCTGTTGGACCAAATGCCATCCATCTTGCAGGGTTCGAGTCTGGAGCCCTCTTTGCTCCCTTTACCCAGGTCAAAGTCTCCTCCATTTTCTGGCAAGATATTGTTCACTTCTCATGGCACTTTCCATGTTCCTCTCATGTGTATAATAGCAAGAATTTTCTATTAAAATTACCACCTGTCTCAGACAGGAGGCTCTGGATGCTGCTCTTGCCTTGTGTCTAGGTCTGCCTAATGGTTACACAGGTGTGTTCACTTTGTGGAAAATTATCAAATGATGTGCTTCTAATGTGTGCACATTACCTGTTAATAAAATCATTTATTTAAAAATAAAATATCAGCTGCAATCTAAAGTTCTCATGGCAGAGGGAAAGTCCTTTTTTCCTTCTGAGTGCTATGATACATTTGGGTTATACAACTTGAGGATTAGGAGATGGCTGAATGACTTGCCCCCAAGGAGGAAGAATTGTGGCTTCCCAGAGTCGGGAAGAGTGGGTGAGCAGGATAGACGGAGGAAAGGAAGAACAACCACATACCCACAAGGCGATTGCCACTCCGTGACTCTCAGCTTTCAACACATTATCTAAATTCACAAAATGCTTGGCACAAGTGGATTTTTTCTGGACTGTGGTAAAGTGGCTTAGTTCCATGTGTCCACTGACGCAGAATGAGATGTTGTTAGCATACTTGATTCAGGAGTTGGCAGTAAAGAGCCCCAAGAGAGGGTAACTCTGAAAATTAGTGTTTGTCACTGGGAGGACGTCAGACTTTATGGGGCCAAAAAATTGGATGTTGAAGCCAAGTTTAGTCCCTACCAGAGGAATAGGAATATGATACAGTGTTCTCAGTATGTCTTTTCTCCTTTATTGGTCTGTAAGGTTCTTGAGGTTGAAAATAGCAATTGGATGGGTGAAGAGAGAGAAATATTTCCCCTTTACTTGTCCTCTTTTCTCAACTCTAAACACAAAAAGGTGCCGACCAAAATATTTTTTGCATGAAGTAATGAAAAATAGAGAAGAGGGACTTGGTATTCTTGGATAGACAAGAATTCTCCTGATATAGAAGCGCCTAAACAGTATAAAGAACAAAAAAATTATAGTTGAAGACGAGGCTGAAATCTCAGTTTAACCACTTACTAGTTGTGTGACTTTGGGCAAGTCACAGCCTCTCTGAACTTCAGTCTTTTCATCTATAAAGTTGGTGCCTAAGGAAATAATTTTATAAATGGTAAACTGCTTTTTAGATTTCTGTGTTGACAGCATTGTTTTCAGGACCTGCATTCTAAGCTGGCAAGGCTTGCCTGAACAGTGTAACTTTTCTGCACACAAATTCCTCCCCCATGAGTTTGTAAACTCTGGCACAGCTGGAACAGGTATCAAAAGTATAGAAATGCAAATATTCATTGATTGAATTCGCACAGAGGTGTAAGTGATTCTTGGTAGATTCGTTCCATAAAGAATAGGTTTTCTTTGATGAAAGGACACTGGGAATTTTAGCAGGATGGGGAGAGGCCACAAGAGAAGGGACTGGGGCCACTGGCAACTTCATTTCAAATGCCATTAAGAAAAGGCCCTCATACCTCCCCTGCTGTATCATCACTGCTATGTGTTATTGTCATTTGTGTTCCTATCTCGTTGAAGTAGGCAGATGTTACATGAACTTTGGATAGAAATGAACCAGGTGTGAAATGTGTCTTCTCAAAGTAACACCTGCAGGAAGTTGCACCTGGCCCTTCTTCTCAAAGTGCCTCCCAGTGAGGGAGTGATGTTTGCCAGATGCACCCTTCCAGCATCCCTGTAGGGCCCTACCCAGTAGTGGGTGCAGCAGTTATCCTGTAGATCAGGCCTTCTGACTTTTGGGTGGCTAAGGAATCCCTGGGAGTTTTGTTTAAATGAAGACTGTAGTTCTGCAGGACTGGGGTGGGGTCTGAGATCCTGAATTTCTGACAAGCTCTCCCAGGTGATGCTCATGCTGCTGGTGCATGGACTGTGCTTTTAGGAGCTAGGCTGCAGAGGCTTGTTAAATTAACAAATGAATGAATAAGTAATAAATGAATTAATTTGTTAAAATTCCATTACCTATATTATCAGTCGTAGCTCTTTCATCTACTAAGAGACTCTTACCTGTCTGCCCCTCCCAGGAAATTGCAGGTTATTATTTGCAGGCAGCTGTCTGACAGGAAGCCAGGATCTGTCTTCAGCCATGTGGCCTGTCTCTGCTTTTGAGCAGCAGCTGCCTACCCCTCGGCCCCCACACCCCCAGCCTGTGCCCTGTAACTCACCAGGTAGCATTTGATGTGAAGATGAAAGGACCGGCACACCTGGGTGTCTGCCCCACTCTCCAAGCTCTACTTCCTCGACATCAATCAGTCCAACCCTCTCACTGATTCAAATTAAAAGCTGAGCTCCCCAGCTCCTGCTGCAACAAATTCTGGTTCACAACTGAACCCAACACCAGCTCAGCCTGGCCCAACCCCAAGAATAGGTGGTGGGACCAGCCACTGGTCACTTCCTTGCTCAACCTCTGGGGACCAATTCCATGGTCAGCTGACTGTCATTCTCTTCCTAACTTCCCAGGTGCTGTGTTGGACAGCATCTGGGAATGGGACAGGGAGAACCCTAAGCATCTTCAAGGTGCGCATAACAGCACATAGCCTGCCAGCTGGTTCACCTCAGAGCAGCCCGTGGGCACAAGTTTTTTTCCAAATCCCTAGTATTAGGGTATGCTCTGTTTTGAATAGTATGAGCTAAGAGCTTGGCACCTTGTTTTCCATGGCTTCTCGCTGCACAAGAACCTGTGTCAAAATGAGTTACTGAGGACAAGAACGCCCCTTCATCTCCAAAATCAGCCAGATTTTTAACTTTCGGGTTCCTTTTGACATATACCCCTTATGGATATGAGTAATACCCCCTTTTTGGAGGACTTTGGTGAACAAATTTAATCCATATTTGTTGAGCACTAAATCTTAAGCCCTGTCTATACTGTCGAGGACACTATGGTCAACAAAACACACAGGTCCCTACTCTCCCAGAGCCCACATTCTAGTGGGCAGGGAGAGAAAACAAACAAGTCAATAAATAATTAAGATATTTTCAGGTAGCCACAAGCCAATTGCAAAGACAATTAACTGTTGGCAATTTGTATGTCTTCTTTTGAGAAATGTCTATTCAGTTGCTCTGCCCATGCTTTAGTTGGGTTATTTATTTTCTTGCTATTGAATTCTGAATTTCTTATACATTTTAGATATTAACCCCTTATTAGATATATGCTTTGCAAATATTTTCTCTCATTCCATAAGTTGTATTTTCATTCTGTTGATTGCTTCCTTTGCTGTGCAGAAGCTTTTTAGTTGGTTACGATCCCATTTGTGTATTTTTGCTTTTGTTTCCTGTGCTTTTGGGGTCATATTCAAAAACTCATTGCCTGGACCAATTTCGGGAAGCTTTTCTCCTATGTTTTATTTTAGTAGTTTCATAGTTTCAGATTTCACATTTAAGTCTCTATTTGCTTTTGAGTTGATTTTTGTGCATGGTGTACAAAGTGTCCAATTACGTGGATGTCCGGTTTTCCCAACACCATTCATTGAAGAGACTATTATTTCTCCATTGAGTTCTTGGTACATGTGTCAAAGTTCAGTTAATGTTAAATGTGTAGATTTATTTCTGGGCTCTCTACTCTGTTCCATTGGTCTATATATCTGTTTTTATGACAATATCATTTTGTTTTGATTAGCATACCTTTGCAGTAATTTTGAAATCGGGCAGTGTGATGTTTCCAGCTTTGTTCTTTTCACTCAAAATTGTTCTGGCTATTCAGGGTATTTTTTTGGTTCCATCTGAATTTTGGGATTGATTTTTCTATTTCTGTGAAAAAAGTCACTGGAATTTTGATAAGAATTGCATTGAACTTCTAGGTCACTTTTGGTAATATGAACATTTTAACAATATTAATACTTCCAGTACATGAACATGGGATAGTTTTCCATTTATTTGTGTCTTCTTTAGCTTTTTTTGTCAATGTTTTATAGTTTTCAGTGTACATGTCTTTCACCTCCTTGGTTAAATTTATTCTTAAGTGTTTTTATGCTATTGTAAATGAGATTTTTCTTGATTTTTTAAAAATAGTTTATTGTTAATGTACAGAAACACTATTAATTTTTGTAAGTCACTTTTATATCCTACAACTTTACTCAGTTTGTTTATTAGTTCTAACAGTATTTTGGTGGAGTTTTTAGGGTTTTCTAAATGATTGTGCCATCCACAGAGACTGTTTTATTTCTTCCTTTCCAATTTTATTTCTTTTCTTGCCAATTGCTTTGGCTTGAAATTTCAATACTATATTAATTAGAAAGAATGAGAATGGGCATCCTGTGTTCCCAATTGTAAAGAAAAAGCTTTCAACTTTTCACCATTGAGTATGATGTTAACCATGGGATTTTCAAAAAGTTCATGGAAAATGCATATTATGAAAACACTGCGCATGTGTTTCAAATCTTTTTCACACCAAAACAAACTTGTACTAACTTATTATAATATGTCTGAACGGGATCTAGTTTGAGGTACTAAGAAGAATAAGACATTACTTGGAAAGGAGCCCCTATTAGAGGAGCATGAATTCTGCTAAAACTGAAACAAGAACAAACATCAAACTTATGATGAAGCTTGGGTGGAAGAATGGTGAAATCATTTATGCTTTATGGAAACTATATGGGGACAATCCCCACCAAAGAAATCAGCAGTTTAAAAATGGATAGTTTATTTTATGAAGGGACAAAGCAATGTTGAAGATGAAGCCCACAACAGGAGACCACTCACATCAATTTGCAAGGAAAAAGTCTTATTTGTGCCCTAATTGAAGAGGACTTATAATTAACAGTGCAAACAATAGCCAACATCATAGACATCTCAATTGGTTCAGCTTATACAATTCTGACTGAAAAATTAAAGTTGAGCAAACTCTCCACTCGATGGGTGCCAAAATCAATAGAAATTTTAAATAAGTGGGATCAAGATCCTAAAGCATTTCTTCAAAGAATTGTAACAGGAGATGAAATATGGCTTTACCAGTATGATCCTGAAGACAAAGAGCAATCAAGGCAATGCTACCAAGAGGTGGAAGTGATCCAGTCAAAAGCAAAGCAGACCAGTCAAGAGCAAAAGTCACAGCAACAGTTTTTTAAAATGCTCGAGGCATTTTGCTTGCTGATTTTCTGGAGGGCCAAAGAACAATAACATCTGCTTATTATGAGAGTGTTTTGAGAAAGTTAGCCGAAGCTTTAGCAGAAAAATGCTCAGGAAAAGTTCACCAGGGAGTCCTTCTTCACCACACAATGTTTCTGCTCATTTCTCTCATCAAATAAGAGTAGTTTTGCAAAAGTTTTGTTGAGAAATCATTAGGCATTCCACCTTAAAATCCTGATTTGTTTCCTTCAGACGTCTTTTTGTTTCCTAACAAATATTTTTATTCCCTGAAAGTAAGAAAATATTTTTATTTCCTATTTAGAAAGTCTTTTTATTTCCTAAAAATCTGTAAGGGGCACCCATTTTTCTTCAGTTAATAATGTAAAAAAGGCTGCATTGCCATGGTTAAATTCCCAGGACACTCAGTTTTTTAGGGATGAACTAAATAGCTGGTACTATCACTTATAAAACTTTCTTGACCTTGATGGAACTTATGTTGAGAAATAAAGTTGATATTTTTTATTTTTACATTTTATTTCCATTTTTCCACAGACTTTTTGACTCCTCTCATATGGTCTTTATTATGTTGAGATGCATTCTTTCTATACCCAATTTGTTCAGAGTTTTTGTCATGAAAGAATGTCAGATGCTTTTTCTGCACCTATTGACATGATTATATGATTTTTTTATCCTTCATTCTGTTAATATTGTGTATCACATTGATTGATGTGCATGTGTGGAGACATCCTTGCATCTCAGGGATAAATCTTATTTGATCATTGTGTATGATCCTTTTCATGTGCTGTTGAATTTGTTTTGCTAATATTTTGTTGAAGATTTTGGCATCTATGTTCATCAGGGACATTGGCCTGTAATTTTCTCTTCTTGTAGCATTCTTGTCTGGCTTTGGTATCAGGGTAAAGCTGGCTTCATAAAATGAGTTTAGAAGTGTTCCCTCCTCTTCAAGTTTTTGGAAGAGTTTAGGAAGAATTTAGCATTAATTTTTCTTTAAATGCTTGACAGAATTTACCAGTGAAGTCATCACGTCCTGAAATTTTCTGTTAAAAGGTTTTTAATAACAGATTCAATCTCTTTTTTCATTATTGTTCTGTTGAGATTTTCTATTTATTTGTGCTTCAGTCTTGGTATGTTGTGTATTTCTTGGAATTTATTCATTTCTCCTAGACAATCCAATTTGTTGGTATATAATTACTTGTAACAGTCTTTTATAATCCTTCTTATTTCTGAGGTATCTGGCATAATGTCTCCTCTTTCATTTCTAATTTTACTTATTTGAGTCTTCTCTGCTTTTTTCTTAGTCTAGCTAGAGGTTTCTAAATTTTGTTTATCTTTTCAGAAAACTAACTCTCAGTTTTATTGATTTCTTAAAATTGTTTTTATAATTTCTATTTCATTTATTTCTGCTCTGATCTTTATATTTTCTTCCTTCTGCTGACTTCAGGATTAGTTTCTTCTTCTTTTACTAGTTCCTTGAGGTGTAAGGTTAGGTTGTTTGAGATCTTTCTTCTTTCTTAATGTAGGCATTTATTGCTATAAACACCCCTCTTAGAACTGCTTTTCCTATATTTCATAAGTTTTGATATGTTGTTTTCACTTCCATTTGTATTGATATTTTTAATTCCCTTCTGATTTCTTCTTTGACCCATTGGTTATTTAAAAGTGTACTGTTTAAATTTCACACATTTGTGAATTTCCCAATTTCCTCCTGTATTTTTATCTAGTTTTATACCATTGTGGTCAAAAAAGATGCTTGATGTGATTTCAGTCTTTTGAATTTGCTGACACTTGCTTCATGGCCTAACATATGATCTATCCTGAATAATATTCCATGTGTGCTTGCAAAGCATGTGTATTCTGCTGCTGTTGGATGAAATGTTCTGTATATGTCTGTCAGATCCATTTGGTCTATAATATTGTTCAAATCCTCTGTTTCCTTATTGATTTTCTGACCTGATGATCTACGCATTATTAAAAATTGTGTATTGAGAGCCCCTGCTATTACTCTATTGCTTCATTTCTGTTAATATTTGCTTTATCTATTTAGGTGTTTTGATTTGGGGCGCATATATATTTACAATTGTTATTTCTCTTGATGAATTGACTTCTTTACCATTATATAATGACCTTGTCTCCTGTGGTAATTTTTGAATTAAAGTCTATTTTTTCTCATATAAGTATACTCAATCCTTCTCTCTTTTGGTTACCATTTGCATGAAACATCTTTTCCCATCCCTTCACTTTCAGCCTATGTGTGTCACTAAAATTAAAGTGAGTCCTTTGTGGCAGCATACAGTTGAATCTTGTTTTTAAAATTCATTTAGTCATTCCATCTTTTAATTAGAGAATTTGATCTATTTACATTTAATGTAATTGTTGATAGGTAAGGATTTACTACTGCCATTTTATCAATGGTAGTTTTGTAGGATTTTGTGGTTGTTGTTCCATTCTTCCTTTTCAGTGTCTTCCTTTGTGATTTAGTGTAGGTTCATTTCTTGGTTTCTGTTTGTTCATTTGTTTTTTGTAGTGGTATGCTTTCATTCCTTTCTTTGCATCTTGTACATATTTTCTTTTTTCTTTGTAGCTACCATGGGGCTTATATAAAACATCTTATAACGGTCTAACTTAAGCTGATAAATAACTTCACTTTCACCATATACAAAACTCTACACTTCAGTTTATCTTGTACCACATTGTATGTTATTGTATGTCACAATTTACATCTTTTTATTTATTTATTTAATTTTTAAATTTAATTTAATTTAATTTTTTTCTTTTTTGAGATGGAGTCTCACTCTGTCGCCCAGGCTGGAGTGCAGTGGCGTGATCTCAACTCACTGCGAGCTCCGCCTCCCAGGTTCACACCGTTCTCCTGCCTCAGCCTCCCGAGTAGCTGGGACTACAGGGGCCCACCACCACACCCGGCTAATTTTTTTGTATTTTTAGTAGAGATGGGGTTTCACCGTTTTAGCCAGGATGGTCTCGATCTCCTGACCTCATGATCCGCCCACCTTGGCCTCCCCACAATTTACATCTTGTATGTAATACGTATCCATTAACAAATTGTTGTAGCTATAGCTATTTTTAATACCTTTGTCTTTTAACTTTTATACTAGAGTTAAAAGCGATTTATGTACCACCATTACATTATTACAGTATTGTGAATTTGTATTATTTCATTCATGATGAGTTTTATATTTTCATATGTTTCCTTGTTTTTAATTAGTGTCCTTTTATTCTAACTTGAAGAATTCCATTTAGCATTTCTTGTAATACAGGTCTAGTGGTGATGAACTCCCACTTTTGTTTGTTTGGGAAAGTTCTTATCTCTCCTTCCTTTCTGGAGGACAGACTTGAGGGGTATAGGGTTCTTGATTGGCAGTTTTGTTCTTTCAGCACTTTAAATATACCACCCACATCATCCCACTTTCTCTTGACCTGCAAGGTTTCTGCTGAGGAATATGCTTAAGTATTATGGGGGTTCCCTTGTATGTGCTGAGTTGCTTTTCTCTTGCTGCTTTCAAATTTTTCTCTTTGTCTTTAACTTTTAAGAATTTCATTGCAATGTGTCTCAGTTAATATCTCTTTACATTTAATATATTTGGGGTTCTTTGGGATTCATGGATCTGCGTGTTTATTTCTCTCTCCAGATTTTGGGGATTTTCTGTCATTATTCCTTTAAATAAGCTTTTGTCTTCTTTCTCTTTCTCTGCTCCTTCTGAAATTCACATAACGAATGAGTATATTGGTTCACTTGATGGTGTTTCTTAAGTCTCATAGGCCTTCTTCACTCTTTTTTATTCTTTGTTCTTTTTGTTCCTCTGATGGGTAATTTCAAATGACATGTTTTTAAGCTCACTGATTCTTTCTTCTGCTTGATTAAGTCTGCTGGTGAAGCTCTCTATGGAATTTTTCAATTAGTCATTGTGATCTTTATCTCCAGAATTTCTGTTTGGTTTTTAATGGTTTATATCTCCTTGTTGAACCTCTAATTTTGTTAGTGTACTCTTTTCTTAATTTTGGTTTAGTTGTATATCTGTGTTCTCTTGTAGCTCAATGAGCTTCTTCAGGATGATTATTTTGAATTTTTGTCACGCAGTTCATACACCTATATTTCTCTAGGGTTTGTTACTTGTATTATATTTTGTTCCTTTGGTAGTATCATGTTTCCCTGATTATTCATGATCCTTGTGGCTATATGTTGGTATGTGCACATATGAAGAAGTGGACACCTATTCTAATCTTTACAGACTGGCTTCAGCAGGCAAAATCTTTCACCAGTCAGCTCATCCAGAAATTCTGAGTGGGCCATCTAGTGAGGCCTGCAAGTGGGCTTGCTGTTGGAGTCATCAGGCAGGCTGGCCTGGTGCCTTGGTCAGTAGGTGGGTGGGCTTGGTGCTCGGGTTTCAGGGGCTATGCCTAGAGCCTAAATCCATGGGGGTGGTCTGAAGCCTAGGTGAATCCACAAAGGATGGCCTGGTACTGGAGCTGGTCTTGACCCTGAGCCTCTGGGGGCTATCCTAGAGGCAGGGTCTGCAAGTGCTAGCCTGGAAACTAAGTACACGGTAACCAGCCTGGTGCTTGGGTCCATGAGAGTGGTTCTGGAGCCTAGGTGTGCAGGGGCCAGCCTAGTGCCAGAGTCTACCAGGACAGGACTGGATGCTGAGTCCACTGGAGCATTAGGCCGTAGGTGCCAGCCTGGAGCCTGGGGCTGTGGAGCCTAGACTGGGGCTGAGGAAGGCCTGGAGGCTGGGTCTGCAGGAGCTGGACTGGCACTAGGGTGAGTTTGAAGCCTGGTGCTATGGGGCCTGGCCTGGAACTGGGGTCTTTGGGTACAAGTCTGGCACTGGAGCTGGCCTGGAGCCTGGGACTATGGAGGGGAGCATGAAGCCTATAGCTGCAGGGCCAGCCTGGAGCCTGGGCCACTGTATTTAGTCAGGGTTCTCTAGAGGGACAGAACTAGTAGGAGCGATAGATAGATAGATAGATAGATAGATAGATAGATAGATAGATAGATAGATAGATACACATATATATGGGAGTTTATTAGGGAGTATTAACTCACACAATCACAAGGTCCCACAATAGGCCATCTCCAAGCTGAGGAGCAAGGAAGCCAGTCCAAGTCCCAAAGCCGAAGAACTTGGAGTCTGATGTTCGAGGGCAAGAAGCATCCAGCACAGGAGAAAGATGTAGGCTGGGAGCTTAAGCCAGTCTATCCTTTTCACATTTTTTCTACCTGCTTTATATCCTGGCTGATTAGATTGTGCCCACCCAGATTAAGGGTGGGTCTGCCTTTCCCAGCCCACTTACTCAAATGTTAATCTCCTTTGGCAACACCCTCACAGACACACCCAAGATCAATACTTTGCATCCTTCCATCCAATCGAGTTGACATTCAGTATTAACCATCACAGCCACTGAGGCAGACCTGGAGCCTGAGGATATAAAGGCCAGCCTGGCACTGGGTTATTCTGGGGTTATGAGTGCTCACCTGACACTGTGTTTCACTGGGGTGGGCCTCAGGCCAAGGTCCACAGCAAAATTGGATGCTCACTTCACTCCCCTTCCTCCATGCAGATGATATCTCTCTCCCTGCTGTGCTGCCCAGGCTTGGGGAAAAGGTAACACAGGTAATGTAAAACTGTCCTTCCTATCCTCTTCAATGTGTCTTTTGTTATTTCTGCACTGCATCCAGGTGCTAGAATCTCTCACCTGGATTCTTTAGCTCTTGTGAAGATATTTTTGTGCATTGGATAGTTGTTCAAATTGATGTTTCTGCAAAGGGACATGCAGTGGAAAGTCGTATTCTGCCATCTTACTGACATCACTCTTAGTACTAAATATTTAGTCTCAATCGTAAACTGCCTTAAAGTTTGTAACTGAATGGGAATCTGCTGCTTCTTAAAACGTGTCCGGTCCAATGTTCCTAGTTCTGAACACTGATCGTGAAATTTGTGAGTGGAGAATTTCTGGTTTGTCTTCATTTCTTCATTGCTCCATGTGATCAAAACTAGTGTTCGTTGACAGCATATCACCTCTTTCCGGGCCTGTCATGACCATCAGACTCAGCAATGCTGCCATCATTTACAGAGACCAAACCCCATTCCAGAGTTTTCCACTGTAGCAGTAATTGTGAAGGGCAGAAAAGTAGTAAGGGCATAGACCTACAACAATCAGCATTGCTATGGTCCCTGATAGATACCTCTTTTTTTCACTACTTTAGGATAAGGTCTGAAGAGCTGAGGAGATAACAAAAGCTATAACTCAGAGAACTGTAGCACCCACACAAGGAGAAACAGAAGTGTTTAAAACCCTAAAACCTTATCTGAATTGTAGTTAAATCATGAGTGTTGATTTTTAAAATTATTGAGGAAGATGGGATTTTCAGGCATTCTTGACAGTTTTCTTTTATCTAATAGACTGTTAAAGCTGGGAGGAATGAACAAGCCTGATTCCTTCATTTAATTGGAGAGGAAACAGAAGCTCAGTGAGCAAAAATAACTTGTCCAGAATATAACTAATTGGTGTATATCTTAGCCTAGTTTACCCCCAAAAGCACAGTCTGGGGCCAGGGCTTACATGCCAGTTGCACATTTTAGAAAATTATCCCAAAGAATAGGAAAGGGGCCCTGGGAAAAGTGTAGTAGAGAAGGAAAGAATGCTAGTTTCTGTCCCTGTTATCAAGGGTTTCCCCATGGGGTGCTAACTCCCTCATACTTCCTGGCTTCTGAGCATCAATATGGCTGAGCAGGTGCCCCAGGGCAGACAGGAAAAGATGCACAATATGCCACTGAGGAGAGATGCTCCAGTGTTTTACCCACTCCCCCACCCATCACTGACCAATGGGGAAAGCTGTGAGCAAAGGGTGAAACGCAGGTCACAATATGGAATTCAAATTCACTAGTATTAATGCTTGTTATAAAATATTGCCTTTCAAATAGGACTGCCAGAATTCCAGACTACTGAACGATAAGGTATGCATTTAACAATAAATATGAAAATCAGAATGAACTACATCAGCAGTAACTCACCCAGCATCTTAGATGTCTGTGTTTACTCACTTCTGTTTACTTCTTAGGCACACTGCCCCAGTTAACACTTAAGATATCAGAAGAGATACATCTTTTTTTTTTCATTGATTCACTTAAGTAGCCCAAGGGAGCACTCAAGAATTCTCAGATTTTCTCAGCTCATAGCCCCTTTCATTACCCCCTCTCGACTGTCACATCAGAAAATCCAAACAGTATAAATGAGGGCAATGAGACAGCCCTTGAGAATTCACATGCCCTTGCCCCAAATATCCACATTGTTATAATGTCTTCACGGAGTTCTTAAGCACTTTCAGAATTTTCCATCTTCAATAATTAGTGCGTAATAAGAATATCTGTAAACATTTTAGAGATGGGTAATGTCTTTATTTCACAGATGATGGGGACTTTATTTTTGCCAACTCAAGTACACAGCTGACCTCAATCATCAGTCTCATTTTTCATTTGTCTCAAGACATGAAATAGCAACAAATTGTATGTTATAATTTTGCAAGGTTTTTGTTTGAATTGTCAATACATGTGTTGTTAAATGCCATTAACCTCTCTACACCTTTAGTCATTACCACTATTTGATTTGATATTATTTTTTAAATTATTTACTTACATGCTTATTTGTATTTTTTATCATTTCTCTTATTTTTACTTGTTTATTTAAATTATTTCTGAACATGTATGATCAATCTGACAGAAGATAAATTTGATAATCCTTCCCTCCTGGTGAAGATTTTTTTTTTTTTTCTGTTCTCTTTGCCTCCTTGCCTGTTGAACTTTGATGTCTCCTAGACCCGGCTCAATTGTCACTTTTCCTTGGACCCTTCCTTATTCTGCTAATCAGAATGATTCCTTCCCTTCTCAGTGATACCATCACCCTGTGATCCTTCTTCAGTTATAGCACTGATGACATTCCATTGCAATTTCTAGAGCGTGATGCTTGGTGAACTATCTATTTCTGGAGAGGAGAGTCCACTAGTAACCATCTCAGAGTCTTGATGTAAGCATACTATAAATATTTGTTTAATTAATTTTACCAAACTTCCTCTCTCCAAAGATGAACGGTTGACAGCCTTCCTATAACCAGGTACCAATCTCCCCTAAGAGGTAAAAGCAAGCTGTAACTAATAACATGTTCACAAGAGTTTCCCCCAGAAACCGACTCTGAGACAAGAATTCTAGTTCCACTGGTTTATTTTGGAAGTAGACTCAGTATCCAGAGTGATAGAGTGGGGAAATGAGGCAGGGAGGGGAAGGCAGCCACCACAGGGTGGTTGATGAGTGTGTTCCTACTGTGATCTCTAAGGCTCAATAAGACACTCTGGAATAGTGCAAAGAGCATGCCTCAGATCATACCCCACCTGATGCACAAGGAAGACAGAGCATTTATCCACCAACTCCTCAGCATTTTGGTTGTGAACTGTTCCTGGGAGCACTGACTCCCTAGCAGTTCTGGCCACTTCTGTGCATAGGTGGTGCGTACCTCTGAAGCCAGAGAAAACCCTCAGGCAGAGAATGCAGGGGCATACAGTGGGCAATGCATACTGAAGGACAAGTGCTAAATAGAATCAGCAAGGCATCCAATCCAGCACAAGCCTTCCAGCTTTGGCCAGCTTTGACCATGAGAAGTTCCTTTCTGAGACTGAACCAAACCCTCTGGTCTGGATCTGCCCCATGGGGCCACTCAGGAAAAAATCTAGATTTGATTTCAGATTCAATTTATGTAATGGTTACTGGTTTACTCCATGTTTTCTATTTCAATTTCAGTAAATTATATTTTAGAAAATTAGCTACCTCATCTAAGTTTTCAAATTTAATGACATTGTATTTTAGTATTTTCTTAGGTTTCCTACATCTCTATTTTAACTATAGTTATGTCTCGTTTTACTCTTTTAACAAATTGTGTTTTCCAAAAATGGCCACAGCAATATTTCCAGTCTCAAATGCTCTTTCAGAACCTTGCCACTTGTTATCAAGTAGTAGAGTATATTTCCCTTCCCCTTGAACCCTGGGAAGGACTTGGTGATTGCCTTGATAAATAAAATGCAGACGATTCTCCTCTCCCATGATGACTGTTGTCATGTCCAAAGACAATTGCTATATTCCCTGTCATCCCAGACTTACCTTCAGATGCAAAAACCTACCATGCTACCTGCCTGTCCTTGAAAATCAACACTGGGACCATTTTTGAAGAAACAGAAGGTTTGAGAGAGGCAATTTTAAATATATTACATTATAAATAGGAATCCTGAGAGCAACTTCCTACATCCTTATTCTACCTTTCTACTCAAATGCAAATGGAGACTTGGGATGTCTTCGATGACATTGTGTGATAAGGTGTTTGAGCAGCTGGTTTATGGTTCATGTTCCTTTACAGCATGGTTTTGAATAATGCAGTTAATCCTGAAGTGTTATTAAAACATCAAATTAGCCTCTGTGACAGTACAAGGTGACCTGGTCAGTTATAGCACAGAATCCTAAGGCAAAAAAGCGGGCTTACTGCTGCAACCATGCCAGGGATCTGTCTCGAACTCTTCTCTTTCCTCTGGGAGGTGTCAGGTTTACTCATTTATTTATCTATCTCTGCCTTGCCCAATAATAAGAAAAAGTTTGCAGCAACTTACAGAAATACATAATTTCAAATAACATAAGTGAGAAGTGGGAACAAAGGGAAAAGTCAGAAGTAGCCAAATAGTGGGTCCATGCACGCAATGAGAGCCAAAAGGCCCTCTGCAAATTGATGAGGAGCACAGATTTGGATCCAGAAATCCTGAGGTAAGAGGAGAGAGGGAATTGCAGCCATTCAGCTATGCCACAGACATCTCTAAGAAAAAAAAGTCAAGCCAAGGGATGAGGAAAAGAACAACACAGGAGCTTAAGCTTGGCAATTTGGAGGTCTTCCGAGTCAGGTCACTATTTAAAAAATATGTATTTATTTTAAATCTTTTCTGGACACATGGTGTCTATATACAGTTTTAAGACATGGGAAACAAAACTACATATTGATTAGGGGTATGTGTGTGTATATATATAGATATACACACACATAAATATACATACATATCCCAAATCTCCATTCGTATTGGAGTAGAGAGGTAGAATAAGGATGTAGGAAGTTGCTCTCAGGATTCCTATTTATGATGAAATATATTTAAAATCACCTCTCTCAAACCTTCTGTGTCTTCAAAAATGGTCCAGTGTTGATTTTCAAGGACAGGCAGGGAGCATGGTAGGTTGTCGTATCAGAAGGTAAGTCTGTCAAATGACAGGGAATGGTTATATACATACACATATGTGTGTGTATTTAAAGTATAAAGATATGTGTCCACCAAATTAAAGGTGAGTAAGAAAGAGAGAATCAGGTTCTCAAGGAGCCTTTGATTGTGTCAATAATATTTTATTCCTTATGTTGAATGATGGCTACATAGAAGTTTGCTGTGCTATTCTGTACTTTTCTGTGACTCAGAAATATTTCACAGTATGAATTTTATCCTGACTGTTAGAGAGACAAAAATGGAGGTGGTAAGACCACTAAGGAGTCTATTAATGTTGTGCTGGGCAGAAATGAAGGTAAATTGGACTAAAGTGAAAGTAGTGAAGAAAGTAGACAGATTTAATATATGGATTTGAGGTAAAGCCAAAGAGACCTGCCAATGGATTGAAGTGTGAGGAAAATAGAAGAGTTGGAACTAAGTTTCTGGTACCATAAATACAGGAATGGTGCTGAGATGTGGTACTATGGGGATGACTTAGAGGGGACAGTTGGGGCTAGAATGGGGAGTATAGTAAACACTAGCTCTCTCTGGACATACAAAATTTGGGATGTCTAATAGACAAGCAAGTGAAGATGTTGAGTTGGTGGTTGAATATATGAGTCTAAAACCCAGAGTAAAGAACCAATTGCTTGATTAAAATCTTAGAGTCATTAACACATACATTTCATTATACATGAGATTATAGGAGATCAACAATAGAATCTGGATAGAGAAGAGGGCCAAGGAAAGAGCTTTGGGCATTCTAACATTTAGAGATCTGGAACAGAAGCAGCAGCCAGCAAAGTAGACTAAGAAATGGGGTGAGGTAGAAAACAAACAAACAAAAAAAAAAATACAAAAAAACAAGAAGAGTGTGTTATCTCAGAATCAGAAGATGTAGGTCTTAGTAAAAGCCTTTTTGGTGTGGATTGATGAGAATGAAAGTGTGGATGGAGTGACTGAGGTGAAAACGGGATGCAAGGAATTTGAAAGGTTTGTTTGTATTCAGATATTTCCATGAGTCTTGTTGTGACGGGAACAGAGAAATGAGGGAAGGAGGTAGATAGCTGGAAGCCAATGCCAGGTCAAGAGGGTTTTATTTAAGATAGAAGATTAAGGTATGTACATATAAGAATAACCTAGTTGAAAGGAAAAAGTTTTCATGTAGGAGAGAAAGTGGACACTTAACAGTAGGGAAATCCTTCAGCAAAAGGCAGATAGGATCCAGGGTAGAATGCAAAGCTTAGAAAGGAGATAACACAAGTCTTCCATTGTAACAGTGGGGTACAAATTCAGGCAGAGTAGGAGACTGCCATGGTCTGAAAATGTCCCCAGAAATTCATGTAGAAACTTAATCCCCAATGCAACAGCATTGGGAGGTGTGGCCTCTAGGAGGTGATTGAGTCATGAGGGCTCTTCCCTCATGAAAGGGATTAGGTGCCCTTCTAAACAGACTTGATGGAGGGAGTCTTACCCCTTTTTGCCCTTCTGACATCTGCTATGAGAGGATCCAGGGTTCCTTCCCTCTAATGAATGCAGCATTCAAGGTGCTATATTGGAAGCAGAGGCTGGACCCTCACCAGACACCAAACCTGCTGGCATCTTGATCTTGGACTTCTCAGCTTCCAGAACTAGAGGAAATAAATTTCTGCTCTTTAAAAATATTACCCAGGCTTAAGTATTCTATTATAGCAGCACAAAATCAACTAAGACGTAGACCAGAAGGTAGAAAGATAAGATAATTCTCATCTAATAAAATCATTTTTCTCTATGAAGTTGAAACTGAGGCCATGAGAGGTGAGAGGCTATTGGAGGCTTAAGAAAAGAAGTAACACAGCTGTTTGGGAGAATAGAAAAATAAGTTTGTTGGGGAAGAGTAGCAGGAGTATCTGAAGGGATTGAGTGCCCTTTTGAGATCTGAGGTCGTAAATTTTAAGTTAACATAATTTTCTCCAGTAATATTTAGCTTCTTGGCTACAAACAGAATAAGAAGAAAACTGGGTTTAACCAGGCCATGTTTCCAGGGGTAATAATGGAGGGACAGAGGAGCAAAGGGTGTGTCCAAGGGGATGATTATACTGTGCTGTCCGTGTAACCTAACAAGTGGAGATAGGAAAATAGTGAAGGATGATGGTAAAGGTAAAAATCAAAGACTTAGACGTTTCAGTAAATTTAGGTATTTTCTGCCATGAGAGAACCAGAGTAGTGAGATAGAAGTAAAAGGCAATGGTAATCAGATAGTGGAATATTTAAAGTAAAGAATTAGATCATGATTTGCTTCTTATGAAGGATGAAGTCTAGACTAGAAATGAGTGAGTGTCTGAGGTGCAGTGAGGAAAGAATGGTGACAAAGAAATAAACAAAATCCATAGCGATCTAAAAAGGCATACACATAAAAAGAATTAAAATTAAAGATAAAAATGCCAAATAATCTCAACATGAGAAATGATTTCAGAGAAGTGAAGAGGAAGATGGTAGAGAGACCAGGGGAATAAAAATATGCTAATGTTTCATTCTTATTTGGAGAGAGGACATAAACCCTGATTGACTTTAGACATTGATCAAAAAATATTTAAATGTATTTGTTCAAAAATTAAGGGTAACCAGTAGGAGATGAGAAACAGTATATAAATGCTCAAATCATTAAGAAGGAAAAGGATAAAAGAAGTTGCAATTAATTCACTAAAAGGCAGAATGGGGAAAGAAAACATGGTACATAGGAAACTAAAGTTAGATGTCAGGAATAAAGTCTGTGTTTGTATAAGCAATTGTAATAAATGTAAATGATGGGGACAGGAGGAGAGGACTTCCGAAAGGGCTGAGGGAAAAGCTTGGAAAATCCTTTCATTAAAAATAAACAGTAAAACTGGAAAAAGTTGTAATAAATAATCATTTAAAGATTCTGGAGATTGACCAAAAGCATATAACAAATGGAGAAGTACTGCCTCATATTAACATGACTCAAGAAGAAATAGAAAGTTTAAATAGATTTTAATTTTCCCCATAAATAAAAGTACAGATGGCATCACTACTTTGTTTTTTGTTTTTTGTTTTTTGTTTTTTTTTTTTGAGACCGGGTTTCTCTCTGTTGTCTAGGCTGGAGGGCAGGGGCATAATCATTGCTTACTGCAAACTCGAACTCCTGAGTTCAAGCAATCCTCCCACCTCAGCCTTCCCGGTAGCTGGGACTACAGGTGTGTGCCATCATGCCCGGTTAATTTTTTATTTTTTTTAGTAGAGATGAGGTTTTGCTATGTTGCCCAGGTTGGTCTTGAACTCCTGGGCTCAAGTGTTCCTCCTGTCTCTGCCTCCCAAAGTGTTGGGATTTCAGGCGTGAGCCACATGCCTGGCCAATTCACTGATTAATTCTACCAAAATATTTAAAAAATTAACATCAATCCTTCATTGAATCTGTAGATTTAATACAATTTCTATCAAAATTTCAGCTGAATTATGCTTTTTATGGCAGAAATTTTCAAGCTGATCCTAAAATTTTTATGGAAATACAAATGACTCAGCATAACCAAAAGGATCTTTAAAAAGCAGAACAAAATAAGAGGGCTTACAAGCTCCAATTTCGAAACTCACTAAAAATCTACAATAACCAAGGCAGTATGGTACAAGCAAAAGAATAGACATACAGAATTGAGCATACAAAAATAAACTTTTATACTTATGATCAAGAAATGTGTCAAGGCAAGTCAATAGGTAATGAATAGTTTTTTAACATATGGCACTCAAACAACTGGATATCCACATGCAGAAAGATGATTTTACACTGTTATCCTACACCATAAAATAAAAATTAATACAAAACGGATCATAGATCTACATATAAGGACTAAAGTCATAGCACTTTTAAATCATGAAAAAAATCTTTATAATTTAGCATTAGACAGATATTTCTTAAATATGATATCAAAAGAACTATCCATAAAAAATTGATAAATTTGACTTCTCCAAAATGAAAAATGTTTTACCTCAAAGACACCATTAAGAAAATGAAAAGACAAGCCACAGATCATGAGAAAATATTTGCAAATCATATATCTGGTAAGATACTTATATCAAGAATATATAAAGAACATTTACAATTCAATAATAAAAGGCATATAACAGTAATGTTTTCAACAACGTTTCATAGTTTTCAGAGTATAAGTTTGTACTTCTTTCGTTAAATGTATTAAGTTTTGTATTCTTTTTGTGAATGAAATTTTTAAATGTTTAGATTAACTGCAAGTATATAAAAATACGACTGATTTTTGTATATTGATTTTGTACCCAGCAACCTTGCTCTAAAAAACTGTCAGAACTATTAGTTCTACAAAGAAGAGAACAACAGACACTGGGGCCCACTTGAGGGTGGAGGGTGGGAGGAGGGAGAGGAGCAGAAAAATTAACTATTGGGTACCAGGCTTAATACCTGTGTGATGAAATAATCTGTACAACCAACCCCTGTGATATGAGTTTACCTATATAATAAACCTGCACATGTACCCCCAAACCTAAAAGTTAAAAAAATAAGCATCATGACAGATTTTTTAAAAAAGAACTATTAGTTCTAATAGCTTTTTAGTGGATTTCTTAAAATTTTATATACAAGATCATGTCATCTGCAAATAGAGATAGTTTTGTTTCTTTTTTTTTTTCCCAATCTGGATGCTTTTTTTTTTTTTATAACACAATCTTCCCTAATTGTCCCGGCAAGATGCCTTATATTATATGATTCCTTTTTGTAAAATGTCCAGAAAGGAAAAGTTTATAGAGACAGAAAGTAGGTTAGCAGTCATCTAGGCCTGAGAGTGGGAATGGAAAGTAAGCGCAAATGGGTACAAGATATATTTTTGTAATGATAAAAATGTTCTAAAATTGGAAGGAAGAAACAATTGTACAACTCTGCATTTACTAAACATCACTTAATTGTACACTTAAAGTAGGTAAATTTTAAAACTGTTAAAAACATTTAAAAAATATAAATATGTTAAATTCATCACTTAAAAAAAGGAGATTCTCAGATTGGGTTTTAAACATCCTGCTATACGTTGTTTAAGATGACACACATAAAATAATAATTTCTAATATTTACTAAGCATTTACATTGTTCTCTATGTTTAATCCACACAAGTTTATGAACTAGAACTATTATTATTCTCATTTTATAGGGGAGGAACTAAGGCACAAAGGGTTCAAGTAACTTGCTAAAGGCTTCTGAACCAGGTAATGACAAAGATGGGCGTTGAATCCTACTCACTAGTTTATATGGCTTCTCTTAAGTGGGAGTGTTTAAAATAAAGAAATACAAAAGATAATTCAAGAAAATTGTAAACAAAAATAAAACGTGTTAATATCATAAAATTAAAGTCAAGGTAAAAGACATTAAAAGAGTAGTATTTCATATTGATAAAAAGCCCAACTACCAAAAGATACATCAGACATAAACCTTTACACTTACAATATACAAAGCAAAAATGATAGAAATTCAAGGGGGGGAAATCTACAAGTTTACCGTCAGAGAGGAATATTTGTTTGTCTCTCTCATAAATTAAGCAAAACTTTAAAGACATGGAGAATTTGGGGTTTTTTTGTTTGTTTGTTTTTTGTTTGTTCTTTTTCTGAAATGGAGTCTCACTCTGTTGCCCAGGCTGGAGTGCAGTGGCACAATCTCGGCTCACTGCAACCTCTGCCTCCTGGGTTCAAGCAATTCTCCTGCCTCAGCCTCCTGAGTAGCTAGGACTACAGGCGTGTGCCACCATGCCTGACTAATTTTTGTATTTTCAGTAGAGATGGGGTTTCACCATGTTGGCCAAGCTGGTCTCAAACTTCTGACCTCAAACTCCTGACCTCAAGTGATCCGCCCCCCTCGGCTTCCCAAAGTGCTGGGATTACAGGCGTGAGCCACTGTACCCGGCCAACGTGGAGAATGTGAATGCTGTAGTAATAAGCTTTATGAGAAAAGAAAGAGAACAAGGAAGTTTTATCAAACTCACATAAAATTTCCACGAAAGTTGACCATGCATTAAACCCCTTACACATACACAAACACACAAGTAATATCTCAACAAAAAAAATTCCCCAAAGCAGAAATTATATAGGCCATATTCTCTGACCACAATGCTATAAAATTAGAAATCAACATTTACAGGATAGCCAAAAAATCTATTTGCTTAGGAATATTTAAATAGTCTTAAATATAATTTTTGGATAAGAGGAAGAATTAACATGGAAATTATTACTATTTAAAAGTGAACAAACATGAGAATACCACACATCAAAAGCAGCTCTCAAAGGAAAAGTTACAGCTTTAAATGCGTATGTTAGAAAACTAAAACTCTTAAAAATAAATGAACCGAGCCTTATACCCAGAAAATTATATAAAAGCTCTACAGACTAGTTCCAAAGGAGTAGGGAAATTTAATAATGATAAAAGCAGAAATTAATAGGCTAGAAAACAAAAGAATAATCAATAAACTTGTTCATTTAACAGACCAACAAACAAACCTCTGGCAAATCTAATCAAGGAAACAAATTTAGAAGACATGAACAATATTGATGACAAAAATGGATGATGAGTCCAAGAGGCGACTTTTATAAATTAAGACACTACATGTATAAAAACATAATAACAGCAGATTCAAAAATCTGTGCGTAATGGATGATTTCCTGGGGAAAAATACATTTTAAAAATTAATTCAACAAGAAGCAAAACCTGCATAGATAGATATTGACTGAAGAAAAGGAAAAGGTAGCTAAATAACTTCCCTAGAGCAGGCACCAAGTTGAGATTATTTAAAAACAAATTATGCCAAACTTTAGAAATATATATGCCATCTGTTCTATCTATTCTGTTTCTAGGAATCCTAAAGAAATGCTCAAAGAGGAGCCAGGCACGGTGGCTCAAGCCTGTAATCCCAGCACTTTGGGAGACCGAGGTAGGCAGATCACGAGGTCAAGAGATTGAGACCATCATGGCCAACATGGTGAAACCCCGTCTCTACTAAAAGTACAAAAATTAGCTGGGCATGATGGTGCACGCCTGTAGAACCAGCTACTCGGGGGGCTGAGGCAGGAGAATTGCTTGAACCCAGGATGCAGAGGTTGCAGTGAGCTGAGATCGCGCCGCTGCACTCCAGCCTGGCGACAGAGTGAGACTCCATCTCAAAAAAAAAAAAAAAAAAAGAAAGAAATGCTCGAAGAGTTATGCACAAAAATGTTTCTGGCTTTATTTTAATTTTTTGGATTTTTTAGAGACAGGGTCTTGTTCTGTCATCCAGGCTGGAGTGCAGGCGTGTTTACAGCTCACAGCAGCCTCAAACTCCTGGGCTCAAGCAATCCTCCCGGTCCCGAGTAGCTGGAACTACAGATGAGCGCCACCATGACTGGCTAATTTTTATTATTTTTTTATTTTTATTTTATTATTTAATTTTATTGTTTTGTAGAAATGGGGTCTTTCTTTGTTGCCCAGTCTGGTCTTGAACTCTTGGCCTCAAGTGATCCTCCTGCCTCAGTGTCCCAAATTGCTGGGATTACAGGCATGAGCCATTAGTCCTGGCCTCTTGCTTTGAGATTTACAATAGCCAAAGAAGTGGAAGCAATCTACATTCCCCATCAAAAATGGAGTATTTAATAGAGTGTGGATAATTATATGAAAGAATACTATGCAGCCTTTGTATTCAACCTGTATGTATATATACAGAATTCAACCTCTATGTATATACACAGATAGATCTTTAAAACATATCAGTTGGTAAAAAAATAAATCAAATTTAAAAACAGCATGTTTTATATAATCCTATAATGTTGCAATAGAAAAGTAGATCTGTGAATATATATCCATTTTTGTAGAAATGGGCTGTGAGGATGCTCACTAGCTGCTTCTTCAAGGGTGGGCTTAGATACCATGGCATGAAGGGGGAATGCTGCACATTGAGAATACAGTCATCCCTCAGTATTGTCAGGATGCTCAAGTCCCTGATAGAAAATGGGGAACTATTTGCATATAACCTATGTACATCCTCCTGTGTATTTAAAATTATCTCTACTTATAATACCTAATACAATGTAAATGCTATCTAAATAGTTGTTCTAGTGTATTTCCTATTTGTACTAGTTTTTATGTTTTTTTATTAGTTTCTTTTTTCAAATATTTTTTATCTGCAGTTGGTTGAATACAGGATGCATAACCCACACAGTTGGAGGGTGGGTTGAATGTATACAAGGTATTGCTTGTGTAAGTAACTATAAAAATAAAATGAAGCATTCAAGTGGAAGACAGGGATTTCCCACAAGACAATCTTTAATACTCATTCCAGATCTAAAATTCTGTGCCTCGCTCCTGTCATGGAGCCTTCCAGACCAGACCATTACAAAGCAAACAGCTGTTTACATTTAACATTCGATCCCCTGGCTGGGCCAGAGCAAATTACTACTTTTCATGTTCTGCCCTTCAAGCGAGAAGGCATTGGCATCTCTGAGTAGCTTCACTCCAAAGACACTTTTCTTCTTTCTGCCATTGTTCCCACTTGGCCCCTTAAACTCCACAAATTAAGAACTCCTGTGGTAAGACTGGTGGCTGTCTTGTAAAATGTTAAGTTCCCTTCTGACTGAAACACAAAACACTGCTTGTTGTTTTGCAGAGACTAGAACTAAAGGAGCCACCCAACCTGCCCCTAAGGGAAACGAGGTGGGTCTGGGGCTTTGCAGGCATAAAAACAATCCTGACTGCTGGACTCAGCTCTGAATTCATTGGCAGCATCAGCCCACTCCTCCATTCCGTCCCTGATTCTCTCTAGTTAAGTGACCTATGAACCTGAGACTTGGCTCCATTTGTGCTTTTATTGACCATTTCCAAGGAGCTCCACTCCTTGTCAGTCATTGGAGCTATGGCATGAAAATGAGCCACACAGATACCAGTAGCTCATTTTTGCTTTGAAACAGCCTATCCCAAAACTTAGCAGCTTTAAACAACCACCATTTATTTAGCTCACTATACTGAGGGTCATCAGTTAGGCTGAACTCAGTTGAGTGATTATTCTGGTGTCAGCTGGGCTCCCTCATGAGCCTGCAGACAATGCAAGTCATTCAGGTCGCTCTTTTTTTCTGGGAAGAGCTTGCTATCAGCTAGGTGACAGGGTGGTCAGGACACATGTCTTTCATTCTCCAGCAGGCTAGCCCGGTCATGTTCACATGGTGGTGGCACCTGTTCGAGAGGGTTAAAAGGCCATTTCTAGGCATTAAATATTCAAGTTAAGACAAAGATGAAACCCCACCCTATCATTTACCTTTCTACTAAATGTCTCAGGACAAGCTTGTAGTTGTCAGAGATTATTCCAAGTTCCATGAATTCCAATGTTTTAGCTCATCAAAGATCATTTACTTCAACCCCTCTGTACCCAGACTCCAGTATGGATTATGTACCTCTGGGAGGCTAGGAACAGCTTGGAGGAATAAAAAAAAAAACCTTTATTCAAGCTCAGGTAATAACAGCCCACTCTTAGTTATTCATGAGTGCCGTGATCAGGATTTTATTCCTTGGGAGAATTCAGGATCAGGGGTTCTTTGAAGGAGATGGAAGAAATAGAGTTAAAACCCTGAGATTTGCAAATAGACACTGCCCACGAAGGCTGGATATAAACATTCAAGGGCACCTTCTGGGTTGCTGGTCTTAACTTCTTGACTAAATTTTAAAACCTGCAGGTTTTAAGATATCTGATGGGGCAAAATACAAATCTACCCATTGGGTATATCATGGCAGCTCTTTTTTCTCCCCAAACACCATCTGCCTGATTTCCCATGGTTCCTGAGCTCCTCCTCAGAAAGTCGGGAGGGAAAGATGGTGCCAAGAATGCCCTTTGCTGGCATCTCCGGTTTTAAACCCAGAGAGTCGCCTATATGATCTGCCTCTGACCCTAAGAATTCATGTGCTCTGGATGCTCATGGTCTAATTAGGAGCTATAAAGAGATATTCCAGTATTTGTAATGCAAAAAGGTAACGTCTATAATGAAGTGTGCACAAAATAGGAACAAGGAAGGGTTGGACCGGTTGTCAAGTAGGCGAGAGAGAACAGAGGTAAAGATTCAGAGGGGAGGAAGAGCTTGACTGATTCTCAGGAGGGCATGTGTGTCAGTGTTACTCGTGCATAATGTCAGGTGGGGAGGTGGACACAGACTGGGGATGGAGGCAGGAAATGAGGCTACAAAAGTCATCACTGCTCAGATCAAGAAGGGTCTTTGTCCGGGCGCAGTGGCTCACACCTGTAATCCCAGCACTTTGGGAGACCATGGCAGGTGGATCACATGAGGTCAGGAGTTCGAGACCAGTCTTGAAACCCTATGTCTACTAAGAATGCAAAAATTAGCCAGACATGGTGATGGGCACCTGTAATCCCAGCTACTCAAGAGGGTGAGGTGGGAGAATAGCTTGGACCTGGGAGGCAGAGGCTGCAGTGAGCTGAGATCACGCCACTGCACTCCAGCCTGGGCGACAGAGTGAGACCCTGTCTCAAAAAAAAAAAAAAGGTCTTCACAGTCATGCTAAGCATCAGGAGCCATTGAAGAATTAAAGCAGAGTAGATGTCATTATCTTTTTATTTAAAAAATACTACTCATTGGGTGAAAAGAAAGGCATTCAAGACGCCACTGTAATTAACCAGTCAAAACACAGTTCAATTCCAATGAAGACAGAGAGGGAAAAGAACAGACATGAGAGAAGCCTAGCAATAATAAATGGGATTTGGTGGCTAGTTAGATATAAGGTGGAAGAAAAAATGTCACCAAAAATTTTGACGACATTTTTACTTGGGCCACTGTGCAGGTGATAGTATCCTTGGCTAAGTTAAGGAATACAAGAGGAGGAGTAGGCGTTGAGACATGTTGAGATGGAGACAGTAAAGGATAAGATCTGATTGGCACACTGAGTTTGGCCTCTGTGGAAGGGTTATCAAGGTGAAACAGAAGCCCTGGTCCTGTGGTTTTAGGGCATAGGGGAGCAGCCTGGGATGCCAGCAGGATTTTTAGTTAAGCTGAAACAGATAATACTTAGAGACAGGGTATGGAGCAAGAAATAAAAGAGCCAAGAACTGAGCCCCTGGGAACAAAACACTTAATGGGGCCAGAGGAAATGGGAGCTGGGAAGGAAACAGAACCACAGCGGGGAGTGGCCAGTCAGTGTCATCTGCTGCTGCAAAACTGGGAAGATAAGCCTGAAAGCATTCACTGTGTTAGCCACATGGAGGTCACTGGTGACGTCAGTGGGAGCTTTCATAGTCAGACAGGGCTCTGTTCCAGGGAGCTAGGAGTAAGAGGGGTCAGAATGGGGAGACAGCTGGTAGAGATGACACTTTAGAAACATGGTGTAAACGTAATGAAGATATATGACATTAGGTGGAGGAGCATACAGAGTCTAGGAAGGACTTTACTTTAAAGGAGATTTAATTCTGCTTAAATGTCATTGGGAAAGTGGGAATAATAATACTACCCTCACAGGATTATTGTAAGGGTTAAACTACAGCATGCATGTAAGGTGTTTAGCAAGGTGCCTGAACATAGTAAGTGTCCAATAAACAGTGGCTATAATATCATTAATAATAACAATAATAGCAGTTGTACATAAAACACCACCAGAAGGCAGGTTGAGGACACAACCCAGAAAAGGAACAATTGACAGCACAAAGAGGCAGGAAGGGAAGGGATCCTGAGTGCAGTTGAATAAACTATGTATAAAGAAAATAAGATTCATTCATTCAACAACATATATCAAGCACTTACTTTACCAGGTGCTGGGTATATAAAAGAAAACAAGAAAAACACGCTTCTGCCCTCAAAGAGCTCATACAGCCCAGCAAAAGAGATGTATAGTAAATCAACCATTACAATGTGGTGGGATGGAGTGAAAATCAGGGTTCAGTAGAAACCCAGCAGGAGACCCTAACCTAGCCTTGGCCAGCAGAAGTGAGGGTGCACAGGAAAGATTTTCTGGAAGAAGTGATATCTAGCCTTAGACCTGATTTCCCTAGACAGGAGACAGGCAGCAACAGCACAGGAGGGAAGAGGAGGAGACAAGGTGAAATAGGGTTTGCAGTAAATAGGGGTAAAAGTAGAGGAATTCATGCCAGAAACTTCTTTTCTTCTGTAATGCAGCAAGTTATTCTCTGTGAGACCTGAGAATGGGCTTGGAACAGCTGCAATGACAGGGCAGAAGAAACTGGGCACATTATATACATGCTGAGCAGTATTGAAGGTACGGATGGGACTGTTGTGATTGCCCCTAGAAGCACTGAGAAGACTAGAGAAGAGTGGACAGCAGGGATGAGGTCTGCAGAGTGGTGTTGCAGGCTAAGGGGCAGGCAGATGAGGGTGCTGGCTAAACCAAGGATGATGTGAAGCCTCCCAAGATAAGCAGGAAAGTAAAGCCAGGCGGGGACCAGCTGATGAATCCCCCAGATAGAGAGGACACATGCAAATGAAAGCATAGTGAAGTCAAAGAGTAAATGTGGAAGAAATCAGAGACTGAGAAGCCAAGGATGGTCAAGAGGCTGAGCTCAGAGGAGCAGGTAGAGTCAATAGCAGCTCTGGGGATGACAACGTCCAGCAGGTGCCACAGGCATGGAAGAGTGGAGGGGGAAGGCCATGAGAACTGAGCAGATCAAGGAGCTGTAGGGTGTTAGCAGGATCACCCAAGACTGCCTAGGATGCAGGCAGGAATGGGATGGAGAAGAAGGGAGTGATCCAGTCTCCATCACCTTTGATGAATGTGAAGGTAGGACCAGGGTTGCAGTAGGAGAGCTATGGGGCTAGAAACTTAGGCATGGCTGGCTTAATGACAAGGGCAACCCATTCTGCATTTACAACTGTTTTCTCCCATAGTTCCCATAAGCATGTATGAGATCTTGTGCCCTGACTTTTTGCAATTTAAAAAACACAGTGGGCTGGGCGCGGTGGCTCACGCCTGTAATCCCAGCACTTTGGAAGGCTGAGGCAGGTGGATCACGAGGTCAGGAGATCAAGACCATCCTGGCTAACATGGTGAAATCCCATCTCTACTAAAAATACAAAAAAAAAAAAAAAAAAATTAGCCATGCGTGGTGGCAGGTGCCTGTAGTCCCATCTACTGGGGAGGCTGAGGCAGGAGAATGGTGTGAACTCGGGAGGTGGAGCTTGCAGTGAGCTGAGTCACACCACTGTGGGGGACAGAGCGAGACTCCGTCTCAAAAAAAAAACAAAAAACAAACAAAAAACACAGTCTATGAATATGAATAGTGACCTATTTTCTTCTATGTCCAAATTACATTCTCATGTTCACCCCAGGCTGTTCTTTTGTTGCCAAGTGGGCAAAGCCAGCAAATACAATTTACCACTTGATTAAGGCATCATGATTTGCTTTTAAATATTATTGTTCAGTGACTTTAAATCCTTCAGACCTAGAGGTTCTCCTTCAACCTCACCAACTAGACAAGCAAATCAGCAATTAGAAAATGGTATATGAAACGATGCAGTAGGGGTCTGTGGGGATGCTTAGTAAGAGTCCTAACCCAGCCTTGCAAGGGTCAAGAAAGGCTTTTGGCACCCAAAGGTCATGTCAGTCTCCCTCATTTCCCTCACTGCCTGGCCCAGGAGAAATGCACATGAGACCTTAACCACATAAAAGCCAGGCAGATGTAGCGCCTTAAGGAAAGGCTGTGTTTTGCTGTGCTCTTTGGTGTCTTAGAGATGGGGAAAATGCCCTGGCCTTAAATTGGATTAATAAAGGAAACTATTAATCAAAAGCCTGAAAGGCACATCTTCAAACTTCTAATAAGCATCAGATTTTGAGTGAGGGTCAGTGGTTACGCAAAAGAAGAAGCGGGCTATGAAGTGGGTTCTGTCCTGGCAGATGCCCCAAAGAAGCTGCCCTCACCTCAAAAGATGCCCCAGGCACCAGCTCTCTGACTTAGGCATGCTTGGTTCCTCAGCCTCCTAGCCCTGTGTTTCCAAGGTAACAAAGTCCCTGATAAGTTGAACATTGGCCAGTGAGTTGTGCTTCCCTGAAATACATCAACACACAGCAGAGAGAAATGGCTGCAGGCCCAACTGAACAGTTGCCCTGATCCTGAAAGGCCACTGGTGGAGAGGCCCCTTTGTACCTTTCATTGGCTGAAGACTAGCCAATGAAAGGAAGAATCGCCCCGGGAAAGCACACAGCATGAGAGAGATAGTCAGAACTGGGGGGAACCTGAGATGAGGATTTGGATGCAGGGTTTTTGTTTTGTTTTGTTTTTGTTTTTGTTTTGAGACAGAGTCTCGCTCTGTCCCCAGGCTGGAGTGCAGTGGTGCGACCTCAGCTCACTGCAACCGCCGACTCCCTGGTTCAAGCGATTCTCCTGCCTCAGCCTCCCGAGTAGCTGGGATTACAGGCACGTGCCACCAAGTCCAGCTAATTTTTTTTGTATTTTTAGTAGAGATGGGTTTTCACCATGTTGACCAGGATGATCTCAAACTCCTGACCTCGTGATCCACCTGCCTCGGCCTCCCAAAGTGCTGGGATTATAGGCATAAGCCAACGCGCCCGGCTTCTGGATACAGGTAATATATTAAGGATATGCTCACAGGCAAGGTTAGTATGGGAAAGAAGGAAGCAGGACAAAGACGGAGAGAAAGGCAAACAAGACTGGTGGTTTCAGGCAAAATCCTTCAGAGGGTAGCTTCAGCCTGATCCCTCGGGGAAGCCCTGGTGTGTAAGTTCCATCTCATGTTGCTCCTCCCCACCCAGCTTTAGGGAAGGGAGCTGGCTCTCATAAGCCTTCTCCAGTTGGGCATTGGTCAGTAGTTACCCTTAGGGATGTACACTCCCTGGCACTCCCAGCGCCTCCTAAGCAGACAGGCTCCAGGAGTTGGAGGGCAGTGCTCCATTACTGGAAGCAACAATTCACCAAAGCCAGGGAGAGACACACAGATCAGATAAAGGGACATGAATAAATCTGGGCAGGGCGCAATGTTCACTTCAGTTACAAATCCCTGCCTGTAAAGGGGAAGGAATGATCAACAGAAACACTCGGACTTGAACACCAATTTCCTCTGTAGAACCTCAGAGTCTGCCGAGGAGCATCTAAGGAGCCACTCCAATTAGGAGGAGGGCCGAGGAGGGGCTGAGCATGCCAGGATCTCCAATGAGAGCAGCTTCTCTCTCCGTTCTTTTACTTATTGCCTTTTATGTACAACGTCGTTTAAAGGAAGGCTTCCCCTGCTGAAAAGAAGTTTGGAAAAACATCCTGCAATAGCTCTGTATCCCCTCCACATGTAGGGTGGGCAGAGTAAATCAGGATGGTAAATCAGTGTGGTGGCCCTTGGGAGGAGTCATCTACCCTATCCTGGGACAGCAACAATCCCAGCCCTTGAGGAACACCACGCCCCGCCCCCAGGTCCTGCACCAGGCTGGAGACCCCGAGTCCTTGCTCTGGCTACACTCACAGAATTCTGTGGGAGTCCCTAAACATAAATATGCAGAGAATATATTTCACTTTTCAGTGTGTCACAATGAGCTGGTGCTCAGACATAGACAAGGGACAGAGCCAGAAAGAAGGGAGCTTTGGCAACTTGTAAATAAAGCCCTTGGAAATGAAAAATGCAACCCCCTAGATACAAAGAGGAGGGCCAAAGGGAAATTTGTGGTCCCAGAGAAGCCTTGCTCTCCATCTGGTTAAACAGGTTGCTGAAACATTGCTTTAATTTCACTCCAGGAAAAAAGATACAAACTAAAAGAGTTACTGGGGGAAAGAAGTTCCTGGATTCCTAACTTTGCAATTATTCAATGAATATTATGAGCCGGGCAGCCCACTTGATCACTTGCCCTTGTGGAAAGTGGGGAAGGAAGGACCTAATTAACAGAAGTGGAACAGGACCCCAGGAGAAATAAAACCAGGAAACCCAAAGAAGGAAGTGTTTAATGCTGGCCACTGAAATTCCAAAGTGCCCCATAATTGCCACTTAAATGTTACCAACCTGTGAAGCTACCATGCGCTTTAGAGAGAAAAACTCCATCAGCTTTCAGGTGACATGGGAAGTTATAGTCACACTGTGAAGAAATGCCCTAAAGCAGAAGCACCAACTGGCTGGCTAGGTTCACTTGAATTAGTTGTCAATGTCATAAAATTGAGAAGTTTCTCATAAAAATCCTAACTTCCGTTTTTTGTTTTTTGTTTTTTCTCTCTCTGTTTCTGAAAATTGACCTTCACAATGCTGGGCCCAAGATCCTGAAGATAATAGTGAGTGGTAGCTGGGTAGTCCCTTTTCCTCTTTAGACGGGGACACTTTCACATTTCTCTGCACTGCACTGACCTTGCAGCATGTACTTATATTGACATCACAATGAAGATGTTTTGCTTGAGCAGAGAGGAAAAGTAACTCTGCTGTTGATACTCTGATTCCTTTGCTTTTACCATCTTTGTCCTATTCAGAATTTACCCATCTCTTTATACCAGGCCCTGTTATTATACACTTAACTAAATACAAGTCACATCTGATTATAGTAAGAATGGAAGTGCTAAGTCCTCGGTTAACTCAGAGGTGCAAGCGAACAGCATTGAAGTATAGTGCATTCTGGGGGAGATAATAGTGTTAATACCATTTGATGAGCACAGCATTAATTTATTTGTATGTGTTATTTCCTTTAATCCTCACAATAGCCCTATAAGGTAGGTCATATTACCAACCCCGTTTTACAGATGAGGGAACTAAGTTTCACATGTTTTAGAGTCAATATTTGAACAACTGGAGTTTTGCTGTATTTTGGAATCAAAATAGTCAAACTAAGATTTGAAAAAAAGAGCTGAAAATCATGTGTTTATCCAACTGTGCCACACTACAAGATAGAGCAGGGGTTGCATCTCGGAGACTGAAAGGTATGCAGGGTCTGAGCAGGAAAACTGACGCAGAGAGAGTGGCATATCCCAAGCCAGATGAAAGAATGGGGTGATCATGTTTCCTAGACCAAAACTAAAGCCAGTCTAGAACTTCGGGAGCTTGTTCTTTTTTTTTTTTTTTTTTTCGAGACAAGGTCTCATTCTGTCGCTCAGACTAGAGTACAGTGGCACAATCTCGGCTCACTGCACCTCCACCTCCCAGCCTCAAGTGATTCTCCTGCCTCAGCCTCCTGAGTAGCTGGGATTACAGGCACGCACCACCACACCCTGCTAATTTTTGTATTTTTAGTAGAGATGGGGTTTCACCATGTTGGCCAGGCTGGTCTCGAACTCCTAACCTCAAATGATTTACCCTCCTTGGCCTCCCAAAGTGCTGGGATTACAGGTGTGAGCTACTGTGCCGAGCCACCTGGGGAGACTATTCACAAGGGCAGTACGTTGGGAAATAAGAATCAGCACTGGAAAAAACTGGCTTTATAATTGGCAGGGTGCCAAGGTCCAAGCCTGATGGTCAGATAACAGCAATAGCTAATATTTATTGCACTGACTTTCCTATGTCCCAGGCAGGGTGCTGAGCATGCCACATGTACTAACTCTATCCTGTGAGGTAGGTACTATTATCCTCATTGTACATATGGAGAAACTGAGGTGCAAAGAGAGGTTAAGTAACTCATCCAGCATCATATTTAGTAACTGCAGGAGCTGGGATTAAATGTTATTAGTTGTTTCTAGAGTTCACAATTATAAACCCTACATTTGCCACTTCAGCTGGCCAAGGGCCAGCCAGGCAAACACAGGACAAAGGTTTAGGTAAAGGAATCTTTTGAGGAAGCAGCAGCAGGTGTCAGGAGCCAAAGCCTGCACAAACAGGGTCAGAGGTCCAGTGCAGGGAGGCCAACCTCAAATGCAGAAATCTCTCATCAAACTCAGGCCTCTTGTGGGGGTGAGAAATGCAGGCTTCCCATCCCATAGAGCAGCGGTCCCCAACCTTTTTGGCACCAGGGACTTGTTTTGTGGAAGACAATTTTTCCACGGATGGGGGAAGGGGATGGTTTTGGGATGAAACTGTTCTACCTCAGATCATCAGGCATTAGATTCTCATAAGGAGTGCACAAGCTAGATCCCTCACCTACGCAGATCACAATAGGGTTCACACTCCTATGAGAATCTCATACCGCCACTGATCTGACAGGAGGTAGTGCTCGGGCAGTAATTCTCACTCGCCCGTGCTCACCTCCGACTGTGCAGCCCAGTTCCTAACAGGCCACAGATTGGTACTGGTCGGTGGCCAGGGGCTGGGGACCCCTGCCGTAGGGAGAAAGGTCATTGTATACAGCCCCTCAAGAACGCAATTTGCCTGGAGTCTATGATTCATAATGGGCATCCTTAGAGCCAGAAGTTCCTTCTCCCCGTATTTACCCCAAAGGAACCCTTATCTGCTCCTGCTGTGGAAGGAAGGCACAGAGTCCTCTTCAAGGATGATGATTACCAAATGGTTCATTATAGCAAAGGAAACAAGCTAAGTGTCCATCAGGAGGGGAATGGCTGGGTCAATTGTAATAAACCCACTCAGAGGAACATGCTCCAACAAAGACACACATACCTCACATGAAGAGTCCAAGATCCAAGAGCCAGCCATGGAGCTGTGCCACTCAGACTTCCCTTCAAGAAAGCAACTGCCACTCAGCTGCAAGGAGTGCAGTGAGCTAACAGTCTCCAGCTGTGGAGCTTTTAGGATTCACTACAGCATTTGAGTTGAGGCCATGCTTTCCAGGGAGTCTCCCAGCAGGTGACTGAGCATGGCTGGGGAACTAAAGCTTGGCCATTTCTGCCCAATGAGGCAATCCTCCAAAGGGCAATGTCAACTCTGAGCTCCCATTGGGCAGGTGAGACTGTCAGACCCGCATCACAGACTGCTCTCCTTGCTCAGCCCTGCTCCCTTGCTCCCTCTACCTTTATCTTTCACAGGCATCACCCCCAATTAACGCCTTATACTCCTAACTCCTCTCAGTGTCCACTTCCCAGAGGATGCCTGAACTGGCACTTCCATTGATTAATGAAAATAGCAAGTTACAGGACCCTGCATACGCTAAGATACCATTATGTAAATAAACAAACACCTATATGAATAAGTATTTTGTAAAGGTAAAGAAAAAGAAAAATACAAGAATGGAGGAAGAAAGGAAGGAAGGAAATAAACCTCACACACAAACATATTTTTTCTATGTATTCACATATATGCAGTCAAATGCTCTACCCCTGAGCTATAACCCCCGCATTCATATATATGGATAGGTATGCATTAAAAAGTTCTGAGAAAAGCCCGACTAAATGGTAACCGTAGTTATTTCTTGAGGTGAGGGAAAGTTTAGGAATGATGCATTAAGATTCTCTGTATTGCTTTAATGTTCTTTTTACAAGGAGAATGTTTCAAGCATTACTAAGTAACTAAAAACATTTAAAACGTACACCAGCCCTTGGGAATCCAGGCCCCTTGGACCAAGACTGAGTTTACTCAAGGAGGATCCCACTATCTCTGCTTAAGTTAGGGGCCCCCCAGAGTGGAGTCTGAGGCCCTCTAGAAGTGTTGTACCTTGCAGGGGTCGGCCAGTCCTCAACCCACTCCCTGCCTCTGTTGGCCAACAACCACAGAGATGCATCAAGAAGGAGAAAGATCTGTCTGTCCAGAAAGATCTATGGAGTGTTTTAAATTGCATGAGACTTTCCTGGCCTCCCTGGCTGCACTGTGCAGAGATGCCATAACTCCCCAGAACAGCATCTCTGAGAATTGCACTTGTAAATCTTTCCCTCACGTGGCACGGAGCACATCAGAGAACGGTTCTAAATCTAATCAGCTGCATGGGCATCTCATGCAGGAGGTAGCCATGTTTGTTACTTATCTGCCAGCACTACCTCTTTCACCTTTAAGCTGTCAGGGTCTTCTTTCTAATTCTGTCTCTGTCTCTCCCTCCCTGCCTCCCTTGCCTCTTGCCTTTTGCCTCTTTCTCCCCTCCTTCCCCTCCTTCTCCCCTTCTTCCCCACTCCCGTCCATGACCTTAAAGAGGGAGCAAGCTAGATGGGGAAGAACCCCAGCAATCTGGGCACAGACTGGAAGCTTCCTTCCTGTACTGCTGGCCTGCACTTTCTTCCCAGGCATCACACTCACTCCAACAGGCTGATGGTAGGTCAGAAGTCTGCAATCTGGACGTGGTGTGAATGGCTTCTCACAGCATGCCCAGAGGAAGAACTCCAGCTGGCTCAGTTGAGGCTACTGACATTTAGGAAATTACTATTATTTTTATTTTTAGACACCAATAAAAATGACATCTGGGACCAGTGCAGATAAATGTTCCATTTATAAGGAACCAGAAGTCTGAGAGATGGCTGAGGTTGCCCAGCCAAGTATGACAGGGGAACCAGGGGACTTCTGAGAGGAAGTTCACCCCCAGCACTGCAGGGATGGAACAGAGGCCAACTTGGAAAACAAGTTGGAGGCAGAAGTTCTGAGAGGTCCCAGAATTATTATCTTTAGCCAATCTGAAACTCCCAATCCCTGACCAAAAAATATGTTAAGTAAAGTACCATCTTCCAGCTATTTTCTACTATGCCCTGTCCGTCTACATTCACCAAATGCAATAGTTTGCAAGAGTGGTACCGTCACCTCCATTCAACTTATGAGAAGGTTAAGTAACACACCTATGGTCACATAGATGATGGATGTCAGGGCTAGGTTTGGCACCCAGTTCTGTTGAAATTACTGTGCTGTCTTTCCACCAGCTCTCAAAGTCAAGGTCTTTCTCTCAATGACCCACTTGTGCCATCTAAGCCTTCAGAAAATAAACAAGGGGAGGAAACGAAGCAATAGCTGAGCTAGTGTCAGTCTTTGCAAACACAACTAGTGTCGACTTTGTGAACAGGCTAAGATGTTGACCCTGGACTGAGGTCATGACTGAATCTACCTCCCCATGTGCTAAAGGGAAGACAGCATGAGTAGTTTAGATTCCTGCTCTACCACTTCTTTTTAAAAAATTAATTAAAGGACTTTTTTTTTTTTTTAGTTTTTACCTAATGTCCTTTTTCTGTCCCAGGATCCCATCCAGAATATCACATTACATTTAGTTGTTGTGTCTCCTTATGTACCCCTTGGCTGTAACAGTTTCTCAGACTTTGCTTGTCTGGAATGACCTTGAGAATTTTGAGGAGTGCTGGTCAGGTGTTTTGTAGAATGTTCCTCAGTCCCACCATTTTTTACCCAAGATATCCTACCAGAGGACAGACCTCATGCAGTTTTCATAGGCATCTCTTAACTGCACAACCAGAGAATAACTTTGAGATATTAGGAAAAAGGCCTTCAAATTCATTCATTTTACCAAGAAGCACTGAGCCCTTGATATGTACAAAGAAAGCATCAGAGGAGGCACAAAAAAGGATGCAAAAGAAGCAGGAGATGCGGGTTGAGTGCCAATTGGTTCTCTTCCCCACCTCCTTCGGGTCTCTGGGCTCTCCTTTGTGAAGGAAGAGGTGCACCTGAGAACGCACAGGTATATCAGATCAGTGTTTCTCAAAGTGAGGTAGAGGGACAGCTGTACTAGAATCCCAAAGGTACTTGTTAAAATGCAAATTCCTTGCAGACTTTATCCTGTGTTTATAAAAAAATAAAAAATAAAATAAAATGCAAATGCTTGAGCTTACTTCAGATTCACTGAATCAGATGTTGGTCAGAAACCTGCTTGGGCAAAAACTGCACTTGATTCCAAGGCTCAGGCAAGTTTGAGAGCCACCATAAGAGATGATAATGAATGGTCTACGCTGACCTGATGGGACATGTACAAGCCCCAGTGGATACAAAATCAGATAGGTGAAAGCAGATGACACTTCACTAAATTTCAGAAGAAATGGACAGGCAAGGATTGCTGGAGACTCAGATAAAGGGGCTGTAATCTAGATGGTTGTGCATGGTGTCAGGAAATAGAAAAAGCATTACCAAGACCTGAAGCATGAATATATAAACAGGAGATGTCAAAATCTAGTGGGGTTGGGTGGCAGCATGTAGGTACAGATTGGGGAATCTAAAAACCAGGGTGACTTGTAGCCATCAACATAGGTGCCAACAGAACAGTGGGAAACAGAGAATCTATAAGGCAGAACTTGCACGAAGCAGGAAAGTAGAAAGGTGAGTTTGCTTTTAGACATGTTGTATTCAAGTTCTTGATGAAATATATAAACAGACATATCCTGTAGGAAGTAGGGAAGTTGTAAGAAGTAAGGTTGAGAATTTGCATTTTTAATAAGTACCTTTGGGATTTTAATGCACGTGGCCTTCTATTAATACCTTCCTCTGAGAAACACCGATCTGGTACAACCCTTTGTTCACAGGTGCAGCCCTTCGTTCACAGATGAGAAAACTAGATCCAGAAGGAGGAAGCAGGGAAATGACCTGACTGACACTCAACCTTCCTCTCCTACTTCTCTTGCACCTTTTTTTGTGCCTCCTCTGATGCTTTTTTTTTGCACATATCAAGGGCTCAGTGCTTCTTCGCAGAATGAATGAATTTGAAGGCTTTTTTCCTAAATCTCAAATTCAAAGATACCTCTGAAATGCAGGTGGGGTGGGGGTTGTCCTACATACTCATGGGCTTTGGGGTCACCACAGAGCTGGGTTTGAGGTGTCCTGTCTCTCATCACCCTCCAACTGAATGCCCCTCAGCCAGGTCAATAATCCCCTCTCAGTTTCAGTTCTCCTCTGTGAAGTGAGTGCAGCATTGACCTTCAGGGTTATGTTGAGGACTTAATGAGAAACCATAAGTAAAGTCTTCATAGCACCCTCAGAAAAATCCATATTAATTCACATTCAGGATCAAAGTTAAAGTTAAAACCATAAGTCAGACCTTAAAGGAAAGAGTATATAGTAAAAAGAGGAGATTAAGGTCTGAGCCTTGGGGGAAACAAGAGTTAGGGGACAGCAGAAGGAACAAAAGCCAAAAACAAAAGAGTATCTTTAAAATTGGAGGAACAGCAACAGGATCATGCAGTGAAAGGTAACAACTGACCTTCTAGGGAGTATTGACAGTCAAATCCCATGGACCCAGGCTTGAATCCCTGCTTTTCCACTTACCAGCTGGGAACTGAGACTTGCTGGAACCATTTCCTCAACTCTAAGTCTGGGTGACAATACCTACTATGTCTGGTTGTTGTCATAAACAGCTAAGATGCTGTATGTCAATCTTATGTCCCATAGTAGGGATTCAATGAATGTTAACCAGTGTTAAAATTAATATATAGGCAAGATGAACAAGTGTTTTGCAGAAGGGATAGCAAACAGTATCCAATACCACAAAGAGATTAAGAAAAAATGAAGACTTGAGAAAAATGTTTTAAAAACCAGGATTTGTTATTTCAGTGCGCAGAAACAAGTAGAAGCCAGTTGGCAGGCTTCTGAAAATGAAGACTGCTGATGTGGACTGTCTTAGGGTCTCCCAAACTTTTAAAAGTCATGGTACACACAGAAAACTGTGTTTACACAACACACTGGGACAAACCACTGAGGCTGCTCAAAATCAAAGATCATCCCAGGAACTCTGACTGCCCCAAGCTCTGTTCTGCTGCCTTGAGGGCTGAGGGGATAAATATCTCCGCATTCTGTAAAACATTCTAGCATCATAGTACCAAGGCATAACAGCTGGGCAGTTGGGCCTTATTGCCTGCCCCATACAGCCACGAAAACAGCAACAAGATGTCTACAATGATGACTGAAACCGTCTTTTTCATGAACTACTTACTTTAAGCAGGGGTCAGCAAACTTTATAAATGGCCAGCTATTTTAAGGACTGTGGGCCATATGGACTCTGTTGCAGTGTTCAGCTTGACTGTTTAAGTGCGAAAGCAGTCATAGACAATTTATAAATCAATGAGCGTGGTTGTGTTCCAATAAAACTGTGTGTACAAAAATAGTGAGCTGGATTTGTCCTGCAGGCAATATTTTTCCAACCTCTGTCTTTGAGCTTCAAAATCTGGTAATATATTTGCACCAGAATTGCCAAACACACAAGAATAACTAAAACTAAAACGACTGACATAACTAAGTTTGGGTGAGGATGTGGAGAAACTGTAACTTACATACATTGTTTATGGGGGTGTAAATCAGTTTAATCACTTTGGGAAACATTGACAGTATCTACTAAAGCTGAACATACACAGCCTATAATCCAGCAATTCCACTAATGAATATAAACCCAATTAAACTACATGCATATGTCTGCCAAACACATGTACAAACATGTATGTAGTGGCTTATTCATAATAACCAAAAACTGGAAACAGCCCAAATGTCCAGAGACAGTGGAATGGATAAATAAAGTTTGGTATATTCAATACAGTGGAGTACAATATGGGAATGGAAAAGAACACACTTTGCTACATGCAACTATCTGGATTCACCTCACAGACAACATTTTGAGCAGAGAAACTGCATGATTTAATAATGCAAAGTTCTTGAACAGGCAAAACCAATCAATAGAGACAGAAATAAGAAAAGTGATTGCTTTTGAGGGAAGATATGGGCTGGGATTTCTTATTCTGGGAGGGAGTTACAAGGTGCACGTATCGTCGTCAAAGAGTCGTCAAGATGTACACTCAAGATTTGTGCACTTTATTTTGTTACATCTTAATGAAAATGTTGTTTAAAAGAATAAATACCCCCCAAATGCAGACAATTCTGAATCCAACATGCCTAGGTACTGGGGAGCCAACAACAGCACACTTTCCCTCAGAGCCTGTGGCACTGAGTCAGCCTCTGGGCACACCATACCTTCAGTCCTGATAGGATTGGGAGATGTAGTAAGTTCTTTCTTTTCCCCAACCATGTTAGACATTGATATTTCACTGGCTGGGTTATGAGTACCCTAATATTTCCCTCTGTCAATAAAACAGCTGCCAAGTGGTACCAAGTTGAACGTAGAGGGGAAGATGGGGTTGGTAGAGGAATAAAGACGAGGATAGGAAGTGAATTAGCAAATGACAATGAACATGACTTGCAGGAAACAAACATTGGTCCCAGTCACCCAGTGAAAGATCCCAACTCCTGCAGCCCAGAATTCCTTCTGAAGGCCATTCTATGAGGTGACATTATCTGCCATGATGGTTGCTAAAATGGTCACAGCACAGAACATACCACCCAAGCCTCAGCTGCTTCATAGATATGAGCCCTCAGAAGGCTGAGGCTCTTAGGAGACACTTATCATACTCACTGGCTTGTTAAATTGTCTAGAAGTGTTCTGCTAAGTCCTAAGTCAGTACTTATCTGCACACCAGCTTCTTATGCAGCCCAAAGGATAACACTGGCAAAGGATATACAATGGCAAGAAGTGGCTTTTTCTTGGGCCTCCAACAACACAGAGTCCTGGCTTCACCGGATAACTAGACTAGGAACAAAGTTCAAACACTGTTATTGGAAACATCTATACAGGTCTGACCCTCAAATCTAGTTCTCTTTCAAACACTTGGCTCCCCTTACCTCCAAAATTAATGCCTCCTGCTCTTGTTGCTGCCTGTTGAGACATTTGTGACCAAGTAAGTTTTCAGAGAGGTGTGGAGGGGTTACACGGGACACGAGAAGCCAACATTCATTGACCCCTACTAGGTTTCAGATACTGTACCAGATGATTCTATAGATCTGTGCTGGACAACACAGTGGCCAGTAACCACATGGAGCTATTTAAATTTCTAATTTTAATTAATGAAAATTAAATAAATGTAAAATTCAGTTCTTCAGTTACTCTAGCCACATTTTAAGTGCTCAACAGTCATGTGTGGCTTGTGGCTGCTCAATTGTACAGTGTAGACACGGAACATTTTTATTATCACGGAGGTGTCCACTGGACAGCCCTATATACAGACCTTTCCCCCTTAATCTTTGCAATAGTTCTTTGAGGTAGTTTATCAGTTAGAATGTATTGGACTGCTGGTAACAAAAAACCCCAGTTGGAAATGGCTTGATAATTCCTTTCTTGCTCTGAGAAGATGAAAAAAATAAATACATAAGAATAAAATAAGGAAAATAAATTCATGATTGATTTTAAGATAAATAATATTTATCTATACCTGAGAGTCCAGAAAACAGTTGTTTCCAGGACCAGCACAGTCAGTGAGGTTATTAAGGACTTAGGGACTTTCCCTCTCAGTGTTTGCTTCTCTCACTTGATGTGTCAGCCTTCACGTCGTCTAGTTTCCTGTGTGGATGCAAGACAGTGACCAGTGGCCATTGGGACAATGTGTTTCCTTGCTCATATCCCCCCAGGAGAAAGTAAAAATATCTCTCTTCCAGTCTAATTGGACCAACTGGGAGCACATGCCCTTCTCTGAACCATTAACAGTGCCACGGACTTTCATATACTGCTTGAGATGAATCACGATTTCTCTTTGGAAGTAAAAGTTGGGAAAAGCTGAATGAAATCGTGATTCTGTTGGAAAGGAGGAGGAAGGGAAATGGATGATAGGTAAATAACCAATGTTATCTACTGGAGTGAGTGTTGTTACTCCCATTTCACACACAAGGAAGCTGAGGCTAAGAGGGGTTAAGTAAATTACTCCAGGCCATAGATGGCACACTGCATAGAGCAGGAATTCAATCCAGGGTCTGTCCCGCTGTGGTATGTGTCATTGCCCACATGCCAGCCTGCCACACAGCATTGGGTGCATTTTGTCATTCAGCAGCACACTGCCACAGTGCCACTCAAGAGGTTATCACCTCACTCCTGATTAGCATAACATGATGATTAGCTAATAAGGCAAAGCAGCAATGAACCTGCTCTGATCCTCTTTCTGTGTAAGCAACTTCTGGTTATCTGTTGTATAGGATACATTATGCTTTGTTTCTCCTCCCAACCTTTCCCTTTATGTTAAATATATGATTTTTATCCTCAGAAGGGGGATTATCTCCGAGCAGAATTGGCAAGGTTAAACACTATCTATAAAACACATTCGGCTGTGCCATGAAATGAATTACATAATATATCAGTCATCTACCTGGCTTTCAAAAACCTGCAAATGCATTTCTGTTCAGTATGGGTGAGTATTTTATATTTTGCCTCCCTTCCCATGAAGGTAAAAATGACCTTGGTTCTTAGAAAGTGAAGATATATTGAACGGGTTAGGATCAACACAGTTCCATTTCATTTAGTCTCCACTAAAATTGCAAGGAGTGAAAATAGAGATTGAATTTATTTTACTATATATTGCCTCATTTGAACTTTCGTAAGGCATTAGCTTCTAAAGAAAACCCTCCCCCTTCCATAATCTCTTATTGATGGCATGTTAAGGAAATTGCCTTGACTTTATTGATTCTGAGCTATGAGGTACAATGTACCCGTCGGTGTGTTAAACTGAGAAAAGTGTGCTGGGCTGTCTATCGCTGCAGAGATGGAACTTGCTGACAGCGCAGCACTTTGGCCCTACCCAACACCCCTGGTTATTCTCCCCAGAGAGCAAATTAATAGGAAGCCGAGTGCATCAGAGCCTCCCTGCACGACCTTGCTTGGAAAGAGCAAGCAATGGGAGGAGATGAGCCTCATGTCCTGAGGGGGAGAAGAGCAGGGCAAGACCCCGCCACACCACAGCCAGCCCCTCCATATCTCCAGCCTCCTGGTGGGCAGGGATCCCCTTCAGAATTCTCCCCCAAGTAGCCCAGAAACTGTGTCCAACCAGGTTGCTTACTTTGTTAGAGCCTCAGGGTCCTTACCTGTAAAATGGTTGTAGCATTTTGGCTGGCAACAGCATCTCTCATATTTGTTCAAGAAACTACAAAGTGATGGGCCACTTTGGGTAAGGAGGGTGAGACTCCCAGAGAATGGTCTGTAAGAAGACCATGAAACGAGGTGGTCACTAACATGCTCTGCATGAAAAATGTATCAGCAATATTGGGCCTGGGAGATAATCAGGTGGGAAGGCAGAGACGAGAAACTGAGATGGGAAGAGGAGGTGTGGGCACTGGTCTGGTAAAGAGAAAACTTTTAACATCAAGAATAGCTAGTATTGTTTTGCACTGTTTGTAATAAAAACTATCTGCAGCTCCCAAACATGTGAAAAAGTCCATTACTCACACACACAAAAAAAGTGGTTTAGGGCAAAATAGGAGGGAGGTTGGGCATGGGACAAGGAGAAGAGTCAGCACAGAGCAGCGGGAGGAAAGTGGCCCTAGGAGGTGAGTGGAGGTGAAAATGGGAGTTGAGAAATGGCCACAAGCACTCCAGCGCCAGGGCATCACAGACAGCATGGTGAGAGGAGTAGGCTGGCAACAGAGGTAGAGCCATCTCTGCTTGGTTGCAAAGGATAAACTGACCTCAACCGATACCTGATCCACATGGGAATATAATCTCAAGCTTTGCAGGGTTGAGGTGAAGCTTTCATTTAATGACTACTTTTCCTGATTCCTATGCCTCCTGCCTGCTCTCCACCTCCCATCCCTTTTGAAGAATGTGGCTGCTGATGGCAGGCGCCATTCAATGGCTGCCCATAGCCACGAGAGGCCAGTCAAGCTGGAGGGAGCACCATCGTGGAGCTCATCATTCAGTGGCTCTGTCTTGTCCCTGGACCCTCATCCAGACCCCTTTTCCATCTTTCCCCTCCCTGACCTCACTCTTATGTCAGCCTCCTGTCACAATCCCCATCCCCACAGCTCCACCTGGCCCCAGGCCCTACCTCACCTTTTTCACCTCTGCTTCCTTGAATGAATAGGCCCCAGTAAGTAGTCAGAGGCCACAGGCACCCATCAGAAAAATCCTGCGCTGTTTCTGCTCTGCCCCATTCCTACTCAGTCACCACTGGATCCCCGTGGAGAGTGAGACCCAGTGAGTACATGGCTCACAAGCTGCCTTAGAGATGTACATTCACAAATGAGAAAGTTTGTCTTCAGTTGAGGGTACCTTGGGCACCCAGGTCAGGGCCAACCTGAAAAAGTCAAGTGCACTTTTGCCAATATGCCCTCCCTCCTACACATGTACTCTGCTCACGCCCCTCACACTCCAATTTTTATTTTTATTCTTTCCCCAGAACCTACACCTTGCTGGATCACCAATTGACCTAATGGACCCCATGTAGAAATATTTACCTTTGTGAAAACAGACACAGCAAAGAGCCAAAGGAATTACTTTATAAAGGGTAGTGTGTCTGCCACCAGCAAGGGAGCGTTTAGGACCACATGTTTGGGGTTGATAGTGCAAGGCTGGCCTTCACCTGCTGACCTGCCAACCCTCTCCAAAAGAAAAAGACAAAGGATCCCATCTCCTGTATTTCCTGGGAGCCCAGCCCAGTGTCTGGCACAGAGAAGATAGTCGATGAGTATCAAATGTCCCAGGCAATCCGTCTGAGGGGCCACCCGCTGCTGAAAGATGAGCTTGTCCACCTCTGTGAGCCACAAACCATAGATAAAAGCCTTCTAAGCCTAACAGAAGAGCACCGTCCCTTCCTTTCTGAATGCAATAATGAGATCACTTTCTCAAGAGTAAGACCAGAGGGGAGTGAAGGTTAAACAAATAAACCTCTTTCTCGCTGATATTAACTGACCCCCATGGCTGTGCTCTGGATATTGTGCTAAGTCTGGGAACACTAAGTCTGTTCCTTTTTCTCTATCTGAGCAAAAGGTAGAAGGAGTTGAGGTTGGGGTAGGAAGAGAATTATAAGGGTCAGGGAGAGAAGGTTATGAGGGCAGCAGAAAGTCTCAGCGTTCAGCTAATGTGTGTTGAATGAACTTCAGCTTGAGATGACACCAGACATTATATAGATCACAGGCCAATGGCTCAAATGCCTCCAGGTGGAAAGAAGCAAAGCTGGCCAGTGAGATAGGTAATGAGGGGCCGCTGCTCCCAGGAGGGCTTGTGACCTTTCTCAGAGTGGCAGCCTCTTCTCAGCTCCAGACAATTATTTCCAAATAGGTGTGTGAGTCCTCTGTGTCTAGATTTTCCTATTTTTTTTCCCCAAGAAAAGCCAGAAATGTGGATTTTCATGAAAAAAAAAACCCATTTTGAAACATTGGAAACTAGTTTAAAAATGTTCAAAACACTACACTGGTCAATAAAAGTGCATCTGAAGGCTGGATCCAGTCTCCCTTGTTTGTTGTAGAATAGTGGTTCTCAAATGTAAGTAGGTATCACAGTCTCCTTCAGAACTTAGTAATAGCACGGATTGCTGGGCTCTACCCCTAGAGTCTCTTATTCAGCAGCTCGGGTTGGAGGCCAGAAATTTGCATTTCTAACAACTTCCCAGGAAATGCCAATGCAGCTGATCCTGGGGCCACACTTTGAGATCCACCGCTGTTGTAGACCCCCCCGGAGGGTCTCCAGCCTTTCCTTCTGCCCCCATGATGTACTACTGGCTTGAGTGGAAAAGGTCTGCTCTCTCCTTCAGGACATTCTGTGAATGAAGTTGTGTGTGTGACCTCTGTCTCTCCAAAGCCTCCCTTCAGCACAGGTGTTAAAAACAGGAGCGTGAGGCTCTAATTCTTGGGCTCTTTCATGTCCTGATTATATTTTTCTGGCAAAGTCTGGACCCCAAGCATCATATTGTCTTCTTTAAGTCCCAAACCAGAAGATACTTTCCTGGAGAACCAGGTGCCCCTTAGACCTGTGCTCAACTGTACTCGATCATGTTAATATTAGAGAAAATCCAATATAAATCCCCTTGGTGTCAGGGGTTCTGCAAGGTTGCTATAATTGCCTGAAGCTTAAGACACATTTTTAACCTCTTCTGTCTTCAGAGAGTCTCCAGCTAGGCCAGGGGAAATTTATAAACCCTTGGGGTTCTCATTAGGGCATAAGAGCACATTTCTGGTAACTAAGGAGGAGTGCTGGAAGAAGTAACACATACATACTGCTCCAACAGGACTATGCTTGGCCAGAATTTCCATTGTGATTTGTATCTTTTCAAACTCAGAGTTACAGAGCTGACTCGAATTTGTTCTCTCCAATACAGGCCCTGACTAGAAAGCAGTGAGCCCCCTTCCTCCAGTTTCCCCAGAGAGTGGTGCAGAGATTGCTAAAGACCAAGTTTATAGGCTGGTCCAGAAAGCTAGAGATATGGGAACCTGGCTTTCCTAAAAGATCCACTGCCAGGGCCCCAGAATGACAGCTCACACATACCTCTCATGACAATGAAGATAAGAACTTAATCCCAAAAGTTCTGACACACTCTCACTGATATCTCATTGTAGTTTGGAGTTGCATTTCTTTGATGATCAATGATGTTGAGCACATTTTCATATGCCTGTTTAGCATTTGTATGTCTTTCTTTAAGAAATGTCTGTTCAGATCTTTTGCCCATTTTAAAAATTGGATTAAAAATCCAATTAAATCTAAAAAGTTAGATTTTTTTACTACAGAGTTGTTTAAGCTCCTTATATATTCTAGTTATTATCCCCTTGTCAGATGGATAGTTTGCAAATATTTTCTCCGATTCTGTGGGTTGTCTCTTCGCTTTGTTGATTGTTCCCTTTGCTCGGCAGGTTTCTCACTTGAGGTGATTCCATTTGTCCATTTTTGCTTTGGTTGCCTGTGCTTGTGGGGTATCACTCAAGAAATTTTTTGCCCAGATCAATGTCCTGGAGAGTCTCCCCAATGTTTTCTTGCAGAAGTGTCATAGTTTGAGGTCTTAGATTTAAGTCTTTAATCCATTTTGATTTGATTTTTGTATATGGCAAGAGACAGGGGTCTAGATTCATTCTTCTGCATGTGGATATCTGGTCTTCCCAGCACAATTTATTAAAGAGACTGTCTTTGCCCCACTGTAAATTCTTGGCATCTTTGTTGGAAATGAGTTCACTGTAGGTGTGTGGATTAGATTCTGGGTTCTTTATCCTGTTCCATTGGTCTATGTATCTGTACCATGCTGTTTTGGTTACTATACCTCTGTCATATACTTTGAAGTCAGGTAATGTGATTCCTCCCGTTTTGTTTTTTTGCTTAGGACAGCTTTGGCTATTTTGGGTCATTTGTAATTCCATAGAAATGTTTGGATTGTTTTTTCTATTTCTGTGAAGAATGTCATTGGTTTTTGTTTTTGTTTTTTATAGGGATTGCACTGAATCTGTCAATCGCTTTGGGTAGCATGGACATTTTAACAATATTGATTCTTCCAATCTATGAACATGGAATATCTTTTCATTTTTTTGGTGTCCTCTTCAATTTATTTCATCAGTGTTTTATAGTAATCTTTTACTTCTAATCTTTTACTTCTTTGGTTAATTGCTAGGTATTTAATTTTATTTGTAGCTATTGTATATGGGATTACTTTCTTGATTTCTTTTTCAGATTGTTCACTGTTGGCATATAGAAATGCTACTAATTTTTGGTTTTTGATTTTGTATTCTGAAGCCTTACTTGATTTGTTTATCTGTTTTAATAGTTTTTTGGTGGAGTCTTTAGGTTTTTCCAAATATAAAATTACATCATCTGCAAACAAGGATAATTTAACTTCTTCCTTTCCCTTTATTTCTTTCTCTTGTCTGATTGCTGTAGCTAGAAATTTTAGTACTATGTTGAATAATAGTGGTGAGAGTGGGTATCCTTGTCATGTTCCAGATCTTAGAGGAAGGGCTTTCAGTTTTTCCCCATTCAGTATGATACTAGCTGTGGGTCTTTCATATATGGCTTTTACTATGTTGAGGTATGCTTCTTCTATACCCAGTTTCATGAGGGTTTTTATCATGAAGGGATGTTGAACTTTATCAAATGCTTTTACAGTATCCATTGAAATGATCATATGGTTTTTGTCCTTCATTCTGTTGATATGATGTGTCACATTGATTGATTTGCATATGTTGAACTATCCTTGCATCCCAGGGATAAATCTCACTTGATCACAGTGAATAATATTTTTAATGTATTGTTGAATTTGGTTTGCTAGTATTTTGTCAAGGATTTTTGCAACAATATTCATCAGAGATATTGGCCTGTAGTTGTTGTTTTTATGTGTCTTTCTCTGGTTTTAGCATCAAGGTAATACTGGCCTCATAGAATGAGTTTGGAAGTATTTCCTCCTCCTATATTTTCCAGAATAGTTTGAGTAGGATTGGTATTAGTTCTTCTTTAAATGTTTGGTAGAATTCAGCAGTGAAGCCATCAGTTCAGGGCTTTTCTTTGCTTGGAGAATTTTTATTATGACTTCTATCTCATTACTTGTTATTGATCTGTTTAGCTTTTGAATTTCTTCATGGTTCAATCTTGGTAGGTTGTATGTATCTAGTAATTTGTCCATTTCTTCTAGATTTTCCAGTTTATTGGCATATAGTTGCTCATGGTAGCCATTAATGATCCTTTGACTTTCTGCAGTGTCAGTTGTAATGTCTTTTTCTCACCTCTGATTTTGCTTATTTGGGTCTTCTCTCTTTTTTCTTAGCCTGGTTAAAGGTTTGTCAATTTTGTTTAACTTTAAAAAAAACCAACTTTTTGTTTCATTGATGTTTTGTATTGTTTTCTTCTTTTCAATTTCCTGTATTTCTGTTCTGATCTTTATTATGTCTTTTCCTCTACTATTTTTGTGTTTCTTTGCTCTTGCTATTCTAGTTCTTTAACATGCATTGTTAGGTGGTTTATTTGACATTTTTCCTCTTTTTTTTTTTTATATAGGCACTTGTAGCTATAAAGTTGCCTCTTAGTACCGCTTTTGCTGTATCCCATAGGTTTTGATGTGTTGTGTTTCCATTATCATTTGTTTCAAGAAATTTTTTAATTTCCTTCTTAATTTCTTCACTGACCCACTGGTCATTCAGGAGCATATTGTTTAATTTCCATGTGTTTGTATAGTTTCCAAAATTCCTCATTATTGAGTTCTACTTTTATTCCATTACGGTCAGAGAAGATGCTTGATATTATTTAATTTTTTTTTTTTTTTTGAGATGGAGTCTCACTCTGTCACCCAGGCTGGATTGCAATGGTGTGCCACCATGCCCAGCTATTTTTTATATTTTTAGTAGAGATGGGGTTTTGCCATGTTGACCAGGCTGGTCTCAAACTTCTGACCTCAGGTGATCCGCCTGCCTTGGCCTCCCAAAGTGGTGGGATTACAGGCATGAGCCACCACATTTTGAATATTTTAAGACTTGTTTTGTAACTGAATGTATGGTCTATACTTGAGAATGATCGATGTACTGAGGAAAAGAATGTGTATTCTGCAGCTGTTGGATGAAATGTTCTGTAAATATCTATTAAGTCCATTTGATCTATAGTGCAGATTAAGTCTGATGTTTCTTTGTTGACTTTTTGTCTGGAAGATCTGTCCAATACTGAAGGTGGGGTGTGCTTAATTTCTGCTTAATTATTTGTAATTATTTCAATCTCTTTGTTAAATTTGTCTGATAGAGTTCTGAATTCCTTTTCTGTGTTATCTTGAATTTGAGTTTTCTCAAAATAGCTATTTTGAATTCTCTGAGAGGTCACTTATCTCTGTTTCTCCAGGATTGGTCCCTGATGCCTTATTTAGTTCTTTAGGTGAGGTCTTGCTTTCCTGGATTGTCTTGATACTTATCGATTTTTTGTCTGTGTCTGGGCATTGAGGAGTTAGGTATTTATTATAGTCTTCACAGTCTGAACTTGTTTGTACTCATCCTTCTTGGAAAGGAAGGCATTCCATATATTCTAAAGGACTTGGGTGTTGTGAGGGGTCTATCTAAAGCCCACTAATGCTGTGGTCCTTGCAGACTCATAGATTTACTGCCTTGGTAGTCTTGGAGAAGATCCAGAATTCTCTGGGTCACCAGGCAGAGACTCTTGTTCTCTTCCCTTACTTTCTCCCAAACAAACGGAGTGTCTTTCTCTGTTCTGACCCATCTGAAGCTGGGTGTAGAGTGACACAAGAATCCCTGTGGCCACCACCACTAGTACTGTGTTTGGACAGATCTGAAGCCAGCAAAGTGCTGGATCTCACCCAAGGCTTGCTGTAACCACTCCCTGGGTACCGCCTATGTTCATTCAAGGCCCTAGGGCTCTACAATCAGCAGGTGGCAAAGCCAGTCAAGCCTGTGTCTTTTCCTTTAGGGTGGTGAGTTCTTCCAGGCCCTGGGCAGCTATCGAGGTACCATGCTCCAGCCAGGAACTAGAGTCAAAAACCATAGATGTCTACGTGGTGTTTTATTGTACTGTGGCTGAGCTGTCGCTCAAACTACAAGACACAGTCCTTCCCACTCTTCCCTCCCATTTCCACAGTCAAAGGAGCCTCACCTGTGGCCGCCACCACCACAGGCCCACAGAGAGTATTGCCAAGCTACCACCAATGTTCCCTCAAGGTCCAAGGGTTCTTCAGTCAGTTAGTGGTGTGCCTGGCCTGGGACTTACCCTTCAGAGACAGGAAAAAGACTGTTTTTAGTGCTCACCTGATTTTTGGCTCTTATCAAGGTTTTTTTGTGTGTGTGTATAAATAGTTTTTAAAATTGTGTTCTTGCTTGGAGGACAATGGGTGGAGCCTTCTATTCTGCCATCTTGCTCTGCCCCCTGGAAGTTACTCTTACTCTTCTGAAGTTAGATCCTGTTAAGTCTTGGTTTGCTCCAAATACGTACCTGATATATGGGGACCTCTTGTCTTTTCCAAGAGTGTGGAAATGGTATATGCCATTCCGGTTTAAATTTTGTTTGGAGTGAAAATCATAAAACTTCTAAGTTGTTCTCAGCTGACAGTCTGGAGTGGTAACAATAGAGCACCACTGGAGCGGTAACAATAGAGCACCACTGGAGCCAGATAGCACTGAGTTAGAATCTTGGCTTTGCCCCTAACCAGGCCTGTGACTGTGAGGACATTGGTTAACCCCTCTGGGCCATCCCCTTCCTTATCTGTCATTTGAGAATTAAAAGGGGTAATGAAGTTGCCTGGCTCAAAGACAGTACTCAATAAATGTTATTCACATACATAACAATAAATTAAATGTTATTAATATTGTTATATGCCTGTTCCACACAGATATTCCTAAAAAGAAACATTTAGCTCTTCCATTCCAGCAATTTATTCTCTTAGTTCCATTTTAGTCTCCCAGGAAGTAGGTAAAACTGAGAATACTCTTTCCCATTTTACACATGAGGAAACAGAAACTTGGGAACATAAAACATCTATCTCAAGATCATATAGTGACTGAGTGCAAAGCTGGTACTCTCTCCTTGTCCCATCCTTATCTTTCGCCATTTCAGGGTTTTCAAGAGACAGAGGGAGTTTCAAAGGGACACTAAGGGCTCAGTTTCTGTTTCATACACGATTCCAGGTCTCTTTGCAGAGAGTCTGAGCATCAAGTAGTGAGAGGTAGAAGCTGGTTCCTGATCAGCCCCTACCAACCCCCAATACACACACATACACACTAACATACATACACACCAGGAGCTGTGAGATGGCTGACAATGGCCAACACCGGGAAAGAAGCTACTTTTGGTGGTGTTTAGGGTTCTCTCAGAAGTGGTTGGTAGAAGCTCCGTGTGTGTGTGTGTGTACACGTGCACATGTGTGTGTTGGGGAATTGGGAGGTGTCTGTTTCAGAGGGAATACCACTCCAGCCAACTAAGCAGAATTTGAAATAATTTCTGCTCAACTCCTAAATGGTGTTCCTCCCATCACTCCTCCATACCTACTTTAAAAAGCAGGCTTTTAAATCTGAATTTAACTGTGTTGCTCTCTGACTGAATAATCTTCATTGGCCACTCATCACATTCAGGGTGAAGCCCAGGCCCAAAGCCCAGCACAAAGACCTACATGATGTGCTCACTTCCAACTGGAAGGTGGGAGGCAGTTCTTACCCAGCAGACACCAAGTTCTCCCCATCCTCCAGCCATGTGGATCCACACATGCCCTTGTCTATACCCTAGGCCTTTGCACAATTGGATCATTCTGCCTGTCACATCCTCTCCCTCACTCTTTCTCCTCAAAGATGATCTAGTGGTGTTTCTCTTCGAAGTTTTTCCTGGACCTTCTTTTGTGCTTAGGCTGAGCTTCTCATTCTCTATTGCAGTGATATGCTCTCATTTCTCCTGAACTAGACTGTTCACTGAAGGGTGAGGGCTATATCTGAGTCCCATCTTGATTTCCCAGTTTATAGCACAGGGCCTGGCCCCAGTAGGCATCTGTACAAGCTTATTTAATAAACAAAAGAGTGAATAGATGGTTTGGAGCTCTGAAGGCATCTTTCCACAGAAAGAGTGTTGAAAATGACTCTGTGTGTTCCCTGTAGGCTACTGACTGTGGATGACCTCTGACCTTTGTGAGACTCTGACAGCTTGGCTCCTCCATCCCCATGGAGGAGTAGCAGTGAGGATTGGAGCCTTGATCTCAGCTCCAGGCATGGACTTGATGGGCTAGAAGTAATCCCTATGGCCTGGCCTACGATCGGTTTAAGACCAGTGAGTGACCCATTTTAAGTCAATGAGACTCAAGTAGAGGGTGGTTGAAGGGTCTATAGTAGTTCTTGAAGGAGGCAGAAAGACAGGTGGCTCCTGACAGCCATCTCAAGCACTGCAGGAGATCCAGGTGTAAGACAAAGCTGGCTCTGCAGAAGGCAGAGAGGAAATGCAGAGAGAGCCTGGGTCTCTGGTGAACATGAGAAACTACGGATGAATTCCTCAGACTGCTCATTTCTGATTTCAGTTATGTGTGTCAGTAAGATTTCTTGTTTTGGGAGCCACTTTGAGCTGGATATTCTGTCACCTGCTGCTGGAAGCAGGACTGATCTTTGTGAAGCTAACTAAATGTAAGCTTGAGTTCCCTTCCCTTACACAGGCTTCTTCCAAGGCCCTGGGACCCAGGGTGCCATGTGTTTGTAAATTTACAAAAGCAAGATATTTTAATAACAACCCATGAAAACCACCATGTTTCTCCACTGTGATGCCTGCTCTGTCACACTGCCCTTAGGGTGGGGTGCAGTTGCAGTAGTCACAGGCAGTTCAGGGATCTGGCCAAGGTGGTGATGAACTGGTCACTCATGCTATTGGATGTGGAGGGATGTGGTTCACCGTCACTTTGGGGCTTAGCTAAGTTATGCTGGATGTCCCAGTGTAAGAATGACTTTCAAGAATTCAATTGCCACCCACACAGCTGACTCACCTGGCACTGTGTCTGGGAGATGCAGGGCCACAGGTTGTCACACGATGTGAAACACAAGCCACAGCACTCACAATGGAACTGCATGATGGAAGGAGGAAAAACAAGATTTGAAATATATTCTGAGGAAATTTCCTCCAGTTACTAGACACATGAAATTGTAAGTGAAGGATTCTGTTTAACTCAATGCCTCAACACAATGAATGTTATCTCTTGTCAGATGTGATGGCATTGGCCTCCTAGTGCGCCACCATGATGATTATGTGAATGGCAAACTGGTTAATGAGCACCGTCAACCCAAAGCATAGTTAAAGATGGGTCACTGCATAAGAAAACACAAAACCCTGAAACTTGTCGGCTTCAGAGGAGATTCCTAAATTTGACAATAGTCCTAAAAATGTACATGACCTTACCAGCGATGAGTTGTGAAGCTACAAGAAACTTTAAAAAACTATTGATAATGAAAAATAATTGATGAACCATGGTAGAGGAAAGTCCAAATTATCCAACTGTTGGCTTTAGAGAAAAATAACATTATAAACTTGGTGCCATGTCAGGAGGTAATCAAAGAGAAGCAGCCAAAAAAAATCAGGGGAAAAGGTATTTTTAGAGGGGACAGTTATTTAATAAAAACGACACGCTTTTTTTTGATTTTGTAATTTCTTGGGTGTGTATTAGTCCATTCTCATGCTGCTAATAAAGACATACCCGAGACTGTGTAATTTATAAAGGAAAAAGGGTTAATTGACTCACAGTTCATTATGGCTGGGGAGGCCTCAGGAAAATTACAATCATGGCAGAAGGGGAAGCAAATATGTCCTTCTTCATGGGGCAGCAGGACAGAGAAGTGCAAAGCAAAAGGGGGAAAAGCCCCTTACAAAACCATCAGATCTCGTGAGAAATCACTCGCTATCATGAGAACAGCAGCATGGCGGTAACTGCCCCATGATTCAATTAACTCCTACTGGGTCCCTCCCATTACAGGTGCGGATTATGGGAACTACAATTCAAGATGAGATTTGGGTGGGGACAGCCAAACCATATCACTCAGCTTTTAAAAATTTATAATTCGTTGCTGTTTCTTATCCTAAGTATTCATTTTCTTACCTAATTTTATATTGGTAATTTTATGGGTTTTATCAGTTAAAGAGAGTTCCTGAGTTGTGTAAGCCTCAGGCCTCACAACACCTGGATCTCCTCTGACTGGAGTTAAATATACACATACATTATCTCACTGAATCTAATCCCGTGCTCCCTTTAGGAGGTAGGTACTGTTATTAAGGCTCAGAGAGGTTGAGTCACGTGCCCAATGTCACATAGCTGTTAAGTGGGAGAGTAGGAATTTGGTGTTTGTGATTCTCTCCTGGAGAGAGATTGAGTGCTCCCTGAAAAAGGGAGCACAGGGGCATTGCCATCTAACCCAGCCTGTGGAGAGACATGAAGGATACCTGGAGGAGGTGATACTGGAACTGAATTTTAATATTTGAGTAAGTGTTGGCTGATGCCTAGAAGGAGACTAGAGGGGTGAGACAGCTGCCCACACAGACGACATGGCACATAGAGGGTGTTGGAAGCAGACAGTGATGTGCTGTGGAAACAGGCAGATTGAGGGCTCAGGAGCATCTTGGATTTCTCCCCTTGGTTAACCCTCCAAACCTCAGAGCTCTGGGATTTGTTCTATCCTCATCATTGAGTAGGGCCAGATTTCTGATTTAGGGCCCAGGGTTCTCTCTGGGCCACTTAGGGTAACTAAACGCCCAGGTTTGTCTGGGACTAAAGGGTTGCCCGGGACGCAGGACTCTCAGTGAAAATGGAAAAAGTCCCAGGCAAGTCAGCATGAGTTGGTCACCCAGAAAGCTGGAAAGACCACTTTTCTGACAAATTGAAGCACCACTCTCCCCTTTTCTCAAGCCCAGGCAAGGGAGGTGATATCCACCGGCAGCTCCTGGGTTTGTAGAGGGGAAGGAAGTCTGAGGTGATGGGCAGTTCAGCTACCCACCTTCTCCCACTTAGCTCTGCTTTTGGATTTTAAAAGAGCAAAGCTCCACTGCCGTGGCCACAGCCTATGTTTCCCTCAGCACACTCTGCAAAGCCTACGGCCCCGAAGTAACTTTTTTCTTTTCTTTTTTTTTTTTTTTTTTGAGACAGGGTCTTGCTCTGTCACTCAGGCTAGAGTGCAGTGACCTGAACATGGCTTACTGCAGCCTCAACCTCCTGGGCACAAGTGATCCTACCACCTTAGCACCCCAATTAGTTGGGACTACAGGCGTGCACCACCAGATTTGGATAATTTTTTTTTTCTTTTTTTTTGTAGAGATGAGGAGATGAGGGTCTCACTTTGTTGCCCAGGCCGGTCTTCAATTCCTGGGCTCCAGCGATCCTCTCGCCTCAGCCTCTCAAAGTGCTGGGATTATAGGTGTGAGCCACTGTGCCTGGCCCAAACTAACTATTGATTAATTAACTGGGCTCCTCATCCTTCAGACCACAGATTCCCCACCTACAAAAGTCCAGTTGGTACATGGGGTGTCAATGCAGGCCTTGTGGAGGGCCTGGGCCAACCATGGCATCTGCGACCCTTTTTAGTTTATCAAAGACCAAAGCGATATTTCTCAAACAATACTGCCTATGACAATCTTTGCCCCTGCTTGTGACAATGCAGATTCCTAGGCCTATACTCCTAGATATCTGAGTTCAGCTCATCCAGGGTGTCAGCTAAGCAACTGCACCTTAGACAAGCTTTTTAGGTAGTAATGGTGCAGGTATTTCCAGACACTAGAAAAGAGATTGCACCCAGAAATTCTACCTTTTGAAAGTTATCCTAAAGGCAGTGCACAAAGGAAATTTAAGAGAATTATCATGCCAGTTTGTCAAAATAGAAACATTGAGGGGGAACATTAGATATTGATTAAGTAAAATTTTGTATCTCTATATAATAAAATGCTGGGCAGCCATCAAAAATGTTATTGTGGATCTCAACTGAACTGGAAAGATGTTTAGCACGTATATATTTATTAATAACAATGGTTTTATTTTGAAATCCTTTTAGATTTATAGTACAGTTGCAAAGATGGCACGGAGAGTTCTGGTATACCTTTCATGCAAGCTTCCCTGAATATTAACATCTTGCATAACCATGATTTATCAAAGCTAAGATATTAGTAACCATATAATTTTATTTATTAAACTACCAACTTCATTCAAATTTTACCAGTCTTCCATAACGCTCTTTTTCTGTTCCAGGATCCAGTCTGGGATAACCCATTGCATTTAGTTGTCACGTCTCCTTAGTATTCTCCAATCTGTGGCCATTTCTGTCTTTTCTTGTTTTCATGATCTTGACACTTTTGAAGAAGACTTACCAGATGTTTTGGAGGCTGTCCCTCAACTAGGGTTTGTCTGATGTTTTTTCAAGATTAGATAGAGTTACAGGTGTTGGGGAAGAACATTGCCACTGAGGCGAAGTGCCCTTCTCATTGCATCGCAACAGAGAGCATGTGATATCAACATGACTTATCAGTGGTGATTTTAACCTGATCACTTGGTTAAGGTGGTGTTTGCCAGATTTTTCCACTATAAAACTATTATTTTTTTCTTTTTTATATGTGAGAAGTAAGTCACTAAGCCCAGTCCATATTTGAGGGAAAGAGAATTAAATTTCACCTTCTGAAGGGAGGAGTGTAAAATAATATATCATATGATCCCATTTTTGTAGAAAAAAATATTTTCATGCATTCATAAAATTTTATAAGAAAACAAACTACAACATTAACAGCAGCTACCCCTGGGTGATGGGAGAGTAGGCAATTTTTTCTCCTTCATCTTACTGATCTAATTTTTCTAATGAATTTTCCTTATGAATAGGTATAGCTTGTATCATAAAAAGTTGAAGAAAACAAAAAGACAAAAGGCAACATTTAAGACTTGGTCATGATTGAAGCAGGGAGGCAGAGTTAGTGCAATGGATAATCCAGTCAAGAGACCAGGTGATTTCAAAAGGCTGGAGTCTTGGGCTGAAACCATAACAGTGAAAATTTCCAGGGAGAAATGCATGACCCAACATTTAATTCAAAACCCAAGGGCACTGGTACAGGATGAAGTAATGGGAAGTGCTGGTGGGCACCAAACGCTTGATCTGTGGGATCAAGCCCTGGGTTGTTTATTTTCTGAAACCACAGATTCAGTCTTAGCTTATAAGATGTCTGGGTGCTAACATTGTTCATGTAGAAGCGGAGTGAGTGTCCAGCTCGAGGGGAGTAGTAGTCCCTGTCACAAGTGCTGTTAATGATTTTCCATGTTCCCTCTCCACTCACGGTCCCCTTAAGGCCAACAACTTCTTAATGAAGAAGGGCTCAAGTGATCCTCTTGCCTCAGGCTCTCAAAGTGCTGGGATTATAGGTGTGAGCCACTGTGCCTGGCACAAACTATTGATTGATTGACTGGGGTCTTTGTCCTTCAGACCACAGCCTCCCCACCTGTCTAACTGTGGCTTCACTGGCCTTAGGGCTGTGTTTGGCCTGTGCTTGGGGCAGGCCAGGGTGCCAGGAAGTTAACACTCGCTTAGTCCATTTGTGTTGCTATAAAGGAATACCTATGCCTGGGTAATTTATAAAGAAAAAAAGTTTATTCAGCTCACGGTTCCTCAGGCTGTACAAGAAGCATGGTGCTGGCATCTACTTCTGGTGAGGGCTTCAGTCTGTTTCCACTCATGGTGGAAGGCGAAGGGGAGCCGTCATGTGTGGAGATCACATGCTGAGAGAGGAAGAGAGAGAGAAAAGACGAAGAGGAAGAAGAAGAAGAAGGAGAAGGAGAAGGACAAGGACAAGGAGAAGAAGGAGGAGGAGGAGGGAGGAGGAGGTGGAGGAGGAGGAGGAGGAGGGAGGAGGAGGTGGAGGAGGAGGAGGAAGAGGAAGGAGGGAGGAAGAGGGAGGAGGGAGGAGGCTCTTTAACAACCAGCTCTCACTCCTGAGAGAATGAGAGAATGGCTCCAAGTCATTCATGAGGGATCTACCTCGACGACCCAAACAGTTCCCACCAGTCCCCACCTCCTACGCTGGGGATCAAATTTTAACATGAGACTTGGCAGAACCAGACAAACCATACTCAAATCACAACACTACCCTTGGAGCAGCTTTAACCAATAGACAGATGGCAGTTGAGAACTAACTACCTAGCCTCATTCTCCTTGACTGGGGCTGCTCTATGGCATGCTCTTCATGGTCTCCCAGAATTCCCTGGGAGGGGTGAGCCCCAGTTGCCCATGGTGATAACCTGCTCATTAACCACTCTGCATCAGTTTTTCTACCCTACCTACCGTACTGGTATCTCCTGAGATCACCTCCCAGATAAATCCTTTATTTTTTCTGAGTAAAACAAGAATTTATTTTGACACACAAAATAAATAAACCTAAATATATCATTGTGTTTTTTTGGTTTGTTTTTTACAATATTTATTTATTTATTTATTTATTTTTATAATTTTAACTTTTATTTTAGATTCGGGGGTACATGTGCATGCAGGTTTGTTACCTGGGTATATTGCATGATGCTGAAGTTTGGGGTACAACTGATCTCATCACCCAGCTATTAAGTATAGTACCCAATAGTTTTGCAACCTTTGCCCCCTTCCCTCCTCCCTCTAGTAGTCCCCAGTGTTTATTTTTCCTATCTGTATGTCCATGAGTACCCATTGTTTAGCTCCTACTTAAAAGTGAGAACATGTGGTATTTGGTTTTCTGTTCCTGCATTAATTCACTTAGAATAATGGCCTCCAGCTGCGTCCATGCTGCTGCAAAAGACATGATTTTGTTCCTTTATATGGCTGCATAGTATACCATGGTATGTATGTACCACATTTTCTTTATCCAATCCACCATTGATGGGCACCTGGGTTGATTCCATGTCTTTGCTATCGTGAATAGTCCTGTGATGAACATGCAAATGCATGTGCCTTCTTAATAGAAAAATTCATCTTCTTTTGGATGAATACCCACTAATGGGATTGCTGAAGTGAATGGTAGCTCTGATTTGTGTTCTTTGAGAAATCTTCAAACTGCTTTCCACAGTGGCTGAACTAATTTATATTCCCACCAACAGTGTTTAAGCATACCCTTTTCTCCACACCCTCGCCAGTATTCATTGTTTTTGACTTTTTAATAATAGCCATTCTGAGTGGTGTGAGATGATATTTCATTGTGGTTATGATTTGCATCTTTCTGATGATTAGTAATGTTGAGCATTTTTTCATGTTTGTTAGCCATTTATATGTCTTCTTTTGAGAAGTGTCTGTTTATGTTTTTGCTCATTTTTTAATGGAGTTGTTTGTTTTTTCTGTCAACTGTTTAAGTTCCTTATAGATTCTGGATATTAGCCCTTTGTTGGATGCATAGTTTGTGAATATTTTCTCCCATTTTGTAGGTTTCCGTTTACTCTGTGGACAGTTTATTTTGCTATGCAGAAGCTCTTTATTTACGTCTCATTTGCCAATTTTGTTTTTGTTGCAATTGTTCTGAGGACTTAGTCATAAATTCTTTCCCAAGGCTGGTGTCAAAAATGGTGTTTCCTAGGTTTTTCTCTAGGATTATTATAGTTTGAGGGCTTACATTTAAATATTTAGTTCATCTTGAGTTAATTTTGGTATATGGTGAAAGGTAGGTGCCCAGTTTTATTCTTTTGCATGTGGCTAGAGAGCTATCACAGCACTATTTATTGAACAGGGAGTTCTTTCCCCATTGCTTATTTTTGTTGGCATTGTTGAAGATCAGCTGACTGTAGGTGGATGGCTTTATTTTTGAGTTCTCTATTCTGTTCCATTGGTCTATGTGTCTGTTTTTGTACCAGTACCATGCTGTTTTGGTTACTGTGGCCTTACGTATAGTTTGAAGTCAGGTAATGTGATGCCTCTGACTTTGTTCTTTTTGCTTAGGTTTGCTTTGGCTCTTTGGGCTCTTTTTTTTTTTTTTTTTTCCATATGAATTTTAGGATTTTTTTTTCTAGTTCTGTGACGAATGATGTTGGTATCTTGATAGGAATAGCACTGAATCGGTAGATTGCTTTGGGCAGTATGGCCATTTTAGCAATAATGATTCTTCTAATCCAGGAACATGGAATGTTTTTCCATTTGTTTGTGTCATCTATGACTTCTTTCAGCAGTGTTTCATAGTTTTCCTTGTAGAGATCTTTCACTTTCTTAATTACATGTATTCCTAGGTAACTTTTTTTGTAGCTATTGTAAACGGGATTGTGTTCTGGCTTTGGCTCTCACCTTGAATGTTATTGGTATATAGAAATGTTACTAGTTTTTGTACATTGATTTTGTATCCTGAAACTTTACTAAATTCATTTATCAGTTTCAAGAGCCTTTTGGCAGAGTCTTTAGGGTTTTCTAGGTAAAGAATCATATCACCAGTTTAGAGAAATAGTTTGACTTCTTCTTTTCCTACTTGGAAGCCTTTTTTTCCTTTCTCTTTCCTGATTGCTGTGGCAGGGACTTCCAGTATTATGTTGAATAGGAGTAGTGAGAGTGACCATCCTTATCTTATTCCAGTTTTTGAGGGGAATGCTTTTAGTTTTCGCCCTTTCAGTATCAATCCTCGTCACAGATTCTATTGCTGGGGATCCCAGCCTAAGGCAGTCCCATTGTTTCCGGAGATCAGGTTCAATTCCGTGCACTGTGTTCATATTATTCCCAGGAAGGGACTGTCATAGTCTGAGTCTTGCAGCCAAGTCAGAGGGCTTAAAACTGGATACGCCAGGGATGTTTAACTTAGGGGAGATTTTGAAGAGGTGGGCAAGTTGTCTTCAGATGCTTGGAAGATCCCTCAATAAAAAGAGGATGTATTTTCTCTACTCCAGAATGTAGTAGCACTGATATGAACCTTGTACAGTAATAATGAGTGTTCCCACCAAGCTATTGGCTTCTTTTTTTAAAACTTTTATTTTAGGTTCAAGAGTACATGTGCATGTTTGTTATATAGGTAAATTGTGTGTCACAGAGGTTTGGTGTACACAATTATTTTACCACCCAGGTAATAAGCATAGAACCTGATCAGTAGTTTTCCCATCCTCTCCCTCCTCCCACCCCCTACCCTCAAGTTGGCTCCGTTGTCTCTTGTTCCCTTCTCTGTGTCCGTGTATACTCAATGTTTAGCTTCCACTTATAAGTGAGAACATGCAGTATTTGTTTTTCTGTTCGTGTGTAGCTATTGGCTTCTTTAGGTAGGGGTTGAGTTTCAGTCAACTTGCCATCCTCAGTAACCAGCATGGTGGCTGTCAATAAGCAAATAATGGTAGGAGGCATTTGTGGGTTCCTGACCAGTGTTTATTCCCACCTTCTCTTGTCAATGGTGTTCTCATTTTCCTTTAGAGAATTTACCCCTCTTTCATTTCAAGTCTTTTTTTTTTTTACTATTATTTTAGGTTCAAGGGTACATGTGCAGGTTTGTTATATAGGTAAATTGTGTGTCACAGAGGTTTGGTGTACACATTATTTTACCACCCAGGTAATAAGCATAGAACCTGACAGGTAGTTTTCCCATCCTCTCCCTCCTCCCGCCCCCTACCCTCAAGTTGGCTCCCCTGTCTCTTGTTCCCTTCTCTGCCTCCATAGCCCATCTCTCTGGTTGCAGTGATTGGTTCAGAGATGGGCACATGACCCAATGTGAGCCAATAAGAGAGAGTCTTAGGAGTTGTGAGAGGCGCTGGCAACAAGAGTTGCTCTTAGTTCTCCTGGAGGATGAGGTAAGAGGCCTGGTCTGCAGCAGCCATTTTGCTCACAACCTCATTGACCCAGGACGGCCATGAGAGCTTAAAGATGAGTGGAAAAACAACATGGAGGCCAGGCGCGGTGGCTTACGCCTGTAATCCCAGCACTTTAGGAAGCCGAGGCGGGTGGATCACCTGAGGTCAGGAGTTCCCTGGCCAACATGGCGAAACCCCATCTCTATTAAAAATACAAAAATCAGCAGGGCGTGGTGGCTCGTGCCTGTAGTCCCAGCTACTCGGGAGGCTGAGGCAGGAGAATTGCTTGAACCCAGGAGGCAGAGGTTGCAGTGAACCGAGATAACGCCACTGCACTCCAGCCTGGGTGGCAGAGTGAGACTCCATCTCAAAAACTAAAACTAAAAATAAATAAGAATAAATAAAAAACCATGGAAGGCAGAGTGAAAGGAGAGCACCACCTGGTCTTTTGTGGCATTTTTGAACTCTGGGACAAGCCTCACTTGGAGCCATTTTTTTTCTAGTAATACCTTTTATAGGGTAAGTCAATTTGAGTGGGTTTTCTGTCACTTGTAATATTATGTCATAACTAATACTATGCTCAACACAGGTTTGCTGGTGGATACATTGTATAAAAATGGAGCAGATTTCAGGTAGGTGTAAAGAAGGGTTTGTTAAAACTCAGAGCTCTGAAATATAGTACAGAATGCCCTCTGAGGTAATACATTTTATATTTCCAAAGGAAGAAGCATAGGCTGCATCACCATCCTGTCAGGGGTGCTGAAGAAGGAATCCCTGTGGGTGGGAGATGGGTCTGTATGAATGAGGAAACAGAACCTTTCCCACTTTTAACATTCTGTCAGCGTGTAAATCTAGCAAGACTCTACAGAAGACAGAAAGCCAGAAAGGATATCTTTAAGAGGAACCACAGTTTGAGGGTGCTAATATAATATAAAATTATGACTGGAAGTGATTTGGGGCCTAGCTGTCCCCTGTTACTCCACATTCTTGGAATATTCCTGGCAGGAGATGGTAGGGTGGCGAATTCTGAGTGTGAGCTGAGGGAATGACAAGGCAGCATCAGAGCTGGGTGACAAGGGGGGCCCCATAGTTCCTACAGATGAGCAGGACTCTGCAGAACTGCTGGTCACCAGGGACAAGCCCCATTTGAAGGTTTGGCTGTAGCTCAAGGACCCAGTCAACCCTTAGCTTGCTGGTGGGGGTGTGCGGTAGGCTTTAGAGGGGTCCTGTTCTTACTCTGGCACTTGTGTGAAGAGGAGGGCTTGCTCTAGTGAGTTTGATCACACATTCAAGGGCATATGAAAGAGTAGGCATCCTAAAAAATTTGTCATTTTTTTTCTCTTTCTTTTCAACTAGTTTCTGAATTTATAAATAACTGATAATGGAGTTAGTTGGTTCTTTTTTATTTTGTGGGGGTTTACCAGCTTGCAGCTCTTTACATACACACCTATATGATGCTAAGCCTACAGTCAAGGGCTTAGGAACTCTGGAATCTGCCAGATCCAGGTTTACATCCTGACTCTGCCGCTGGCCTCCTGTGTGGTTCTGCCGCTAGCCTCCTGTGTGGTTCTGCCGCTAGCCTCCTGTGTGGTTCTGCCACTAGCCTCCTGTGTGGTTTTAGGAATCATATTTGTCTCTCAGAGCATCACTTTTCTTATCCATCAAATGAGACTCATTGCATCCACCTCACAGAGCCACTGTAAAGATAAAACACAAAAATTATGCAAAAATCTTGGCATACCCCAAGTGCTCAAATAGTGAGAGGCATAAAATGCTTATGTAGGATCTTCGAGTAATTTAAAAAATGTATAACCTGTATAGGGCAAACAGAATGGGAGCCAGGGCTCAATTTGGCATGTTCTGCTGGATTGCTATATTTGCTTTGAAGTCTGGAGGGTGGCCTGTGCTCTCCAAATGCCAAGGCCACATAGCCTCTGTCCCTGCTCTTTGTCCCTTTAGTCTCCATCCATCCTTTCAGACATTGCAAGGCAAAGACATTGCATAGGCAGGGACATATCCATCCATGTGTCAACAGCTGATGACATGTTGTGAAAACCATCAAGGGCAAGAGGAATGAGAACAGGCAGTGAGATCAAAGTTTCTGAAACTCCCTCCTCCTCCATGTGCAGACATTCTGGCTCTTGAGGCTGAAAGTCAGCCTGCTTAAATGCAGTTCATTTCAATTAAATTTTCTAAATGCGAGTTCATGTCAAGCACTAAGCTAGTTCTTTGGGAATTTTTTTTTTGGTATGCCTACTATGGGCTTTGCACAGTTTGGTGTTTTAAATACATTGTCTCATGACAACCTTATGATTTAGAAATTATCCTCTTTACCTGTAGAGAAAAAAAGTGCTCAAGAGTGGTATAGCCATTTGCCCATGGTTACCTAGCTAGCTGGTGACAAAGCTGGGTTTCAAACCCAAGTCCTTGTTGGCTTCATGCTACCACTCTTCTGGGACACAAACATGGTAAGTGTAAACATTGAAGCATTGCAATGGTGCTGTGGAAGAAAGAAAGGGGAAGTGTCTTTTCCAGCAATTCTCGTGCTTCATTGTACACGTGGATCACCTGGGGATCCTGTTAGACAATGGTTCTGAGCCTCTAGACTTTGCCTTCTTAAGAAGTGCCTAGGTGATGCCCAGGCTGCTGCTCTGTCTGCCACAGTTGGAAAAGCAAGGTTCTAGTTATTGATCTCAGACAGGCCCATCTCAGCCTTTTGAGAAGAGATACTTGATCAAAATGGTGACAAGAAAAGGGTGTGGCTGGTCAGTATGAATTCATCACTGCTGTTGGCAAAACGACTCCCCGGCTTGGCTACTTCCTGTGAGATCAGAAGAGTGGTACCCAGACACACCCAGTGATGGTGTGATGCTGCAGGCATGGGGCATCCAGTAGCATCTTGCTATGATGCAACTCAGGATAGCACCAGATTCAAGACAAGGCAGGTATGCCTCTGTGCCAACTGAACAAGGTAGTTTACTGCTGGAAGTTCTAAAAAGCCAAGGACGTGTGGTGGATGCTGATGGTGCCCTACCCAGATCTCCTTCACCAAGGGGTGCCCATCCCCAGCTGCGATGAATGTTGACTACAGAGTGCTCACAGCTGCCCTGTGCTGAATGAGGCAGTTCAAAATGTTGGCCTCAGCAAAATGAAAGCTGCCTCTTTCAGAGAGCTACCTCTACCCCTAAAAGGTAGAGTTTCCTTGCTACCCTCCCTACCCGCTTAGAGGCAGCCTGTAGACAATGATTGCCCTTGGCCTCCAGAAGGGGCCAGTCTGGAAGGCTGCAATTCATGCTGCAGGGCTCCCCATGGGATAAGCTCAAGCAGACTCAGCAGGACCACTTCCTTGCTTAGTGTATTCCCCTGCCCCATCTTGTTTTCCTTGTTCTCTTTCTCCTGAGAGCACGCCCTCAATAAACTGCATGCACTTGAATCACTGTCTCAGGCTCTGCCTCTAGGTTACCTCACCTAAAAGAGACTTTCACACAAGTGGATGCTGCTAGGCACCAGGTGCCCTTTGAGCCCTCACAAAGGTAGCTTGAGATGGGTGCTATTATCTCAATTTCCCAGATGAACAAACCGAGGCTTAGGCAGACTTCTCTGGCTGAGTACTCACAGCTGAGAAGTTGCTGGGCCAGGAATGGCATGTGCCCATGCACCCTTCTGCTCAGCCCCTCTGCCAGAGCCTCTTCACACTCACCTTCACCTCATATGATGCTGAGGCACATGCCTGAGATTTGCCTTGCAGTGAGACTTGGGTATGAGTAAGAGGTGGAGGTGGGCTTCTCTGTGATCCTGCTCTTGGGCAACCCACATAGGTAAAGTTCTGTGGGCTCAAAGAAGGCCTAACGCAGAAGACCATGACTGTACTCAAACTGATTCTTGCACTCAGAGCTAATTCCTTCGAAAGTGTGTGTTTTTAACTTTTACCCAGGTTCCTTTACCCACATTAAATGTTCTCCCCTCCAGTTTTTCCCTGGACACGTCCTTGCCAGAGTGAATCATGTCAGGGTTTTTGCTCCATGCTCTGTAGAAAAGTAGAACACTTGGTTGGAACAAGAGACAGGATCCACAGACACATCTTTGGATGTGTAGCTGCTCATGGTGGCCAAGAACTTTGAGGCCACTGTCCAATTTGTTCCTCTGTGATCACTGTACACATTTTACAGAGAGTGCTCAGGTCCCTTCATGGTTCTCACCAGGCCAAGATTCCTTGATTTCAGACAGGGGGAGTGGGCTTAGGCTGTGGCAGGAGTGATTCAGTATAGTAAACATGGCAGGAACACAGGCCCCAGACTCCATGTGAAAGGGAACAGAGACCTTAGCCTGGGAGAGTGTCCTATGTCTGAGCTGGAGGGGTTTAAGGAGAGGGGTGGAGAGACCAGAGGGGAGTGATATGAGAGGCCTAGTGCCTAGCATCAAGATTCCAAAAACAGGATCTTGGCAGGGCTGATGCCAGTTTCCCAGTCTAGATTCCCCCATCAGGGCCCATCCCAGGGACCTAGCTCCTCAGCTAGAAGAGCTGCCCGTGTTGGGTTTTCTTTAGTGAAGCCCACAGACCCAAGCTCTGGCCTTGTGGCCGCTTCATTTTCAGTTGCTTATGCTCCCCTGTCCCGTGGCATCCTGCCCTGGGTGGTTGCTTTTCCCAGATGCCAGTGACGCAGATGGTTCCCACAGGCTTGCCTGCTAGTCTTCCATTTTCACATCTTAGTGGAGAAATTGTGGGAGACTTCAAGAACAAGACATGCAGGCCTCACCCCAGTTAATATGGTTTATATCCAAAAGGCAGGCAATAATAAATGCTGGCGAGGATGTGGAGAAAAGGGAACCCTGGTACACTGTTGATGGGAATGTAAATTAGTACAACCACTGTGGAGAACAGTGTGGAGGTTCCTCAACAAATTTAAAAATAGAGTTGCCATATGATCCAGCAATCCCACTGCTGGGTATATACCCAAAAGAAAGGAAATCAGTATAGTGAAGAGACACCTGTACTCCCATGTTTGTTGCAGCACTGTTCACAATAACCAAGATTTGGAAGCAACCTAAGTGTCCATCAACAGACGAATGAATAAAGAAAATATCCTACCTATACACAATGGACTTCTATTCAGCCATAAAAAAGAATGAGATCCTGTCATTTGCAACAACATGGATGGAACTGTAGGTCATTGTGTTAAGTGAAATAAGCCAGGCACAGAAAGACAAACACTGCATATTCTAACTTATTTGCAGGATTTGTTAATAAAAATCAAAACAATCAAACTCATGGACATAGAGAGTAGAAGGATGGTGACCACAGGCTGAGAAGGGTAATGGGGGACTGTGAAGGGGAGGGGGAATGGTAAATGAGTACAAAAACATTAGTTAGAAATAATGCATAAGACCTAGTATTTTGTAGTACAACAGGGTGATTATAGTCAGTAGTAATTTAATTGTACTATTGAGTACATTTGGAGTACTCAGCGTATACTCCAGAGTATAATTGGATTATAACATGAAACATAAATATTTGAGGGGATGGATACCCCATTTTCCATGATGTAATTATTATGCATTGCATACCTATTTCAAAGCATTTTATGTACCCCATAGATATATACACCTACTATGTATGTACCCACAAAAATTAAAAAATTAAAAAAGAGTAACTTCCAAAGACAAAATATATTTCTATCTTCATGTGACTGCTGGAGTTAAGAAGAGGGAGAAGAAGAAAGAGGCATTGTCCAATTAATTTAAGGATAAGGATACAGGACAATGAGGCAAGTACCAAGTTTACTGGGGGAAAATATGTAAACAGACCTTAGATAAATAATCAATCAGCAAGCATATATCAAAACTTACATGCATAGACATGCATCACCAATTCCTTTCTTTAAACTGTGATTAAATATACATAACATAAAATCTACTATTTTAACCATTTTTAAGTGTACAGTTCCATGACATTAAGTATAATCACATAGTTGTGCAACCATCACCAACATCCATCTACCAGAACGTTTCGATCTTCCCAACTGAAACTCTGTGCCCATTAAACACTCATTCCACTTGGATAAGGTACCTAGAGAAGTCAAATTCACCAATTCCTTTTAAGCAGATGCCACTTTCTACATTTCAGTTCTTACACACTAGGGAAATGAGAAAAGGATTGATATTTGATTTGTTCATTCATTCAAGCTAGCACGCCTAAGTGTGAATAATAGAATTGCTTTCTGTTGCTTGATATGAACTAAAGTGAGAAAGGAAAAACAGAAAAACGCCTCAGTAACTTCTGAGCTACATTTTTCACAGGGCTGTGGGAGAGCTGGCAACAAGGAGAAAGGATGTATTTTTGGAAGGATAAAGCCCCCTTATTATAGTATTGCACAAAATTCCTGCTGCTACAGTTTCCTTCAGGAAAACTCCAGGCGCGGCCAGTACCGTATGAAACAATGAAGACATTCTGAAACTGTGTTTTCAAAGCCATGAACAAACTTGAGGAGTGCAAGAAATGTCACCATAGAAGTCTGGGGAGATGGGGGTGTCCTGGAGACCACCCTGATTCAGCTTTTATCTGCTCTATTGTTTGATGACACACACTGCCTCACCCTTCCAAGTGTGGAAGGGGGAGTCCGGCAAGGGGAATTGTCCCATTTTGCTAGACACTTCTTAAGCTCCCAATGGCTGTTTGACGCATCAGACTGAAAGTGTTAAAGGTCAGGAATGTATGTGACATTTTTCCATCTGTGTGCATGAAGCAGGGAAGCCCACGTCCATCCTTTAGTGTTTTCTCAAGGAAGATGGAGCTCCGTGGCACCAGCTTGTTTAGGTCTACGGCAGGATTTCCCAACCTCTGCACCACTGACATTTCAGGCCAGATAATTCTTTGTTTTAGGCAGCTGTTGTCTGCATTGGTGCCTTATAGGAAGTTTAGCAGCATGCCTGGCCTCTACTCACTAGATGCTAGTAGCATCCCTGATGAAGTTGTGGTTGTGAAAACCGAAGAGGCTTCCAATCATTACCAACTATCTCCTGGGGGTAAGACTGTCAGTTTTACAAAAAAAATTTTTTAAAAAATGTTAAAAGCCTAGTTAAATTCGAATTTTAGACAAGCAAAGAATAATTCTTTTTAACTCTAAATGTGTCCCATTGTAGTAGTTGGGACATACTTATACTGAAAAATTATTCATTGTCTATCTGAAAATCAAACTTAACAGAGTATCTTCTGTTTTATCTGGCAACCCTACCTGAGGGGCAAAATCATCTGCAGTTGAGAACCACTGATCCAGGGCGACCAACTGTCCCAGTTTGCCAAGGAGTTTCCTAGTTTTAGCATTAAAAGTCCAGCATCCTGGGAAACTCCTCAGTCTCAATATGCTGGGATGACTGGCCACCCTGGAAGACTTATCCTTAATTCTTTGTGCTGGTGTCAGCTTTCAGGGTCTCCATAGGCTCACAGCAGCCCTTGGGAGATGCTGTTTCATTCAATGGATGGAGAGGCTTCGTTGCAAAATTGACAAGTAGTGCTCTTTAGTGTGAGCTACTAAATGGCCTTATTTTTGCTTGATTGTTGATTCACAAACACAACCAAAACATTACCAATAACAGCTGAAGTCAGTCTTCAAAGTGGCCTATTGATTTTCATGGCCTCAGAGTAGATTATTCTTCCCAGAAAAAGAAATCTATATCTCAGATATATTATTCTAAATAATCCAATACCCAAAGCTAATGGGACTTCTCCACCAGCTTGTAAGACTATAACTACACTTTGGTTTTCGTATAAATCCTCAAGATGGATTTTTTTGTGGATGTTGCCTTAATTCAGAATTGTATTGACTGGTCTCCCCTTGCTCAGAGCTGTTACTAGGCAACACAATTTCTTTTTTCTGTCATGTAATGTTGGGTAAGACAGCAAAGTGAGGCAGGGGGTGAATGGCGGTGGTGCTGTAGAAGATTCTTCTGTGCCAATTTATCTATTGCTACCCATGGTATTACTCAGTGCAGCACAGACCCCAAGCCTCACTCTTGACAGTAATTTTTAACAGAACTCTGGACTTTAGGCAATACAGAAAGGAAATCCATCTTTGGTTTCTTTGGCCACCTTACAGCTCTATTAGTTGACGGTACATGAAGGTAAAAACAGTGTTCTCCAAGAATTTGGAAGTGAGGCCATTTTCCAATAATTAAACTGAAAAAGTTCACACACATGGCTGTGACTAATTTGGTAAATGTTCTACAAAAGTCTGAGAACATTCCATAATTCCCATCAAGGCATCTGGGAAGGCTCTGAGAGGCAGGATGCAATGTGAGCACAGTGGTGTGCTGGAGCCTGCCGGTACCAGCACTCAAGAGCCATTGATTGTGTGCATCTCTTCCTGCTGGTAGCTTGAAATAGTCTTGGAGGGAGTATTTACACCATGGAACTTGACTTGGTGAATGTTACAAATTAGGGCTTCCCCCAGTGCCCCAGAGAGCCATTTGTTAAACACTTGCTAGTACACCACTGAATTAAATGTGAACATAATGAACACCTAGAGGCCTGACCAGTTGACTTACACCATGACTGAAGAAGGACTTTAGGAACAGCCTGGAGCATTTAAATGGGAGCCCCAAGACTCCAAAACTGGCCATTCTCTTACCAGTACCTAGCCAGGAAGAGAAGGACTAGCCCTTCAAGACACATGCCTCCATCCTGGTGTCAGGGATATCCTGTCTGTTAATCAGCTTCAAGCTGCCTTGGGAACCTTCTGAATATAACTTGGCTTCACAGATTTTGAATTCATAATGTTTTCCAGTTCTATTTCTCATTATAAATTAATATATGAGCATTCCAGGCTTACAAATACACATTGGGAGCATAAGTATGCTCCAGCATAGTAGTTACATGCCCAGGGTTGGAAGGAGTCAGACATACTGGGTTTGAACCCCAGCTCTGCCACTTTCTGGCTGTGTTGGAGCATGTGACTTAACGTCTCTATGTCCTCACCTTTATTCTTTCTGCTGATTAAGGCCCAGCTTAGCTTTCTCCATCTCCCACGAAGCTTTTACCTACTCTAGCACTCACTCATCACGCCCTTCTCTAAACCACTTATTTTGTTTTATTTCTAGTCTTGTCTCCACCAACTAAATTTTATGATGCTTGACAACTAGAATGATGTTTTATATGACTCTTTTATTCTCAGAAAGACCTGTCCCTATGCTGACCATGTAGTAGGTGCCTTATACAGGCTCATTAATAAGTTAGTTAATTAATATAGGATGCTCCAGATAGAGTACAAGGTATGTTTCACACTAACCCATTAAAAGTGCCCAGCCGCTCCCCTCTTCTAAATGCCTAGTGCACACCCTTCCCTTATTTCTCACCTTGGTGATATTCCAATGTCAAAAATGTGGCCCCCAGATAGGATCCTTCTGGTTACAAGGAACAGAGTTCCAACTCAAACTGACTTCAACAATGAGCAAGCACAGAGATATTATAATTTGAAGGCAAGTAGAGATCAGCTGCCAGGCAATGCTGTCCTTAGGGATCCAGGAACCATCCCTCTTGCCTTTCAGGAATACTTGATGCTGGTCTCTCAGAGGGATGATAGCAGGATGACACCTTAGCACCAGGCGCTCATGGCAAAGTCCACAGGGCGAAAAGGCACTCTCTCTCTGAGTTCCTTCTTCACAGAAGATAAACTTTCCCCAGACTGCCCCCCAACCAACACACACACACGTACTGTAGGCTTTTCCTCATCTCATTGGCCAGGAGTGGATAACATGCCCTTTACTTAACCAATTTCTGTCAAGGAAAATGGGAATTACATGATGTGCTTAGACTGACCACATGGAGTGGGATGAATATTAAAGGGTGCATCTCAGGGGCCCCCACAGGGTCTCCACTCAGCCTGTTCATTTGGCCTTTCTACAAGCACAACCCCATCCCTCTGGCTCCAGTCACCTGCTCCATCTACACTGCCTAAGAAGCTAACGTTTATATGACAGAAAATCAACTTTCTGTTCCCTCTAAGTGCCCATAGTTGCCTCATATTCCATTTCCTTCTGAAGGAGTAGGCAAAGATTTGGGCAGAAATCTAGCCAATTCATGACCTCAGACTATGGTGTATGTAGAAGGTAACTTCAGCCTTGGGATGTCATTGGCCAGGAGTGGATAACATTCCATTCCCCAATGGAAATTTCCATCTGATATGCAATGCAAAACTCCTAAGTTGGCATCCCATCTTTCAGATAATGGTTAATAAGAATGTGTTATCAATGTCAGAGCTTGCTTACATATGCTCCAGGAGCACATAAGAAGGGAGAAAGAGATAAAAGAATTCATAGTTGTGTGATGCCAAATGACAGGATTTTTCCACGCAGCTGGTAAAAGATAACTGCAGTCTCATAATCTCTTGTTTGTTAGTTGGGCTTCAAAACGTGGCATCCAGACCCAATTGCTGTCAAAAACATTTGCTATTCAGGAACTTCAGAAAGGGAAAGAATACAAATATCCTGCAATCAAAATTATGCAGGTGCCATTGTCCTCCTCTTCCCACCTCTTGAGAGCCATCATCCCAAAGAGAAGATGGAGAAATACCTAACCTTTTTTTCTCCATCATATTTTTAATAGTAGCAATAATTTTCTTAACACATACTATGTCCCTGAGCCCTTTACACATTTATCTCATTTAATTTCTATCACAACTTTGTGAAGTTGGCATTAAAAATAATTTTAAAACCATCCATTAAGTAAAGATGAGATGCCAAGCTGAGCTTGATCCAAGGTCATTTCACGTATTGTCTTACTTTATCCTCATAATAAGCCTAAAAGGGGGGTTATTATTGCTCCTCATTTTATGGATGAGGAAACTGAGACCCAGAGTAATTAAGTGTCTTGATTCAGATTACTAGGCTGTAAATGGCAGAGCTGGAAGCTGCGTGCAAGGCGATGTGGCTTAAAAGTCTACCTTTTCACTCTACCAGTGTCACCCAAATATTTGATCTGTATTTACCCAAAGTCTCCTCTTTACTCTATGAACCCTGTAAAATCCCCAAAGTAACAGGCTGTGGACTGGTCATGCAGGCTGTCACTTTCTGGAGCAGCAAATGAGCAGAAGCTTAGCAAATAGGGCTTCAAGCCTTCACCGGAGCCAGTTAAATGTCCACGCATACATGAGGTTCTATCTCCTTGCTTTTGAGTCTTTGCCATTATTGGATGAGTCACTTATCTCACTGGAGTGAGGAGGAGGTTTGCCCCTCCTACGCTGTCAAGAATCGGTTGGAAATCTGCCCTTAACCCTGGAGCCCAAGTCAGAGAGAAGCCCTAGAACAAGGGTCTGCAAATACAGTTCACGGGCCCAATTCAGCCTACAGCCTGTTTCAGTGTGGCTCACAAGGTAAAAATAGGTTTTGCATTTTTTAATGAATGGACAAAATCAGAAAAAAAAATTTGTGACACATGAAAATTATATAAAATTCTGATTTCAGCATCCATAAATAAAGTTGTGATGGAACACAGCCATACGCATTCCTTACATATTGTCTGTGACCATTTCTTGATATACAATAGGGAAGCTGAGTAGTTACAACAGAGACAGTAGTACCCCTAAAGCCTATAATATTTAGCAGGAAAAAGTTTGACAACTCCTGCCCTAGAAATGCTCTGAGCATCACTTATCCACCCAACAGGACCCCTCCCCACCAAACAGGACACATGTGGTATTTCCAGCCCCATACAGAGCCTAAGAAAGGGCTTCACAATCAAGCTGAGTCCACTGCTGTGCCTGCCATTTTTCCCTTGCCTACCCTAGCCTTATTCAAGGATATTTTTTGCTGAAGTCTCTAAGGGATATAAAGAAGCACCTCCCTACTGCTTTCAGGGTTCACTGCAGTAGCAGACCCCCACTCCCATTGCCAAGGGCACAGCTGCCACTAGCATCATCACTGCAGCACCCCCAGAATGACTCCCTTCACCAGGCACCGTGCCCTTTTTCCCGAGACCCTGCCCCCTCACTAGCCCCAAATGATCCCACTACCAAGCATATTGTCCTTCCAGGCTCTGCTGGTTCTTGTGGGCACAACCATCAAAATGGGAAGACTGGCATTCTTTTCCTTCTTCTGATAAAGAAATGCAAACATTCCTTTGCATTTTAGTGAAAAAAAAAAAAACTGTATTAGATGCTGTCAGTGCCCTGCTAGTATTGCTTGGATGTTACTATTACAGTATGTAACAATCAACTTCAAACCCCAGTGTATGTATGTCTGTGCCTGAGGCTTTTGCCCCCAGGAAGCAGGCCCATGTGTCAGGGCATTGTCATCGCAGCCTCCAGCAGCCCTCAACCCATGAGTCTCAGGAGAGGGTGTATAAATACCTCAACTCCCTCATCTGGCACCTTAGGAAGATAACTCTGAGGTGTGTTCTGTGCTGTTACCCAGAGTTTCCCCAAAGGATTAAGCTCTAGTCATCCCCTGGCTTTGTTCTCCTCTTCCCAACTGCTGTTCTCCTTATTTCCCAGAACCCTCATCTCAGGGTCTGCTTCTGGGAAGAATACAAATGAAGACTTCTAGTTAAATCTAAAACCCTGCCTCCCTATTCTAGATCAGGCATGGGTCATCTATGAGGAGACTGGAAAAATCTGGAGGGCAAACACTAAGTGTGCTCCAAGCAGCCCCACTGCCTACTCCACATGGAAGAGCCAGGCGCACAATTGGCCATCCATGCGCTTTGGCACCGTTTCTTCCTTCTTGTCCCCAGAATCACACTCCCAGTAGAGGTAGGACTATAAGCTGAAAAAGATGACCTCTCACTTGTAGTTCAGGCTGCAGACTCCCCTTTAATTACCTAAGGAGGCTCATTGTCACATGAATGACAGAAGCTGCTCTTTTATGGACAAAAACACAAGAAGAGGGGGAAGTTCAGGGATGGGGCAAAGGGAAGAGGGGAAAGAAGAAAAGGGAAAGATAAAGACCCAGATTTATTATCTAGAAAATATTCCAGTCTTTCTGAAGGGGTTTCAGCTATCTAGGGGAGATGCTGAATTAATGGGTATGGATTACAGGGAGCAATTCTTTCTTTTCTTTTTGATGAAAGGGATGTCAATGACTCTCCTTAAGTCCTGACTCTGTAATTATACTAAAGGATCCAGTGATATTTAACTCAGGCCACTGCTGCCCCTGGCTCCCTGCATTAGCTTTAGATAACAATGGCCACTCATGGTCACTTCTCCCAGGCCCTAACCCTCCCTGGGTTAATTTTAATACAGGCCTAAATTCCTCATCCAAAATCTTGGGGCCAGGTATGTTTCAGAATTCAGAATGTATTTTAGAAAGGCAGTTTGGTGCACATACCACTTCATACATCAACACCCCAGTGAGCTCTGGGACACCTCGTAATCAATGACATTAATATTTCTCCAGCAGCATGTATGCGTATTCACACCAAATGAGATCAATAAAGGCAATAGATAGCCTCCACTTAGTGCAGGTCAGATAATTCTGGAAAATGAAATTAACCCTGTTAGATTTTGCTACCATGCAGATTATAACCAACTTTTGGCTTTCAGAGCTTTTAGATATTGAGATTACAGACACAGGATTCTGGACTGATAAAGGCATGTTTTCACAGCAACATATTAACATTTGAAAGGAAAGTGAATTCCGGGTTTCACCTGGGTGAGACCTCACCAGCTCCCATTTGTGAAAGCCAAGATGGGGCCAGGGCAGGTCCCAGTCCCTCAGTGCCTGGGCTGGGCAAAAGGCCTGTGACCGGTTATGTTATCATAGAACCAAGAGGGAGGGGTTGCCTCGTGAAGCCGTGAACTGCTGAAACCCAAGCAGTCAGTGGGAGCGGCAACAAGGAGATGGCCAAGGCAGTCCTCAAGGAGCCATATCAAGTGTTGCAACTTAGGGACGAGGTATGAGGCTAGAATAGTCAAGACTCGTTCTGGGAACAAGGCAGGGGTGGGAGGACTTGGGACTGGACTGTGCACTGGGAGAAGGTCAGCCAGCTTGGACAGATAAGCACTAACTAGATTGGACTTGCCTCTGGAAGCCTCTGGTGGAAAGATGCATTCATTGCTTGTATGCAAATGCTCTGGTCCTCCCCCATGTGAAAGGATTAGGTCACCAGATTAGCTGAGGGCAGGCCTGGCCTCTGGGGCAATGGAAAGAGCAGTTTCTTCTGCCCGAACCGTTCTTAGTGGCAGATCTGGAAAGTGTGTTTTTGCACATGCTGCAATCTTTTATCCATCAATTATTAAAAGGCAAGTGACTTTGCTCTGAAGCTATTTTCTTTTCCCAGCAGATGGACAACTTGAGTTTGACTGTTTCATATGCAGAATTCAAACCTTAGTTCTCAAATCCTTGTTCAGGATCCTGGGAAGCAGAGCATGGCAGGGCAGGCCTCCAAAATGGATCAGAGATACTGGCAAGGCAGGCAGTCAAGTGGGGCCATGTCCCCTGGCCATCCCCAAACATGGGGGCTGAGAATCTCCTGGCAAAAGAACTTGGACAGTATCAAGAATCAGAGCTTTGACACATAAACAAGGCATGTTTTGTGAGCTGAAAGTAAGTCTCATGAGAGTGTTACCTACAGAGCCTGGAGAAGCACCAGGCACATGTAATAGTCACACAAATAATAGCAGCAAACACACACATATAGCCTTATTGGGGGCAGGTATTGTTCTAGGTGTTTTACATAAATTAACTCAGTTAATGGTAACTACTTCATGAGAAAGTGTAGTGTATGTTTTCCGTGCTGTATCACGGCCCCTCATCCCACTCTTGACTTCAGTCCAACTGCAAGGAGGAGCTTCTTCCTTGGACAGTGCCACTTAGGCATGTGCCCATGGCTTGCTCCTCTCTGCCTTAAAGACTTGCTAAAGCTGCAGAAATCAGCTCAGCCCTCTAAAGGTCAGGGCAGGTAACCCCCAACCTCTCACTCCCTGTCCCAAGGCAACTATCTACCAAGGGGGCTAGGAGCTATGGATAAATGCTCTTGCCTCCCTTCCTTCAGGAGGACAATCCTGGGATGCTTCTGTGTGCTTCTCAGATGTGCCAATGCACTTGGGCTCCCACTGCCAGCAGCAGTAACCAATAGCACACCCTTAGGTTACTGTTTTCCTCCTTCCCTGCTCAATCTTCCTGCTCCCTCACTCCTGCTTCCTGGGATCACCTCCCGAATAAAAAGCCTGCAACCAAGCCCTTGTCTCAAGTCTGCTTGCACGAAGACCGAAACCAAGACAATGAAATATCATTATTCCTATCCCCGTTTTACAGATAATTGGTGCATAATGAATATTTGATGTTGACCAGATGAATTAATGAATGTGAGATCAGAGTGGGAGGAGAGTGATTTGAGCCAATTATGAAAAAGGAAGGCAGGGTCTTTAAAGGGGAGGAGAAGAGGAAGGATGTCACAACCAGCAGTTTTCTGCCCCTGGGCCTGAAGGGTGCTGCTGACATCACTATGCTGATGATCTATGTGGGCCCTAGGGCAAAAATGGGTTTCGCTGGTGGAAACAACCAAATTTGGCGTCCCTTTGAAATCTGTAGCCTTACTATAGGTGTCTCACAGAGGGGAGCTGAGGGAAGTGAATCCTCCTGTCCCCTGACAGGGCTCAGTAAAGCTCCTTGATGGCCAAGAGCATCTGTGGCTGGGCTGCAAAGATTGGCTCCTCGAGGCCTCTCCTGGGCATGGCCAGTGACCCAGGAGGATCTCAGGTTTGGCTGGCAGTTGTGTCAAACAGGGCAAACTGTGTAGTACAGGTGACTCAGTCTGGGAGAGGGCCAGGGGAGATCTCCATTGTGGCCAAGGGCAGCTACGGGAGAGTGCCCGCCCACCAGTGTTCATACCGGAGTTTCTAAGCCTGGACAGCGGTCCCCACAGTGGGCCTGGACTTGGCAGAGGAAGGTGACAGCACGGTGGCCTCCAATAACCTGGTCTGACACGTGTTCACACAAGCCATCTTGGAGACTCCTAGAAGTACCTTGAGACGGGATTTTTAAAAGACTGGAGTTAATGTGGCATAATTGGAATGATGAGCACTAGGGACAGCTGGTTTTAATGCTTTAACTTAAAGAAATACCCCTAGAGTTCCTCACCAGCCCTCAATCATGAAAATGTGAGCACAGTCTCAGAAGACAGACTGCCTACGCCAGAACCTCAGCTCAGACACCTACTAGGTATGTGCCACAGTCATGTCTACAATCCAGTTGTCTCCTTTGGAAAATAGGTACAATATTAGTAATTGCCTGGGAGATTTGTCGGAAGGATTAAATGAGATACTGCATTTAGAATAGTTAGCCCAGAGAATAATCACTCAATACCTGTTAGAGAATGTTGCCATCAGTACCCTCACACTGCCCCCAGCTTCTCGATTCTCAACTAAGGCAATGATAGTGAATATTTATCATTTTATTTGGCCACCCAATATTTGAACTCCTTTTTCATTGAGAAGTTCCCACTTCATGAGTCTTCATTGTCTTCAGTGGCTGCTTCCCACTGTAGATGCCAAAAATGCAGCAACTGGCTTTCCCAGCAGCCTTTGCAGCCAGGCACAGGCTGTACACAGGATCCATCCACCATGTGCCACCCTGGGTTTTGACTCTGGAGCTAGACACAGGAAGGGTGGAGTTCTCTCTCTCCCTACTGCAGGTTCAAGTTTGTGCACAGAGGTGACTGTGATGCCAATGATAGTGCCCAACATTCAATGGCTGAAGCAGTAGAAGTTTCTCCAGACTCCTTCCACCATGTGATTCTCGGTGCTGCTCCAGGCTGCTTATTCTCCAGCCTTACTGTCAGCATTCCTACTGATTCTCCAGCCACCCAGTGTTCTTTGCATCAAACTCTCTTCGGCTTCAGTCAGCCAGAGTTGGCTGATGCCTGTAACTAAAAATCATGGCTGATACAGCTACATTGCAATGTGAGCCACAGCCTGCAGCTTGCAATGCCTCTACCTATGAGGGTCTCTCTTCAGTGTGAGAGAATGGTACCAAACTCTGCCAGAGTACCCAGAAGGGGCCAAGTGTCTGACAGAGCTAGAAGGAGGCCGGTATTGATGGCCCCAGATGAGAAACCCTGACCTCTGGGCCCTCTTCCTGACTTAGTGACATACAGCTCTTTTTCTGAGGTTTCCTGAACATGTCCAGCTCTGCCATCCTCAAGGAAATCAAGTTAAATTAGAAAAGAAGGCACCAAAAAACTCCACACAGCAACCTGCAAAGGTATGTGTAGAAGAGGCAGAGATAGACATGTAGACTCACTTATGTTCACACTCAGGGATGTTGTTGTAAAGCAGCTTTGGAGAAAACTGCCTACTCCTCTCTTCACCCCTCCTTCCTGCCCATTGCATACTGAGTCATCTGCAATACAGCCTAGTAGGCTCCTAATGCACATGTCCAGCACTCCAATTTATTTCTACCCCAGGGACAGTTCTACTTCCCGTCCCCCTCTCCCTCCCTCTCCTTCTGAGCTCTTCTGTAGGCAATAAAGTGAGAGTGTGCAAAAGTGTAGAATTAGCAGGCTTGGGTCCCTCACATAGCAAGTTATCCATCAGACTCAACTTATTCGTCTATAAAATGGGATCAATGATACCTATTTTGCAAAGTTGGTAATGAAATGACCATGCTAGTACTCTAAAAGATACTCTATAAATTTTGATCCTTTTCCCTTCTTGATTCTGATCCTGGTAGCCCAGCAGCCTGAGACTCACAGTATCCAGGGTCATGTTTGGCAGCAGCCCAGGAAGGGTCAGCACTTGTAGGTAAGAGGGGAGGAAGGGAGGAGCCAATGGACCAGTGAGGATGCCAGGGATGAGAAATGATTGAGCTGTTTAACAGCAGAGGATGATTCTCCCAGGCTTGGGGGAGAGGTCCCTGGGCCACACCTGTCATAAAGCATCAGGAAACCATCAATCCACATCAAAGTGGTCAATTCCTTGGTCTCTGAGTGTTTAAATCACAAACACGATCAATACTGAACTCTGAATGTTGCACCGGCCCTTCATCCAGAGGCTCCTGGGGGAAACACAAATAAAACAGGTTACCAGCCAACTCCTGCAGAGCCAGTCAATTCCTGCTGACCCACTCTTGGAGGAGTCCAGCTGCATTCTGGACATCAGGGGCCAAAATCACACACCCATTAGTGACATCTCCATTTCTATGGTAATTTTGCATAACAAGGTAACAGAATCCAACCAGAGCCATGTGACTCCAGGCAAAAGTGGAACTAGATTTTCACATTTCTTAGGTCGGATTCCTTAGAGGCAGAGCCTGCCAGCTCCCTACATGTGCTGATACCCTCGATAACCTTTTATATTTCTAAAATGCATCATAGTTTGTGAAGGTTTGGGCACACTATCTCATCTAAATCTTGCAAATTCATTCTGCAAATTGGGCAGAGCAAGGGTGGTTTTCCTTATTTGGAAAAGTAGAAAATGAGGCCCAGAGAGAGTAAGTAGCACCCAGCTAGAACTGTCCAGGCTGGGACGCCAGCCTCAGTCTCAGTCAAGACTCCAGGATCAGGTCTCTCCGTTTACCTTGCAAATAGTCAATATTTAAAATTTCCACTAATGGAACTGTTAAATACTCCTGTTTTTCTGACACCCTGTATATGGAATTATCAAAGCTTTCAGCCCATTTGCTTATCAGTCCCACCACCTAGACTGACATTTTATCTCGCTCGTCTTCATAGCTCCAGTGTCTGGCTTAATCCCACTTTCCAAATGTATTACATCACCTAGAAACAATGGTGTGTGCAGTTGAAGAACGAGCAAAGACAGACCCTGCATGCCCTTGAACGCCAGGCAAAGGGAATAACAATCCTATAGACTGGAGATGCACTATCATGGGCAGGGCCATAGCTTAATCCTACTTGCATTACAGTACCTGTGTTGGTCTGTATGGAAGATGGCAGAAAGGAGGTTCCTGCCACTGTTTCAAAATATCACATCTTGAACATGAGAGTTTTCGCTGAGGAAATTATATTATTGCAGGAGAACTTTGAGGGGCAGAGGTTAGATCCAGAACTCCTTAGCCTAGAATTCAAGACCTTCCATCAATGTTAACCACCCCCATCCCCTCTAGCTTTGTTTACCCTCCTTCTTCTTGTGTGTCTCCGTCATTTCAAGTTACTTACAATCCCTGAAAAGGTAATGGTAATTCCAGACACAACACTTCTGCCCATGCTAATTTCTCTGCCTGCAATGCCTTCCATTCTCATCTCCTTGGGAAACTCCTATTCAGTGTTAGTACCTGGGGCAAATTCTAGGTCTCTTCCTACCACTTCCTTCACTCTTTGAGGGGCTATGATGAGGCTGGGTCCAGTTTGAGGACCTTGACTGAGACATGGGGTCTAGAGGTAGAGCTTTTGGTGTAATCAAGGAAGGTCAAAGCTCTAAGCCTTCTAGAAGCCCAATGGCCAAAAGGGACCAGTAGAGGTTAACCCTGAGATTGTTTAGCACAGAAAGAAAATGAAACAGAGGCTTAAGCAAAGTGTCTCTGGAAGTTAGACAGAAGACAAATATTCAGGTAACTCATGTCCCCTCAGTCCTTTTTCTCTCGAATGGGAGCTGGATTTTTGCTGGGAGTTTGTGATATTTCTATCACTGCCTCTCTCTGCTTTTCCTTCATGAACCTCTGGGTCTGCTTCAACATGATGCTCTTCAGGAAATAACTAGAGCATCTGAGTTAGGACAATAGTCACCATTGAAGCTAGGAGCCTCCTAAAATTTAAACAGAAAAGTTTGAGGATTGAAAAGAATGGATAAGTCCTCTGGATCCTTCTCTTTATAAAATGCTCTCCTTTCCTTATCACCTTAGAAACAATGGGATGAACTATAGTGGGATCAAAGAGAGAGAATAAAATCTCAGAAGGACAAAGTCTAAACTTGGGGTTTTTCCTTTCTCTGCTAATGCACTGACTTTCATTAAATCCAGAATTAAGACTGCCATTTAAATAGCATAAGAGGGTAAATGCTGTCAGTGGACATGGCCCATGAGAAATACCCCTCCTTATCTACCAAGTTGTTTTGACAACCAATGATGCTGTTGAGTCCTCTGTTCTAGTTTCCACCCTCAGGCCATACTGACAGCCTTACGCACAGGTGGTCATATGGGGAATATATTTGGCCTTCTGTCATAAACCCCATATCCTCTAGAAATCGATCACTTCTGGCCTTGCTGAATCACTTTTCCTGATGCTACATAAATGGCTTTAGGTGTTGGTAATCAATCATGGAAAACCAAAAACATCACTGCAAAGTTTCAGATAATCTATATTGAAAAACAATAGTCTGTTACTCATCTGTGTCCCAACCAGTATTAGAAACTTCTCCACAAAACTTGGTAGAATGCAGGGAGGCAGATATGTATTAAGCATGTATTGTATGACAGACATCATCTATTTTATTTTAGTTAGTCCTCCAGTAATGTGCTGAGATAAATGTCATTATTTTCCCTTTGTTGAGATGAGAAAACTGAAGTCAAGGAAGGCTAAATGATTTTTGCCGATTCTTTGGTAAGAGATCGTCACATTTTAGGTGTTGTTTTGTTTTGAGATGGAGTCTCACTCTGTCACCCACACTGGAATGCAGCGATGTGATCTTGGCTCACTGCAAGCTCCATCTCCCAGGTTCAAGTGATTCTCCTGCCTCAGCCTCCCGAGTAGCTGGGATTACAGCCACATGCTACCACGCATCACGCCCGGCTAATTTTTGTATTTTTAGTAGAGACAGGGTTTCACCATTGCCCAGCCAAGATTGTCACATTTTAAAGTCAGATTTGCCTGATTCTTGAACGAGCCATTGAATCTACTGAGTATCTCAGTGTCCCCAGAATTCTCCAGGACATCCCTGGGAGACTGAAGGCATAGTCAGGCAGAGAAGAAAAAGTGGTACAAGGAGGAATGAGGCAAAGGAGAAGTCAGGGAAAGGAGAGGAGAAAACAGAGGACCTCATGGTATGGTGTGGAACTGCGACCAAAATGATTATTACAAGCATTTCTCTTGTAATGTTCTGGAGTATCACCTAGCTGCTAAGGGAGAATCAAACTCCTTTCATGTGAAGGGGCTGAATGCTTTTGGGAAGAAAAGATGTCAAGGGTAAGACCCTGCTGTGTTCAGCTCTTCGTGCTGTAATAGGGATGGAATCGTATCTCAGATAGCAGTTCCCCATCCAGTCCCTTTCCCCCATAACACACAGGATGGCCAATGGGTGGGACAATAGCCAGAGGGAAACATGCAGGGATTCAGGACAGCCTAATAATTTGTCACACCTTCAAACCAATATTCTTTCAATATTAGTTCAATATTTATGTAGAGGAGATGAATACTAAGTGGAGGAAGAACAGAGCTTCCCACTTTTCTTTTAACCTGTTGCTGAAATGTAACTTACACATGGAAAAGTACACATATCATGAGTACTCAGTGAGTTTCCACAAACTAAACACACATTGTTACCAGCACCCAGATTTTTACAAATAATGATAACATTACCAGCATTCCAGAATCCTCGCTTATGTTCCCTCCCTGCCTCCTTCCAAGTATAACCACTATCTTGACATCAAACAGCAGAGATTAGCTTTGCCAGTTTTTGTTCTTTTTGTGGATGAAGTGATATAGCTTGTTGTCTTTTGTGTCTGACTTCTTTTGCTTGTCATCAAGTGAGATTCATGCACATTGTTATGTGTAGTTGAAGATTGTTCATTCTCTTTGCTGATTGTATTCCAGGGTGTAAATATACCACAATCTATTTATCCATCCTACTGGTGTTGGGCACTTGGAAAGTTTCCAGTTGTTGCTACTATGAATAGGGCCACTATGAGCAATCTAGAATATCTTTTGGTGAACATTTGGTAGACATTTCTGTCAGAGAGATAGATATAGACATAGACATAGATAGAAATAGAGAGAGACAAATCGTTTGATCATAGGGAAGGCACATGTTTATCATTAGTAAATGCTGCCAAACAGCTGCCCAAAGTGACTGTACTTGGTTAGACTCCATCAGCATATCGAAGAGTATTAGTTGCTCTATATCCTCACCAACAACTAGTGTTTTCTGGGGTTTTTATTTGTTTTTTCACATGTCTTTTAGCAGGGTCACCACTCCTACCCCTCCATCCCTGAACCACTTACGTATGGTTTGCCTTCTAGGAATTCTGGGAACTGCAGTTGTCTTTATTGTGTTACATTTTAATGATGCTTTAGTACTTAGCACTCTTTGTATACTGGCATTCTGGGCCAGTGCTCCCAATGGGCCATCCCTGCCTTACCCAGCTCTAGAAAACAAACTCATAGATGTAGCCATATTATCTTCCCATTGGGCTAGTTTCAATTCCTTCCCTCTGCCTCTCAAGAAAGCACATTAGTGTAAGTGAGTAGGAGGAGGGTTATCATGGGAATTACCATAAATCTGTCCTATTTTTTTTAGTAAAGCATTTGCAAGCTTCAGCCCCTTAATAATTACTAGTAATAAACTTCTTGGTCATACCTCACTGACAACACAGGTTTGCCAACACCCGGCCATGTGATCCTGAATAATTTCATTCCCTTAGCACCATACTCAGCTCTGAACAAGTAAGTGGGGTCCTTGCTCCAATCCCTGTTCCTTAGCACCACCTCCACCACCCCCCAACTCCCAGTCCCCTAAATGTTTCCAACCCCCAACCCCTATTTTGGAATGCCTTCCTCAAGGCATTCCTAAGCACACTTCAGTGTTTGGAGCCAGCCAGGGCCAGCATTACTATTTGAGTGGTATATCCTGAGCATGGACCAGAACCATGTGAGCCCCAATCTCCATTTCTCCTTTTTGAACTGCTCTCTCACCCTCTATTCCATGGATAGGGTTGCCCTGCTGTGCTGAGGAGCTCCAGGACTTGTGTTTACGGAGTGGTCATAGGGCCACCTGATGCACAGACTGTTCCACTGACTGGTGTGGTATTTCTTTCAAGAAATTTTGGCCAGGCATGGTGGCTCCTGCCCGCAAGCCCAGAACTTTGGGAGCCCAAGGTGGGAGGATTGCTTGAGGCCAAGGGTTCAAGTACAGCCTGGGCAACATAGAGGGACACCATCTCTAAAAAATAAATGCAAAAATTCGCTGGGCGTGATGGTGTGCACCTGTAGTTACAGCTACTTGGGAAGCTGAGGTGGGAGGATCACTAGAACCCAGGATTTCAAGGTTTCAGTGAGCTATGATTTGTGCCACTGCACTCCAGCCTGGGTGACAGAGCCAGACCCTGTCTCTAAAAAATAAAAACAATAAATAAAATTATAATTTTTTTAAAAAAGAAGATATCTCACAAGATTGGGCTGCCAGATGGTGCTGATACTGCTGATCTGAGGTGACGCTCACTCACATCAGACACAGGACAATGTCAGGGCTGTGGGCTACCAACAATTCAACACCAGCTCTTGACTTTGGACCTGTGCAAGAGTTGGCCCATCCACATGCCTATGCCCCTGTGTTGGTTCTCGCCCAGTCGTGTTCTGACCATGTTGCTGCCTTCCATCTGTGACATCTGAGGGCAGCAGGAAATTTTGCTCTGTACCCCATAGTTTGGACACCCAGAGCACTCACCATGCCTCCTCTACAGGCTCTGCTCCCTTTCAGGCAGTCCTCCAGAGTTGGCTGCACCTATCTTCTCCAAGGGTTTTCAAGACTGTTGTTCCACAAAGCCAATGGCCTATTGGGTCAACGTCCTTCCTTCCCATCAATGGATGTGCTGATATCGTGTTCTCTCAGGTCAGTCTTAATCCACCATACTTGGGCCTGAGCCTATCTACTGGTGTGAAAGGAAAGGGTGCAGTCAACATTCAAAGCAATCACAGTTTAGGAATATATTGATTATAGCCTAGAGAGTTCAAGAGAAGACAGGGTTGGAAGACATGTTGCATGTTGTACTACAAAATTCTAAACAGTAAATTTAACATGACCAGAACATGGAGTCTCATTCATAGTTTCCAGCATACTCTGGATAAGACTTGCACTTGTAGTTGTGATGGTTAGTTTTATGTGCCAACTCAATTAGGCTATAGACCTACCTCAGTTATTCCATCAAACACAAATCTAGGCATTGCGGACATGCTTAGCATCTACAGGCAGTTGACTTTATGTAAAGGAGATTAGCCTTGATAGTCTGGGTGGGCCTCATCCAATCAATTAAAAGGCCAAAGAACAGAGCTGAGGCTTTACTGAAGAAGAGGAAATTCTGCCTGTGGACAGCAGCTTTAGCTCATGTCCAGAAGTTCCAGGCTGCCCTTCCTGGCAGCCTCCCCTGTGGATTTAAGACTTGCCTAGCCATAGCCAGCCTCCACAATCACATAAGCCAATTATTTGCAACAAATCTCTTAATATATATACATATCCTACTGGTTCTATGTCTCTGGTTGGCCCTGACTGATATAGCAGTCATCATCAGTGATGCACAGTAGCAATCTTTGAGAGAGTCACTGGAAACCATTATTCACAAGCGGCATAGTACATGATGCAGTGTCATGAGTAATGATAAAGCCAGCATTAAATACATGGCATTAGGGAAGTGCAGAGGCAAGAAAAATCTATTTTGTTTCAGTACAAAGAGATTCCGAAGACCCATGGTATTATGAGTGTTGTTACCTGTTTCTCACAGTGGGAGATATGAAATTAACCAGGAATGGTGAATTTCACAATAAAAAACACGAAGGGATGCTTCCTAGACCTACAAAGGGGGAGACAGTGCACGGATACCACAAACTTCACGTGCACTGATAGGACAATAAACAAATGCGTAAGTACCTCTTCTCTACACATTATTCTAAATCTTTACTGATAAATCACTATGCCTTAGATGGACCTTTGAATTTTCTAATAAATGTATCATCTAATGGTCTACATAGACAGGGGCCCTGCAAAAAATATTTGTGCAGGGCTCCCACACCCTAAGAGTGATCATGCTGTATCTGTTTCCCCATTGGTAATGAAAAATTTGACTGGTTCTCCTTCAGAATTCCTTCCACCTCTAATATTCTGCTTCTTTCCCTAAGGAATGCAAAGCACCTTTCATCTAGACCTAGAACAAACTTCAGCCCAAAGAAGTTGAGTGTTTTTATTTGTTTTAAAGTAAATTCTCCCTTCACTTATTCACTCAGAGCCTCTTGCTCCATTCAGAGAGGACTTCACTGCTCCATGCTCAGACCAAGAGCATCCTTCTTGGGACATCTCCCACCTAGACTCTCATGACAGGTATATAGCCCAGGTTGAGTGTAGGTTGGGTTAAAATACCAGGCTCACATCTTCATGTCTTCATACAAAGACACTCAGCCAGGAGGCCTTGCAGGTAAATTCTGACCAGTCCTCTTATGATTGCCGAACAGAGTCACATTGCCTAAACCTGACCTTAAGGCAGTGTAACTGCTGCTGCAAGTATTTCTATACATAATACTTTGACCCATCTCTGGCCCACACACTTGTGCATGGATGGATATGTAGTGAAAGAACTGTTGGCCTGGGAGTCAGGTCCTCCAATACCAGCCCTCCTCCTAGTTAGCTCTGTGAAACTAGGAAAGCTCCTTTTCTCTCTGGACTCAGTTTCTTCATCTATAACATGTATGAGGTGGACTAAGACACTAAAGATGCTTTCAGCCCTTACATGCTGCATTTTCTTTTAATATGTAAAAGAAATTTGCAAGTAAAGTGGAAAGAATAATGTAGCACCACTTATACCCCTACTGCTCAGGGTGAATGTATATGTGTGTATGTGTGTACACTTTTAACTTGTATAGGTAATATATTCTCCTTTTTAGTAAATGAAGAAATCAAATCAAGCATCAACACCTAGGAGACTCTAAGCAGGATACACTGGCACCTGGCAAGATACAGTCATCAACACCTAGAAGGACACGTGGGTCAGGAGTTCCTAAATGACAGCCCTTGATCCTGATTGGTTCACAGGAATGATTGGTTTGACCAACAACGATTTTTAAAGGATGAATATTGATGCCTTTCAATGGAGCATGTCTATGGGGCCTGGTTCCATTAGAGCACCCCTCTCCCCAACTTCCTATTCACCGCATCACTCACATTTACATATCCCACGAGACCATCAAAGGCATTTGATTTTGTGAATATAAATTTATTATGCCTGCCTGAGAACAGAAGTAATAAGAATGTTTTCTACCTTTTCATTTTACCTCCACTATAGCTCCCAAGAGATGTTACATGGACAAGAAGGGCACAAAGAAGTTTATACTTCCTGCTCTAGATTAATTGTATCCCGATACAACACAGGAAGGACATGGGCTTGAAATGAACAGACTTGGGCCCAGATTCTAGCTCCATCATTTGCTTCTTTATCCAGAGCCTCCAATTCATTTGCCTTCCAGAGTTTCTGCAGTGATCAGCAAAACCATCTGACACAGGGGACCACACAGCGGGAACTCAATAAATGCTAATTCCTTCTCTCATCCTGTTGCAGAGTCAGCCCAAACCTCTCTCCAATATCTTCTACAGGGAAAAGATCTCTTGGGCTCACCCAGGCTGGGCTGTGGTGTGCAATTCTTCATTAAGAGATATGAAGAGCCCAGAAATGGAAAAGCTGGAATAAAGGAATGCAGAGTGGGGCTGCCTGTTTTGTTCCTTTTGCAAACACACACAAACATGATGATGGGGAGCAGCACCAGGGACATGTCAAAGATGACAGCAGCACTGGTCAGGTGCAAATTGCCCTTCGAAAAATGCCTAAGGCAGCACAGCTTTTGGCAGTCTTTTTTTTTTTTCTTTTCTAATCAAGGCAAAGATTTCTCTAAAAAAGCACATAGTAAAGGAAGCCAAAGGAATGTTAGTGCCTGTCTCTAGAAGCCACATTTATCTATTTTTAGTCCCCAGCAAAGCCCAGTACACTGTAATCAGTATAATAACATGCTGTCTTTCATAAAGACAGATGACACAGTTGACCTTCAGTCCCCATCTGGACACAGGACGTGTGCTGTGGGTTGTTTTGTCAGCTGTGGGCTTGGATTATTTGTCTGTACCCTCTCATCTAGTTTGGATCAGAACCAGGCATTTTCAGGAAGACTAGAAAATATGAGTGTGGGGTCAACTGGACCTCTGAAAAAAGAATTGGTAGATGTGAAGTCTGAAGGCATCATGGGTGGAATTAGTATGGAATTTTGCTCAAGTTACTTACTTCTGTAAAGACCTACTGGCCCCTTATACTTTGTGGAATAAAATCTTCACCTTGATCTTTTTCACCCAAGTTGGTAACTCAATGCAGTCTTCCTGCTGGACCACTTCCTCAATCTTGGGACATCAAATATATACTCTCAACCTCCTTGAACACAATAAAACTTAACTTTCTCCAGGTAGGAAGCCATGAACACTGCATATTGCACATGGGACCTAAAGACATGGGAGGAAGAAACAGCATCAGGTTGTCTCACGTGGTGAAGCTTTCAGAATACCCTCCCTTACAGGCAGCACTGTCCATCCACTTGGAACCTTCTCTTCCTACTCTCCACAGCAATCTTAACCATCTCTCTGGCTTCAGGCTGCTCTTCTTCCAACTAGACTGGGTTCATCCCACTAGATGACCCAGGCTTTTCAATATTGCATGTAAATGTTATGGCTCTTTCAGTCCCTGCCTACTCCTGAGTCATTGGTCTCCAAATCTCAATGTCATTCTGCTAGTCCTGGGAAAAGTACAAAGAAATCTCTTACCAAGCCTCATTTTCCTCACTTGTAATGTACAGATGACTTCTTAGTTCCCTTCCAGTTTGAAATCCTAGTCCCAAGAATGGCTTTTCCAACTGTGAGCAACCTGATACAAGCCTATCATCATTGGATATAATTGGGCTATATACATACAGGTAGAAACAGGTATAACTATACACAGAAGACTCATCTTTTATACATGCCATCACAACCTACAATTGTATGTAAAGACCTTAGTCATTTACATTGTAGCATTCAACCTTCACAATAAAGTTAATAAAGGCAAGGGCAGGTGTTGCCACTCAAATTCAGATCTTCTGACTTTAGGGCCAGGGCTCTCTATGTGACCCCACACTGTATCCCTGGTAAGCAGAGGCACTGGGAGCTTATACGCCTCAGAGAGAGTGGGTAATGGAGTATTCTCCCCTCTGAGTCCTCTGAGCTGGTATAATGCTATAGTTAAGATCAGGCCCTGCATCAGACTGAGCTAAATTTGAATCTTATAATTTAGTAGCTGTGTACTGTTGAGCAAGCTATTCAACTTCTCTGAACCTCAAGTTAGCATTCTGTAAAATGAGGGAATTAATAATATCACAATGGAGTTATGAGGATTTAATGAGGTAGTTCATGGAAGTGCTTAACACAGATCTAGCACATAGTGCCCCCAAAATAATAGTATTATTTAGATTAATATTGTATATTAACTTGCATTGATTCCCAAAGTATTTCCTGCCCTGTCTGTTCAGAATCATTTTAATTTTTAAAATCCAGGAGCAATACACTACTCCTAGTGGAGAACTTGAATCCAAGGTGAGATTAGATGAGCAGGTTCAGAAAGGATGTTCAAGAAACTTGATGGAAGAAAAGGTACCACTTGTAGAACTCTGTGGTCTTTCAGATTGTTGTAATGCCAGTGATTCATTATAGCCAACACAGAGCAAATCATTTGTTAATAAACAGAGCATCTCACAAGGAATGCTAACAGGTCTCTTTAAAGGAGCACCAATCCCATAAAAAGCCAAAAGTAAGAATAAATAATAGCAAGAAGCTTGACATTCAATGCAGGACATATTTCCTGCATGGGGCCTGCTCGGAACACTTAAAGGTCCATCTGGAAACAGCATCATGCAGAAGCGAGGTCTGCAGCCAGGTCAAGCCAAGCCACCTTTCATGCTGAGACCCCGACTCTTCTGAAGTTACAAAGTTCAAGGTGAATCCTCTTCCACATCCCAGATAACCAGCTGCCACTCAGGCATTCCTGATAAAAGTTCATCCAGGCTTAGAGTGAATGAAGTATTAGGGAGATAACGAAAAAGTACCCAGGGTCAAATACAATGGAATCCACTTCTCAAACCAGCCCACGACTGTTGAGTGTGCAGCTCCTATATTCTCTAGGAATCCTCTCTCAGATACATCTGGTACTTCTAAATCGGTTTCATCTTTTAGATGTATATGGAAGAGTGGAGGTTTAAGTATCTTGGGAGGAAATCTAAGGAGATACAGAATAGAACAAAGTGAAGTGCTGTGATCCAAAACTGGGGATCCCTGGGTTCTGCCTCTGCCTGTGGCTTGTGCGCTATCTATGACCCATGGCTCGCAGTTCTGATGGAGGCTGACCCTCCACCTGTGAATATGCTCAGTGGAAATGAAAGCTTCCAAGTTGGGGAGGGCAAGAAGACTCTTAAGCCTTTCATACCCTGAGGTTCTATTTCCCTTCCTTTCTCTGGTCCTCAGTTTCTTAATCTGTAAAGCATGGAGCCTAAGCAGGCCTCTCTAGACCATACATGATATGCTACAGGTCTTCTTGAATCCAAGGGGTCATCAGACATCCTCTTTCTTCAGCCTAGCTCTGGCCTTAAGCCAATTCCTGCCCACCTTTTAAAAAATGTGCCTGTGTCACTGACTACCCCGATGTTCAGCTCTGGAGTTGGAAGTAGGATCTGATCATAGCATCCTCAGTGGAAGGCATTTACCACATGACATATAGATTAACTCTGGGAAGACATGCTTAGCACCAATGGCACATTTAGTCTTTCCTGGGCAGAACCTGACAAATCTAACCATTTCTGAAGCAGGGCCTTATACTCAGGGCGACCCACTGGTTTATCATCCAAATAGGGATACTTCTGAGAGTGACAAGGGTCACTAACGGCTATTAATTAATTAATATTAATTAAATGACTAAGGGGTATTAATAAATACACCTGAACCACAGGACTGTCCCAGGTATCCTAGGACTTAAGGTCATCATACTTAAACGTATTTATGGAGGAGAGCCTGTGATAATTTCATCATTAGCCCAAGACAAGAACAGATGCCCCAGTGTGGACATGCATGGGGTCAGATTTGGTTATCACATAGGCCTGAGGACACTGCTGGCATTGAGCTGGTGGGCATCAGGGATGCTAAATGTCCTGCAATGTACAAAATAATCCCACACAACAGAGAATTATCTGGCTCAAAATGGCCAAAATTTCCCTACTGAAAAATACTGATATGGTGGGATAAGAATAATTGTAAACAATGATATAAAACGCAGGATGACAACTTCAAATGCCTTCAGGGCCAGTCAGGAATTGGAAGATCTATGCCCCTTCTTAAGGAGTTTAAATTTAAGTCTTTAAAACAATGCCAAACAATTTCCATCCATATGCACTAAATTTGGCTTTTGGCCTCCAGATTGTGGACTTCTAATAGACATTTACTGATCAGAAATTATGTCTATGTTATATTAAGTAAAAACGAAAAGCTACAGCGTAATCCCATTATATGCGTGTGTGTGTGTGTGTGTGTGTGTGTATGCATTCTCTCTTCATACATATATAAGGAGGGAGAAGATTCCTATATGTATGTATGTCAGTCCATACATGTATGTACATATGTGTATGTACACCAAAATTCTGGAAGAATATAGAATGAAATTTAGAGTGACAAAGAGAGTAGATGACCTGAAGTATAGGTATTTTCCCCTTTAAAGTTTTCCATAGCCATGGACAAATATGAACATTTTTAGCAGCTATTGGCAACTACTTATGATGAAGGCCCCCTGGGAATAGTCTATGAAAAGAAACAGCAGCCACAACTCTAGGGTCTGTGCCTGTGATTGTCATCACATCCCAAATGATTTTTCCTAACCCTCAATCAGACTTCTGATGGGCATAAATCCACACCCCTGGGCTCAGCCTGTTGACCCACAGGAATTAGAGCAATGTTGAAGGGTGGGGTGCATACTGGTGGGGAATGGGAGGGAACTGGTTGCAAAGGAGCAAACCATTCTCCACTCGCATGTTATACTGTGAGGAAAACACGTGCCCAGGCCACCAAGGCAATCATTTCTGGGCTCGAAAACAGGAAGAAATTCACTAAACACTATGTCGCCAACACAAAGAGTGGAGAAGATTTGCCAAGAGTGCAGTCCTGTCTTGACCGGGACATCAGCATTAAAGGCAGGACCCACTGCCAAGCTCATGATTTCTGAAGCAAAGGGGCAGCCACTTGCCTTAGGCCTCCTCTAATGGCTCTCAGATAATCTTAACTTGGGCCTGTAGATGACAAGGGGTCACTGGGACTCTTTTCCCATTTACGTGGGAGGAGATGACTTTTCTAAGCCCCTCAACCTCCATGATTTCCCCCACTCTCATAACAATCCTATAATGAGCTGGGCCCCTTCCATGTACTAACTCATTTAATCCTAACAATAACCCTATGAGGCAAGCATTACTGTCCCCATTTTACTGATGAAGAAACAGAGACTCAGGGAGGTTAAGTCTCACAGCTAGTCAGTGTCAGGTTTCAAGTCTAGACTTGTCAGTGCCACAGCCTTTAACTTCCTGTGTTCACCCACCATTGCACACCTTCAAGGAGCGGCAGACAGAGCTGAGGTAGGTCCTTCATGGGCAATGTAACCATTGCAGCTAGCGCTACTTGAGGAAAATGTCCAAAGACACAAGGGGCTCTGGAACTGGGCCTTTGGAGACAGGACGTGGACTGACCATCCAATTGATCTGCTGTGCCACTGACCCAGAAATCAGCCAGAAATTTCCTCGATAATGTCTGATAAAATTAAAGAGCAACGGTAGTGAGAATTGAATGTGGAGAAAGTGATCACTTTCTTTTTTCTTTTTTTTTAAAACGGAGTTTTGCTCTTGTTGCCCAGGCTGGAGTGCAGTGGCATGATCTCGGCTCACTGCAACCTCTGCCTTGTGAGTTCAAGCAATTCTCCTGCCTCAGCCTCCAGAGTAGCTGGGATTACAGGTGTGCACCACAACACCCAGTTAATTTTATATTTTTAGTAGAGACGGGGTTTCACCATGTTGGCCAGGTTGGTCTCAAACTCCTGACCTCAAGTGATCCTCACCCACCTTGGCCTCCCAAAGTGCTGGGATTGCCAGCGTGAGCCACCGCGCCCAGCTGGAAGTCATTACTTTCTCTGAGTCTCAGATCCCACCCAACTTTGTGAAATCACATATTACTTATCTATTGCTGTGTAACAAACAACCTCAAAACTAAGCAATCAAAACCCACCATCATTCACTCAGTTCATGATTCTGTGTATTGGCAATCTGGGCTGGGCTCAGCTGGATAGTCCCTCTGCTCTTGGCTAGGCTCCCTCGTGTGCCTGCAGGTCAGTTGTCGGTTGACTTTGCAGATGGTCACTGTGCTCTCTCACATTTCTCAGGCCTGCCCTGGACAGCTGGGCTGACTGGGCTCTGGTTTACTTCGTCTCTCATCATCTAGCAGGCCAGCCTGGGTTTGCTCACATGACTGGACAGGTTTTGAAGAAAAGTTCACAAAGGCTCCTTGAGGCTTAGACTCAAGAATTGACATTGACACTTTTGCCACTGCCTATTGGCTAAAGCGAGTCTTAAGGCCAAGGAGTAGGGGAATAGACTTCACCTCCTGCTGGGAGGAACTGCAAAGTCATATTGCAAAGAGGCATACTTACAGAGGGGAATAATGGTGGTCCTTTTTATAAATAACTGTTATTTATTGGCTTGACATAAGTGTAACTGGTAACCACTTCATGCTTTTCCAAGATGGTCCTAACTACTGCCCCTTCCTATTCAATTCAGATTGTCCTGGAGAAACTTAACCAGGTGGAGGCTGACACCCAATCCCCACCCCATCTCCACCCCATTTCCTGCATATTGTACCTAATAGTCTTCTTCAATTCTCCTGGAAACTGTAGCCCAAAAAGATAGCCCTCCTATACACACACTCAATTAGGGTGAGAGAGCCCATTGCCTTACCTTTGGGGGACCTTGTCTCAGCTGGATCCCAGTCTATTTCTCTACGCACTCATTATTTTTAAAAAAGCATTTACGAATACCTTTCACCTATCACATATAGAATATGCCTATCAGTATTCTAGTATTTAAGAATATAAGGAAAAAACTAGATCTGTTTCTGTCCTCATGGAAGTCACAGACTATTTCTCTAGGGAGAATAGACACAAACAAATATTATCTTCATTTCACAAATGACATGAGGCCCACCATCACAGAGATGATATGGGACATGACCTGGATTTGAACTCAAGCAGGTCCCCTTCATAGCCCATGTGTCTATTAACCACCATACTTCGCAGCAATAGCAGGACCAGCCTTTGTAGTGTAATTGGGTAAAGGCCAAATTATGAGAGACTAAGGAATATTTGGGAGGTAAGGAGCAGAACTATAGGAATGTCCCTGCAGAGTGATAAAGTGTGGGAGATGCAGAGAGAAGGGAAACAGGCAGAGCTCTTCCCGCTGCAGACTTGCTCTGAGGGCTACAGAGAAGGTGGAAGCCCACTCCCTCCAGCTGAAACTTGGGCTCACACAGAGGCCTCAACAGGGTCCTAAGAATCGGGCATGGTTCCTTTCCTCCTGCCAAAGTCATTCTCCTAGCGTTCAAAGTAGTCTTCAAGGGAAATCTTACTGCTTTCCCCAAGTGCCAGACAATATCAGCTTCTTCAAGACAATAAGGAGGTATGTGTTGGCTCTCTGGAAGTGTTCGCCCAGTGAGCCAATTTATATTCATTGTGATTCAGCAATTATTTACTGCATTCCCACGGGTGTAGCGCCAGCTGGAGTCAGACTTGGTAATTGTTTCCCACCTTATCCTCAGCAATTACATTCCAGCTGATGGTATGTACACCGATATAAATTGTTCACCAATAAACACGTCTCTTAGGAGCCTTATTTATCTTACGGAACCTTCATGAAATAATCATACAGATTCATCATGCCATATTCTGCCCATAGACTTTATAGGGGATCCCCCATTAACTTTAATGGGGAAGTTTGTTAGGTGTCTTTTTCCCCTCCCTTGGCATAGATCAAAATTAGTGCATGGCCAATAGACCACACATTTTTCAAAAGATCTCCTGGGTCGTTCCTGCCCACCTCCTCAGTGACTGCAAGAGTGTCTTCTCTTCTTACATTTTGCCTTCTCCACAGTAGATCAACTTCTGCTATAGGCCCACACTTTGTCCTCAGCCCCTACTTCCCAGTACGTACTGACCTCATGCTGGGAAAATATTCCTGCCTTAAAACTCCAGTATTCTTTCTCTCCTTCACCCAGTGTCTTCCTACTCACTTTTGCCAGTATAAATCTGTCTCCACCATTCCCACCTAAAATCATGGCCTTCTGTGGGTGCTTCCAGCTACTGGATGCCCCTTTTCCCTTGGGTTCCTGCCATTTCATACTCACCAAAAGTTTCTGATCCTGCAGGCTTTTGTCATCAGTTGGAATATGTCACTTTCAACATTCTGATTTTCTGCTGATTGGTTGGTTTGTTTTGGAATTGGCTTTTGAATTAGTTAGAGGAAAGGTTAAGCCACGGTAATAAAAAGACTCCCAAGAAGCTTTGGCTTTAAAAAGCTTATATTTTCTCTCTGATGTAACAGTCCTGAGTGGGTGAGCAGCTTTGCTTCACGTGGTCATCCCAGAACCTCAGTTCCCTCCACCTTACTGCTCCACAGTCCTCGGCTGTATGGTCAAAGCCAAGTCACAGGCACATCTAGCACCTGTGTTTGAGCTTATGGGGTAAGGAAAGAGGAATTCCAGAAAAATGGCTTTCCTTTCATGTGACAATCACCTGGAAAGGACACTTCCACTCACCTCCCCTTGGCTCAAGCTTGGTCCCAAAGATGCATCTAGCTGCCTCATACCTGGCGCAGACTCTCTACTATGCATGGGAAAGGGAGAGACTGGGGTTTCGCAGACAGCTAGCACTTTCCCCACAGCTGCATTTGGTTAGCTTCTTCAAACCAAACTGCTCAGAGTCAAACAGGGTGAAAAGAGAGTCTTTGCTCACAATAAGATTTCTGTAGAAGAATGAAGTATAAGCCAAACACTGCCACCATGCCACAAATTTTCCTGAACTAAAAACACTTTCTTCAAAGTTAATAAAGGGCTGCGCATGGTGGCTCATGCCTGTAATCCCGGAACTTTGGGAGGGTGAGGTTGGAGAATCACTTGAGCCCAGGAGTTTGACGCTGCAGTGAGTTCTGATTGTGCCACTGCACTCCAGCCTGAGTGACAGAGCGAGACCTATCTCTAAACGTATGTGTGTGTGTGTGTATATATATAAAGGCCTTCAAAAAAAGGCATCAACCTTGTCTTCTCTCTGACACACAGCCTATCTGATCCATCAGTAAATACTGAGGGTTCTTCCTTGACTATGTTCAGAATACATTTCTCACCACATCCACCACCAATCCAAGCCACCATCAATTCTCTTCTGGATTATTTTAATAGCTTTCTAATGATTGAAATTCTGCCTTCCTACAGTTCTATTCTCAACACAGCAGCCAGAGTGATCCCTTTAAAACATAAATCAGAACCTTTTACTTGTCAACTCAAAATTCTTCAATGGCTTACATCTCAAATCAGGAGGAAAAGCCAGAATACTTAACAATGACCTACAAGGCCTAATCTGATCATATCACCTACCAGTCCCCTCCCTCCTTGCCTCCCAGCTCACCTCTTACCCATTTTTTCCTGCATCCTACTCTCTCCAAATCTGCTTCAGTGGCCTCCTTGCTGGTTCTAAAACATGTCACCACATCCTGCCTCAGGACCTCGCACCAGCTTTTCCCTCTGCCCTTGCCCAGACTCCCAGATGGTTCCCTCCCTCACTTCCTCCAGGTCTCTCCCCAGTGTCACCTTCTTGCTCAGATTTTCCCTGACTGACCCACACAAAATAGCTATCCCATATCCAGTTGTATGCTGGCAAATATTTAAGAACCAGCTGTCCCTGAATTGTAGCATTTTTGTGTGGGATCTAAATACTCCCACTGTGGCCAATTTCAAGCTACCAAGGTCATTGAACATGAAGCCGGGGAGAGAGGCATACAATTTTCAAGAGCTGACACAAGCCAACTGCAGCACATCATTTCCCACACCTCTCCAGCATTCTCGGTCCCTTTATCCCATGTTAGTGTTGGTCTCCTTAGCACCTATCACTGCCTGGCTTATACTTCACTTACTTGCTTGCTAATAGTGTGTGTCTTCCTGTACAATGAGAGCTGGACAAGGCAGAGCCTGTATCTTCACTGTCATATCTCTACCATTCAGAATATCTTAGTCATTCAGTAACATTTGTTGAAATGAATGGATGAAATGGCAAAGAACATAGAAAACTCCCACAAGAGAAAACACATTATAATCAAATGTATGGGAAAAGTTTCTGCACCACTTATACTAATTGTCTAAATCAGTGCCTACCAGTGGGAGAGAAAGCAATGCTGTCTAGAGAGCGTGGAACAATAATTCCTTAATTGAAACAACTGGACAAGTTGACTAGATTTAAAATGTGCTACACTGAAAGAAGCTGGAAGAAAATAAAATCTGGCAGGGTCCAGGGGAAGACAGGGAGATTCTAGTTGGGTTTAAGAATCAATGAAAATAAGCAGGATGCAGTGGCTCATGCCTGTAATCTCAACACTTTCGGAGGCCAAGGCAGGCAGATTGTTTGAGGCCAGGAGTTTGAGACCAATGTGGGCAACATGGCGAAACCTGGCCTCTAAAAAAAAAAATTAGCTGGGCATGTAGTCCCAGTTATTGGGGAGGAGGGCTGCAGAGGGGGCAGGCAGAGCTGAGGCAAGAAAATTGCTTGAGCCCAGGAGGTCAAGGCTCCAGTGAGCCATGATCGTACCACTGCACTCCAGCCTGGGTGACAGAGCAAGATCCTGTCTCAAAAAGAAAAAAAAAAAGAAAATATATTCAGGATTAAGTTGGTGTTTGTGAGGATGTCCTAGAAAGTTAAAACCAGCAGATGACAGTGAATTGGTAGGTCTTTCTGCCCTAAAGAGTCAGACAGATGGGAGATACTAATAATTCAAGAAACACAATGGAAGCAGAGGTAGAGTACTATGTTTCTGCTAAAAAGTTAATAATACACATTTTGATGGCAATGGCCAATGTGAGAAAAGTTGAGAAGGAAATGGTACCATCATACATAGCTGGTAACATTGTACATTTGGTTTGATCCCTTTGGAAGGTAATATGTTAAGAAGAATAAAAATGTTCATACTGTCAACCAGTAAGCCAAAGGAAGAATTTAACAGAAGAAATTGACTATAAACACAAACATTCATACAGTGGTCACCATCACAGCCCAAAATAGAAAATAATCCAAATGTGCATCAGTAGGGAACGATTGAAAAAATGATGGCATAGTAACTCAATGGAATACACGTCATGAATCCCTAAAAAATAATTATAAAAAACATAGCAATGCCAGTGATGCTGTCGAGTGAAAATCCAGACTACGAATTGTAGACTATAGGTTGCAAATCTTTAGAACTATATTCACGACATGGCCAAGCTAATGGAGAATGTGCAAAAAGAATTGTGTGGGTGAGAAGGGGATTTTTTTCTAAAATTGACTTTATTTAATTACTAAAGTTTTAATGTTAAGCCTTTCATAGCAGAAAATCATTTTTACACAAAAATGGAGGGGAAGACTGAGGAATGAAGGGAAGACATCCTTCTCTTGGTGACTGGTCAACTACTAATGTCCCAGAAAGTCCTCCATCACTGAGATTGCTGAAGAACATGGAGACACAGGCCTTCTACTCACAGAGCATCAGGCAGCTTGGCCATGGTGAACACTTGATCCATCCTACATACCCAGATTGGGACAGAAAATCACAAGGACATTGGGCTTGGGTGCTCTTAAGGTTCCAGTGGTCACACTACATGAATAACTTGAGACAATGAAATTCATGAAGACACTTCCTGCCTTCCAGGCTAAATGCTGAGCAGCAGCACCAGGCTCCAAGGCCAGGGCAGGAAAGACCCAACCTTCCTTGGTTAGCAGCTAAGGAATCTTCTGCCCCTGGAGCTTCTGCTGCCAGAAGCTTGGGGCTTTTAGCCACTACTGAATTGGTTTCTGAGCCTGCCAGTACTTTACTCTCAGAACAACCAGAGTGCAAGAGCAAGAGGGGAATGCTTTCTTCCTTCCACAACATGTCTTTTTTAATAGCTCACTTTTCCAAACTCCTCCACACCCTATGATGAGAGCCATATCACCTCAATGAGACAATACTTGTCCAGGTCAGATCTGATTCTAGACAAAACTGCATTTAAAGTCCCCCATAAAAATAGTTGTCAGTCCTAGCCTGAATCTTATCCACAGAAAAATAGTGTCCAACTTTTTGCAGCTCTGCCCATTTGGGAGGCAAAGCTGTGTCCCACAGCTCAACCCATCTGAAAGTTCTACTAATTTAATCCCTTTCTACATGGCTGCAATTTTACCACTCTCTTCCTTTTCTTCCTGTCAGCTGACACAGAAAGCAGCGGCACCTCGGAATTATCACCATCACACTTAACTGAGCCTTCATTTATACCCACAGCCTGATAAACTGTTCTCATCCCTTAGTTTTACAGCAATTCTATGTAGTAGATACTCTTATTATCCTCATTTTATAGATGAGGAAACTGAGACAGAACAAAGCTAAGGAACCTGCCTAAGGCCACATGGTAAGTGGCAGAATCCAGATTTGAACTACTGCAGTTTGATTCCAGAACCCATCCCTCTCCATTATGTCCCCGCTCTCCTCCACAGAATTCTTGACACTAAAGAAGAGAGGCACGACATTCACAATAGAAATGTTTCCAAAATTCAGTTTGCTTTCTAAAATATTTCTGACTTGCTGGGAATTTACTTTAATATAACCATCAATTCACACTGATGACCTAACTCAGGGGAGGTAAAAAGCTTTCAACAATAGGCCAAATCAACAAATGTTTCCTTAAAAACGAGCCTCAAATCTAGATCTGTGCACTGGGAAGAAAGGCATCGTTCTCAAACTAAAAAACAAGTTTGATTAAATCTTGTGATACTTCTAGGCCTAAGTAACTCTGCCATGGGCTTGCAGATTTTTTAGACTTTTCTTGTTGATTTAGACACAGCATTGTCTAACCTACTGACTTAGGAATCCTTTCCATATGTTAATAGGATTTGACTCAAGAGCTAAAAGGAAAGCAAATAGAAATGGGTGTGAGAGATAAAGATGAGAGACGAGGACAGAACACAAAGGAGCACCTTCCCTACCTGCAAAAAACAGATGAGCACAGGTGGTCTGAATGAGGGCAGAGAACCTATAGGGGGCAGGGAAGCAAACTTCCAAAGTCTGGAGAGCTGCTGAGTGACCAGGCAGCAAGAGACCCAGAATTACTGGCAGCACTACCCCCACTTTAGGGCCTCCCTAAGATACCATAGTTGAATGGAGGCTGGTGTCTTGCAGTTCAGCAGATGGAAGGGGCATATAAAATTACAAGAGCAAAACACCAACTTCACTCTCAACATAACTTCATTTATACCTACAGCCTGATAAGGAAGGAAGAAGACCATGTCCTAGTCCTAAAACACAAAGCTAATCACAAAACTTCCTGTTCAAAAACTTCCACAATACCCCAATACTCCTGTAGGTTACTACAGGATAAAGCCCTGACCCCTCCACCTAGCACACAAGGCTACCTTCCTCTCCAGCCTCAGCCCTCAAGATTGAAAGCTTCCAGAGCACAGTCATCCCTGTTCTTTCCTAAATATGAGGCAGAAACACCAATACGCCACGCCATTGCTGACCTCCGCACCTGTGCCCACGCTGCACAGGGAAGGTGTGAGCCTTCCCTTTCCCTACCCCTAATACTTATTTTGCAAGGCTTGCTACACTTCTCTTGCCTTCCACCCTCTTTACTTATCCTTTCCTTTAGGAAAGGATACATTACTCATCTTTCCTCTGGACTCCAAAGTGCAGTGTTTCCTCTGGGCTCCTTCCCTCTGGGCTCCAAAGTGCAGTGTTCAGCCTTGTTTAAACACCCACTGCATGATGTAATGGTTGGTTACCATACCTGCCTCCCTTACTCTGCTGTGAGCAGCCAGCAGACAGCCACACCTCACTCATCTTTATCTCTCACGCCCATTCCTATCAGCTTTCCCTGAGGCTCTTGAGTCATATCCTATTAACATATGGAGAAGATTCTTAAGTCAGTAGGCTACGTAATAGTGTGTCTAAGTCAACAAGTGAAATCTTTAGAAATCCACATGGTGGTAGAGAGTTTTGGAAGCGAAGGCCCGGAATGTGGTGTGCTAGATGACACAAGCACAGATGATCTGAGAAATTAACTTGCATAATGTGCCTGGAGTGAAGTGGACATTCAATGAATGTTGGTTGAAACCACGTTTTCCATTGGCCTTGACTTCTCATGTGCCTATAGATAAGATTGGGTTTGCACTTGGCACCTCTTCCCAGAAAGACTATACCTGTAAGAATTTCCCTAAATCATTCAGAGGAAACCCCCTTTTAGCATTAAAAACTAGTTTTTTTATCCAAGAAACTGGGAGAATTGAAAAATATTACCTGGCCAGTATGTCCCGCATTACCATGTCCCCATCCTTGCCTGGGCTACTGACTCCCTTCTGCATTCCCTCATTCCCTGGTTCCCTCTCTTTCCCCCTTCTCCAATCCCACCAGCTTCAGGGTTCAGAAAGGCCAGCCTCAGGCCCGCTTCTCCTCACTCTCCTCTGTCATGGTTATTTACTAGCCTGTTTGATTCAACTTCCCTGTCCACATGATAAAGGATAGTGTCCACAGCACCAGCAGTTTCCACGATGCAGGTCACATTACTGAGTCACCTGTCAGTATGTCATCAAGCACACCGAATTCTGAGCACTCACTTCCAAGTGTCTCTGGCTGTTCTGATTTCTAAAAGGCTCCTCTTATAGATTTATTGTGGGGTAGATACAGGACTTCCTGGCCTTCTGGCTTGAGAATCTTCTCCATATTTTAACAGGATTTGACACAGAAGCCTCAAGAAAAGAGATAGGAATTTGCCTTTTCAGTCTACCCCAAAAGATTTTTTTCTCTTAATTTATCCCTCAAAATCAGCCAGGAACTCCTAGGCCAGCACGCTTCAGAAGACCTGTCCCCTTGGCTTCTAGGGAATGCAGTAGGATTGCTAGAGAACCAGGGCTAGGGGCCCAGCACTAGATTTCCTCCTGCAGGAAAACAGCTTGGGTCTGCTCTGTCAGGCCCTGGAAGCCCTCCAGTACAACTCAGACTCAGGTACAACTCCACAAGCTCTGCTTCCTTCCTGGAACAAGTTCCATGCTTGGCAGGGCAAAGTTGCCGCAGAAACAGGGCTTTCATCCTTACCTGGTCTGGCTGCAGGACATAATTCCTCTAGAGAAACAGCAGCATGCCAACAGCCTGGCCCAGCCCCTGAGTCTGGCCCAGGGCCTCAGAGCACTCTGCCTACAGCCCCCAAAGCCACTGTTACTGACCCCAGAACTATATTGCCTCCTAGGGTTCCTGGAATCAGCTGGGCTTCCTGTGAGCATGTGCAGTTGGACTAGACCCTCCAAGATCTGGTCTGGTCCTCGGAGTGAGAGGCAGAGCCTAGGGAGACTTCCTTATCAGTTCTCCAGTGTCCAGTTCTCTAGCACTGTCCAGTTCTATACCTGGATCTATTCTAATTTCTAAGAAGCCAATTGCTCCTCCTTGGAATTCCCCTACGATAAAACCTGGCTGCAGTCTAGTACTTTGGTGTGGGAAGCAAGTTAGCTGTCTGCTGCATCCCAGGACCCACCAAGGCACAGAGTTATGTGCCAAACCCAGCTTCCCCTGGAGGACCCCAGAGCCACCTGACTGACAGAGTGGTGGCTGAGGAAAATAGGGTGACTGGTAGTATGTGTCAGTCAGGTGGACTAAGAAGTCACAGGGTAAGGCAATCACAGACAGCCAGGACATTTCAGAAGCAAAAGACAGCCCAGCAGTGGACCAGCAAGCCTGGAGTCAGGAGCTAAGCCCCAGCTCTCAATCAGCTTTGGCAGCCAGACAACAGTATCTGGGGACACAGAAAGGGGCGGGCAAGATCAAGGGCAAGGCAGAGACACACTGGAAGACCGGGGGCTCAGGCAGGGGTCCCTCAGCAGCAGGAATGAAAGAGTGGCCAGAGTAGAGCCTGGGGCTCAGCAGAAGTTTCTTAATTCCCTTTAGACTGAGAACAGAATTGTCCTGGAAACCTCCTGGGTCTATGAGAATGTGACAAAGAGTCCCCGCCCATGAAGAGAAAAGGGCTTCATGTGATTCCAGCTGACAGAGGGGAGAATCAGACCTGCAGAGAAAGAATGACACTCTTTCTTGTTCCCATCTAAGGCCCCTGACCTGAATTAGCCATGAAGGGCTTGAGTTCTCCAGGAAACCTGCATAGAGAGAGGTCTTTTCATCCTCAGGAAGAACAGCACCTCAGAAACCCTTCTTGCCACCTGGTCTTTTAAGGGTAAAAGTACCGGAGACTGTCAGAATTGTGGGGCAAATACCACCCCAAATGTGGAATTATACAAACTGGGATGATAAAGGGAAAATGCTCTCTTGTTTTTAAGATCATAGAACTTCTACACCCAAATGAACTCTGTCCCCCAAAAGCTTATCACCAGGAGATAATATGTGTATGGCTTTCCAGAGTAATGCTTTTTGGCAAAAAGCATTTTTGGGCATCCTGGGAATTCAATCGGAAATATATTAATCCCATACATATATCAGTTTAAGGAGAGTTGACTTTTTTATTGTGTTGAGCAAAAGTAAGTAATGCTTTTGGGCAAAAGCATTACTCTCCACATCTTACACCCTGGTGATGCCATTGCTGGAGATGTTTTGAGACTCCTCCTATGGAGGCCTTCAGAGACCATTTACAAGGCGCCAGGGAACCAGCAGCAGCATCATAAAACCACACCTTGCTTTTGACCAAGAATGGTATTATTATCCACTATATTAGTCAGGATCAGGACCAGAAAGCCAAATCAAACCAGCTTTCCTGTCTTTTTCTAAAAGTTTTATAGCTTTACAGTTTACAATTGAGTTTATGATCCATTTTGAGTTAATTTTTATATAAGGTGTGAGGCTTAAAGTTATGATTAATTAGATTAATTATTATTATTTTGCCTATGAATGTCCAGTTGCTGCAGTATTATTTTCTTAAAAGCCTATATATACTCCATTAAATCATTTTTACGTCTTGTCAAAAATCAGTTTGGCATATTTGTGTGGGTCCATTTCTAGGTCCTATGTTCTGTTCCATTGATATGGTTTGTGTTACCTCCACTATTACTATGTTGTCTTGATTAGTGTAGCTATATAGTAAGTCTTATAATTGGATTCTACACAAAATTTAATTCAGGAAATAGAAGGCTTGAATTGGATTCCTCCCACTTTATTCTTCTTTTTCAAAATTATTCTAACTATTTTAGTTCCTTTGCCTTTTCATATACATTTTAGAACAATCTATATCTACAAAATAAAATCCTGGGATTTTAATAGGAAGTATATTAAACCCATATATCAGTTTAAGGAAAATTGACATTTTTATTGTGTTGAGCCTTCCAGTTCCTGACCATGGTATGTCTCTCTGTTTAGTTAGATTTTATTTGATTTATTTCATTAGTGTTTTGTGGTCTTCAGCATATAACTGTTGCACATTTCATTAGCCTTACCTAGTCTGGTATGTTTTTGTTAAATTTACATTTAAGTATCTCATTTTTTTCTGAGCAATTACAAATGGTATTGTATTTTTAATTTCAATGGTCACATGTTCATTGCTAATGTATAAAAACACAATCAATTTTTGTATATTTATCCTGTATCCTGTGGCCTCAATAAACTTACTTTTTAGTTGTAGGAGGTTTTCTCTTTTTATTTTTTATTTCTTGGAATTTTCTATGTGGACAGTCATGTCATTTGCAAGTAGGAACCATTTCATTTTTTCCTTTTCTACTTTAATGCCTTTTATTGCCTCTTCTTGTTTTATTTTACTGGCTAGAAATTCCAACACATTGTGGAATTAGAGTGGTGAAAGCAGACATGCCTGCCTTCTTCCTAAATTTAGGGGTAAAATATTCATTCCATTAGTAAGTATTAGGTTAATTGTGGGGATGTTGTAGGTTCTCTTTCTTCAGTTGAGGAGGTTTCCTCTATTGCTAGTTTTCTGAGTTGTTTTTAACCATAAATGGATATTAAATTTTGTCAAATGTTTTTTTCTGCATTAATTGATATGATTGTGTAATTTTCTTCTTTAGCTTACTAATGTGATGATTATATGGAATGATTTTTGAATATTGAATCATCTTTGCTTCGTTGGAATAAACTTTATTTGATTCTGGTATAAAATTTTTCTAATATATCACTAAATTCTGTTTGCTAATAACTTGCTAAGGATTTTATATTTATACTCATGAGATATATTGATCCGTAGTTTTCTGTTTTTAGTAAAGTCTTTGATTTTGGTATCAGGATAATACTAGCCTCATAAAATGAATCAGGAAGTATTCTCTCCTCTCCTATTTTCTGGAAGAAATTTGTATAAAATTGCTTTAAATATTTGGTAGCTTTCTCCGGTGAAAATATCTGGACCTAGAGATTTCTTTTTTGAGAGTTTTAAAATTATGACCAATTTTCTTAATACTTAAAAGGCTGTTCAAATTGGCCTTTTCTCCTAATGTTAAGTGAGTTGTGATAGTTTGTGTTTGTAAAGAGAGTTTCATTTCCTCTAAGTTGTCAAATGTATGTGTGTAAAGTTACTCGTAGTGTTCCCTTATTATTTTTTATATCCTCAAGATCTGTAGTGAAATTCCCTGTTTCATTCCTGATATTGGTCATTTGTGTCTCCTCTCTTTCTTTTTTTTTTGTCAATTTTGCTAAGGGTTTATCAATTTTATTGATTTTTTTCAAAGGATCATCTTTTTGTTTTATTGATTTTTTCTACTGTTGTTTTAAATTTTATTGATTTCTGCTCTATCATTATTATTTCCTTCCTGCAGCTTGCTCTGGGTTTATTTTGCTCTTCTTTTTCTAGGTTCTTGAGATGGGAGCTAGATTATTGATTTGAGACTTTCCCTCTTTTTGAGTGTATTCATTTAGTGCTGTAAATTTCCTTTTCAGCACTGTTTCAGCTATGTCCCACCATGTTGGTATGTTGTATTTTCATTTTCATTCAGTTCAATGTATTTTTTTTATTTCCCCCGAGACTTCCTCTTTAACCCATAGGCTATTTAGAAGCGCATTATTTTTTTTTTTTTTTTTTTTTTTTTTTTTTTTTTTGAGACGGAGTCTCGCTCTGTCGCCCAGGCTGGAGTGCAGGGGCGGGATCTCGGCTCACTGCAAGCTCCGCCTCCCGGGTTCACGCCATTCTCCTGCCTCAGCCTCCCAAGAAGCGCATTATTTAGTTTCCTAGTATTTGGAGATTTCTTGGTTATCTTTCTGTTTGTTGATTGCCAGTTTGATTTCAGTGTGGTCAGTGAATACACTCTTTCTGATTTCAATTCCTTTACATTTGTGGAGGTTTGCTCCAATGACCCAGGAAGGGGTCCATCTTGGTCTGTGTTCCAAGTGCACTTGAAAAGAATGTGTATTCTGCTATCCAGGTGAAGTGTTCTATAAATGTCTATTACACCCTACTGGTTGATTATGTTGGCATCTATTGATTGTCTTTTTCATTCAGTTGATATTGTCCTGGTTCTTGGTATTACAGGTGATTTTCTATTGAAACCTGGACACTTTTGTACTGTAAGTCTCTATCTCTTATCTAAATCTTCTGTTTCACTGGGGAGGAAGTTCTCATCACTGTCTGGTGGGGGTGAAAGTCCCAGCTCCCTATTTGGCCTTCTCTGACACCACCCTGATAGGGCATTGAAATGCCTCATTACAGTCTCAGGAAGGTGGAAATCTGTGCTCCCCATTCAGCTTTTGCTTGCATGAGTTGGGATGGGGAGACACATTTTCTGTGGTGGCTGGAGTAAAGCCGTTATTATCTAAAAATTTGTTGTGTTGATAGTCTGCCTTCTTCCTGGTTCTTTACCTGAAGAGATCGGGCTTTTGTTGGGGCTTTTTAAAATTTGTACCCATTGGTGTTTTTGGGTTGCCAGTTTCTTCAGCTCAGAGTTTGGTACATATGAGACAAAAAGAAAAATCCAGAGAACTCACCGACAAATCATTCGTTGGGTCCAGAGATCTCTAGCTGATCTTCCTGCTATTCTCCATCTTTCGGAGTCTTCTTATGTTTGTTTCATATATGCTGTCCAGAGTTTTTACTGTGCTTAGTGGGAGAAAAAGTAAAAGTATTTCTACTGCATCTTCCCAGAGGCAGAAGTCTACTGGAACACTTTCATCCATTTTGTCTTATTTCTATGCATTTTAAAACACTTGAGAAATTTCTGTATATACAATTCTGCTTTTTAAAAACTTACCCTTATAAATATGATTTTAAGGGTTACAGAATATTCTATTAAGTTGATATCATGTAATTTCTTAGCCATTTTCTTCTTTATCATTTGATTTGTTTCCAACATTTAATTGTGTAGTTCCTTAGCCCTTCTCTTAATGAACATGTGGCTTGTTTCCAAGGGTCTACCAATGTAAGTATCACTATAATTAACATCTCTGTGCATAAAATTTTATTTCCTTACTTGGGAGTTATTTTTTCAGTATAAATTCCTATAAATTGAGTTACTAAGTTAAAAGGTAAGGGCATTTATTGCACATTGTATATTTTTAAGGGATGGTTTGGAATATATCTAACAGAAGCATTAATGGAAACTTGCCTATAGTATTTGGATTCAGAGGGGCCCAAATTCCCTCACTCCCATTTCACTTTGAGATTGAGAACATCACCAGCCTAATTTAAACAGATGTGACTGTCATGGTCCTTCTGCAGGGGTCCTTTACCAACGTTCAAGTCAGGAATTAGTTATTAGTGTTTGTCTTAGCATGTTACCTCCAAGGAATGATCAGCAAATCTTTTGTTACCCCACTACCATGTTTCTTATCTTCACTGGGGTGTATATTCTAGCAATAAATCATTTTCAAGTATTTATATGTGCTATGGTTATATGTGCTTTATGTATAAAGTTCTTATAGCTTCCATCAGTCACTAAAAAATGAGGGCTACATCTGTGCTGTTCAAATCAGTAGCTACTAGCCACATGTTGCTAAATTTAAATGAATTAAAATTAAAATTTTGAGTTCTCATTTGCACTCACCAGGCTTCAAGTGCTCAATAGCCACATGTGCCTCATGGCTAGTGTGTTGGACAGTGTGTGGTTCTATTGGATAGTGCTGCTGAAACAATTCCTCTTTGGCCTCAGCTGTCACAGAGAACCTGTGTTTCATAATTACCTTTCCACGACTCAGTTCAGATTTGAAGTGAAGTACATCCTCCTGCTCATCGAAGACACAAAGGAGCACCCCACCTGAGGAGGCTGATGGTGACTAGAATCATGTACAGTCACTGAGGACTCACTAGGCACCAGGCACCCCACTAAACACATCTACCTCCCAACAACCCCCAGGCATGGGTACTACTTTACACATAATGAAAAATTCTGGGAAGAAAATTCTTCCATTCAATCTAAGTAATTTCTTGGGAAAGAATGCTTTAATATGCTGCTCAGGACACAGGGTGAGCCTCTGCAGTGGTACCCAAGGAATAAAACGTACTCATCAGATTGCTCTATAATCATTTAATTTTCCGAGGCGGGGGCAGAGGATAGAAAAAGGTATCTATCAGGGGAATGGAAGCATGAAGCACGTGTGGAGCTCCTCAGTCTCTTTGAAAAGACTCATGTGATGTAGGAAGGACCCTTGGTTGCTTTTCTCCACACAGACCTGCAGGCAGCAGGGCAAGGAAAAAGGAGAGACATGCGGACTGGTGTCTCCCACACGAGAGTCAGAAAAACATCGGTTCAATATTGGATTCTATCTCTCACTGGCTGTGAGAGCTCATTCAAGCCTCAGTATTCCAACCTGCAGTATGGGGAGAATACCACATAACATGGACGTTTGCCTGAGGCCTGAATTGAAGGAGAGAGACAAAGGCTTCATCAGTGCTTCCTCCCAGGTCAACTCGGGCTGCATGCCCCCGTGACCAGACTGACACAGGTGGCACTTTCACCCCACGGCCAACTGATACAGAGCTACACAGCATTAAGGAGGGGCTTATCTGTGCTCCCTGAGAAGGAAAGGGTGGGCTCCCCTAGCCTAGGGCTGCTGGCTCACCCTGGGCTCCTGGGAGAGGAGACAGGTTAAAGTCAGACGGCACTTTGGGTCCTCCCAGGATCTTGCTGCCAGACCCTCAGAGTGGAGGAGATGATGGAAACTCATAGCCCCTTGAACTGCTCGATGCTGCCAAGAAGCAGCAAGGTGTAGCATCTTTGCAATTCTGTATGCAGCGGAGTGGGAGCTCCAGCACTCCCTGAGATATTGAGCTTTAAACCTGTCACAGTAAATAGTCAGGAATTAATACACCAACTCCTCAGCTCTGGCAGTGCAATTTGCCATCTAAATTGTTACCTTCACCAGAACGGTACATAAACAAAGTCAGCAGGTTGCAGGAACTTTTCAGCAGACATGGTGAAACTTGTTCTTCCCTAAGAAGAGAGAGGGAGGAGTAGGGAAAGGGAGTTGACATGTCACACATCCCTGTGGTGTGCCAAGCAGTGAGCTGGTGCTTAGCAGGCACTGCCTCTTTTATCTTTACAACCCCCTGTGAGGGAGGGATTATCATTCTCATCCTGCCAGTGAAAAAAGTGAAGGTCAGAGTCATCTGCCCAAGGTCACTAAGCTGGTAAGTCAAAGAGCCACCCTCAGCCCCAATGGTTCTGACCCAAGATTCATGCTACACTACTGAATCAGGTCTTCAAACAGTTCCCGGAGATAGGAGTCAATATATAGCACGCCAGCTGTTCTGCAGTGAAGTGGAACTGTGGACAGAGCTCTGCCCAGACCCCAGGGACCTTCCTTTTAACCTTTCTGTGCACCCTGTCACCAACTGCTGTGTTGCTTCACTTCTAACAGCCACATGTACCTCTCCCTTAAGAGGACTGACTGTCTAAGGGCTGCAGCAGCACTCTGCCCACATGAGCAAAAACCTGGAAGTGCCTGGAGGCCCTTGGACAAAGAATGACTGTTTGGGGATTATGAAAGCATAGCTCCATTGCCTGCAGTCAGGACACACTCTGAGGTGTGACACTTTCCAGAGCACCCTGTAGGACCAGGTAGAGGCTGGGACTCTGCCTAGGATCACCTTGTGAGGTTTCCCACTCTGCCTTGCTTCCCCATCCCTTCGGTTGCTTCTGGATGCACCTCCTTAATAAATCAGTTTTCTGTGGATGCCTGTCTCAGGGTCTGTTTCTGATAAACCTACCCTAAGACAGAGTATTTCCTTACTGAAGGGAACCAATTTGTATGTGGGACAGGGTTGACTTAACAACCCAGGCTTCTTATTCTCTATCAATAAGTTTCTTGAGTCCAGTACTTCTCTTTCAGCGTCCATCAAAGTGTTAGCAAATGAATCTCTAACCTACTGATACAACAGAAATAGTTTTGGAGGTATAATGGGTCAAATTTTGAACCAAAATTCCAAAAGTACATATTTAAATCCTGTTCCAAAAAAGTGTTTTTTCTCTACAAAGAGATCTTAATATGACTGGCATGATGCCTTCAACCAGCTTAGGGTACAAAACAGTCATATTCCTTCTATTTTTCAATCACTCAAGTCCCACCTTATCTGGAAATAAAATTCCTCCTTTGGCCTTTCTCTAACCCCATCTCCCAATATTCCTGGGCCTTACTCAGACTTAGGAAGTCAATCCTGCTTCCAAATGCCTGGTAGAGTGAAAACACGAATCTGCTCAGCTCCCACTCCTATTATGGTTTCTGTGGCTGCCACATGGTGACACCATTAAAAATGGGTTCTGCGGCCGGGTGCAGGGGCTCACATCTGTAATCCTAGCACTTTAGTGGGCCGAGGCAGGAGATTTGCTTGAGGCCAAGAGTTCAAGACAAGCCTGGGCAACATAGTGAGACCCTATCTCTACAAAAAAAAAAAGAAAAAAAAATAGCCCGGCATTGTAGCACACACCTGTATTCCTAGCTACTCAGGAAGCTGAGGCAGGAGGATCCATTGAGCCCAAGAGTGTGAGGCTGCAGTGAGCTATGATCACACCATTATACTCCAGCCTGGGTGACTAAGACCCTGCCTCTAATAAAAAAGAAAGAAAAAGAAGAAAGAAAGGAAAGGAAGGAAGAAGGAAGGAAGGAAAAAAAGGAAGGAAGGAAGGAAAGAAAGAAAAAAAGAAAGAAAGAGAAAGAAAAAAGAAAGAAAGAGGGAGGGAGGGAGGGAGGAAGGCAAGGAAGAAAGGAAACAGAAAGAAAGAGAAGAGTTCCTTCAGACTTGCATGGATGCTCCTCCTCTAGGGTCAGAGCCACAGTGCTCAGCTGCAGCCCAACTCTTAAGAGCGCTGTTCTCATACAGTCACATGACTGAAGGATACAACCAATGTCATATGCAGCTGGTCCAGCTGTGCACAGAAGCCTCTCCTGTATAGGCCTCTGCACAGTCTGTGTTGCCCCAGCTTGGGCTGCAGGGTTGCAGTTCTTTTGATTGACATCCACATGATCAGCCAGTTCCATATGCACAGCTGGAAGACCATCCAGCCACAGCTCTCCTCCCTATCTCGGCCCTAGCTCTTGCCCCACTCCCTGTACCCCCACACACCAGCCTCTAGTCCCTGCTGGTGAGCCTGGCTCACCAGCCCAGGCCTCCTTCCTCCCTGGTGTGTTCGCCTTTGGGCTTCTTGACGTCCTCCTGCCAGGGAGCCTCAGTCAGGATAATCCAGTGTACCAGAGAGGTCCTAATGCCTCAGAACATTAACAGCTTGGGGTACCCCACCAGTCACATCCCCTCCATTCTCCTCTATTCTTCACTCACTCAACTTCCATCTTCCTACCTCCCCTCCCAGGAAGCCTAATGATATGGGCTGAATAGTGTCCCTGTAAAATTCACATGCTAAAGTCCTAACCCCAGTACCTCAGAATGTGACCCTGCTTGGAGATATGGCCTTTAAGAAGGTAACTCCGGTAAAATTAGGTCATATGGGTGGGCCCTAATCCAATAGGACTGGCTCCCTTATAAGAAGAGGAGATTAGGACACAGACACACAGAGAGGGAACACCGTGTGAAGACACAGGGAGATGAGGATGGCCTCTGCAAGCCAAGGAGAAAGACCTCAGAGGAAACCAACACTGCCGGCACCTTGATGTTGGCCTTGTAGCCTCCATAACTGTGAAAAAATTAATTTCTATGGTTTTAGCCACACAGTCTGTGGTACTTTATTATGGCATCCTGGCAAACTAATACAAAGCCCCTTGCAAACTTCCCCACCATCCCTCCTTCCAGCTCTGCCTCCCAAGGGATATTAGGAAGAGCCAGCTTTGTTCAGGCACAAGAGGTGTCCTCCCTTCCCCGAGGGCAGTGGTGGCCTCCTCATCTTACATGTTAATGACAAAAAGGAGCCATTCTCATTTACAAGGTAACTTCCTGCATCCCCCAGCCAGAGAAGACACTGTAGGCTTCTTCTACTACAACGTTTCACTACCATAATTGAACCCACCCAGCTACCCGCACTGACTCCCAAACTCAGGTCTGTGAGCTTTTGTTCTTGCCTTGCACTGTCAGCAAACGTTGGTCCTCCCAATGCTATGGCATGGTAATGACACCACTTAATTCTCTATTTCACTCTCTAGAATTGGTGAGGGAATATACAGAATGTTATTTTTCAAAAAAATTTTAGCTGCCTGGAAGGAAGTCTCTGCTCTCATACATAGAAAAGTAACAGGAATATTATCTCCCTCATGTGCAGAGCTACCTTGAGTGCCTAAGGGACTTCCCCAGAGAGATCCAAAGCAACACTGGGTCCCTGAGATGGGAGTCACTGCTAATTTGGTTCCCTGGGTCACATAGAACTGGAAGGAGGTGGCATAGGGAGAAGGAGGCTGGTATTTTCTCTCTGCTCACAGGACTGCTCTACACTTTACATTTCCCAAAGGCCATAATTATTTCCCGGAGAAGAAATTCAAATGACCCAGATAGTTAATTCAGTGAGATTGGCCCAGAAAGTATTTACCTAAAAGGCAGTTTTGTCGAAAAGAACGTCACAACATAGTCAGGGCTTGCTCTCATTGCCCGAAAAATGCAGGGGCCAGATCCAAGGCTGTAAGCCTAATAATTAGAGAGGGCAGGAGGTTCTGGAGTTTGGAAGGCAGAGACAGGAAGGGAGAGTCAGAGAGAGGGAGGCAGAGTGTGAAGGCAGGAGGGAACAAGAATGAACGAGAGAAACAGAGAGAGATTGTCTTGCCAGCCACTCAACACAATGACCAGCTCAGGGGCTATCCATGATGCACCTGGATCCTAGAAGTTCCCTCTGCAAGGAAAAAAGTAGAAAAGCAGAGAAGCTTATCTTTGGCTGCCTCCATCTCCCTTTTCATGCTCATCACTGACCAGCTAGAACCATGTTTTTCTTCCTCCAAGGCCCCAGGTTCTCCTCCCACCATGACTGAGCAGCAACTTCACATTATCCCCTGCTGTTATCCCTAGTCCAAACACTAATTCCCTTAGTATAATACAAAGAGCTCAGCTTTGAGTCAGGAAGGCACTTGCTGGTGGAATTAACTAACACAGATGCTGTGTGTCCAGCACCATGCTCAGGATTAGACATGAGCTGACTACATTGCCATTGTACAAATAAGAAAACGGAGTGGCAGGTGCTCTACGGAAGCGTGATGATCTCAGCACAAGGCATTCCACTGGACGTAATAAAAGCAAATACTCATTAAGCAGTTACTACGTGCCAGGAACTGTGCTAAGGCCTTTGTTGGAAATTATTTCATTAAATTCATGTTTAAAAAAAAAAGTAAGTATAATTATTATCTCCATGCTATAGATAAGGAAATTAGGAAAAAAGCCAGGACTTAAACCCAGGTTTAATCACCGTGCCATTAATGAGCACATTACTAGGCCTCTTTGTGCAGGAAAATGTTGCAACAGATTGTCAAGGTCCTTTTCTCCACCCTCTCATCCCTGTCCAATGAACAACCCCAGGCAGCTACCAACAAATTGACCTTCAACCCCTGAACTCAATGATAGGTCTTCGAAACAGCCAGAGTTGAGTTACATGGGGTTAGAAAGGCTGTGCTTATGGAGAGTGACTCTGTCGTTCGTGTAGCTATGGCATGGTTTGCACTCTTGGGGAAGGGGCTTTACCTGCTTAATAACCCTGACCTCTACCCACCCTGCACTCTTCCCTGATTGGATGAGGTCGAAAAAAGCTACTGAGAAGTTCTTGTGTCTTTGGGCTCTGGCAGCCTGCAGGAGACCTGCATTCTTCCCTGCTCCCCAAATGTAGGGTCGGCCCCCACCTGGGGAGGACTGCAATGGTTCAGCAAAGCCTGCTTGAGATGTAAGTCTGTCTAATCATAAGTTTGGTATTTTGATATCCACAGTTGCCACATAGCTAAGGTTCATTCTCTACCATCAGCTTTGCTGGTGAGGATGCTGATTTTCCGTTGTCAATCCAGAGGCTTTCTAGATCTGCCTCAATGATTCAGAATCCAGGTGGAGAAGAGACATGCTATACACTGGACTCAAATTCCAACAACAGAAGTTGTCTTGTACAGAGCAAGAATGGCAAATGGGCTGAGTAAAACTAAGGGAGCCCTAAAAGAGTTAGACTAGTTCTAGGTGCAAATGTCAGTACATAGTCCAACCAATGAGAGTTCAATGACTCAAGATTAAAAAAAAAAAAACAGGCAAAGCAGTGGCTCACAACTATAATCCCAGTGTTGGGAGGCCGAGGCAGGAGGATTGCTTGAGCCCAAGAGTTAGAGACCTCCCTGAGCAATATAGCAAGACTCCGTCTCAACAACAACAAAATTAGCCAGATATGGTGGCACACACCTGTAGTCCCAGCCATTCAGAAGGCTGAGGCAGAAGGATAGCGTGAGCTCAGAAGTTCAAGGCTATAGTGAGCTATGATCACACCACTGCACTCCAGCCTGGGGACAGAGTGAGATCATGTCTCCAAATAAAAAATAAAGATAAATTAAAAAGCACTTTCTACTGTCCCATTACTTGAGTCACAATATTTCAATGCATGCAAAAGTATATATAGGTATTTATCCAAATAGGTAGCTATCTCAGGTGGGTAGGCATATAGGAATTGTGAATTTAGTTTCATTTTTTTCATTTCTTAGGATTTAGAGTCTATTTATGTGATATTTGAGGATCCTGCTTCCATGGACTGACATTCTTGCAAGCCCAAGCACAGAGCTGACTCTGCCAGCATCTTTTCCAGTTCTACCCCACCTATGAGAACCCTAAGAGTTAGGGACCACACAGGACAGATCAACCCTCTTTGTGATCCTGGCTGTGCCACTTATCACATTCAGCCTGTTTCCTCCTCTGGAAAAGAAAAATAGCAGGACGTCCCTTGCAAGGTATTTTTGAGGACTAATTGATAAGTGCAAACAATTTCTGAATGTTTATAGTCTTAGTTTGAAGGAATAAAACTTAAGTGGAGTTAAAGATAAAGGGCAAAAAGACCAATGAGAGAAAAGGGGCTAGAGACCATGTGGGGATTTAGTGGATTTAGTGCTGCTTGGAGGAAAGCCCCTGGGCAAAACAAGATTAACTTCTACAATCTTCTCCAGATTCTGAGAATGCACCAGATCACGGAGCCTAAGACCAATGTCTTGGTATTTGGCCTACACCTTACCACACAATCGTGCATTAAAAGCATAGCTCAGGGTCAACAGGACCCCCTGGTTTCCTGTGTGTCAGTCTGGCCTTCCCAGTCAGAACACAAGCTCCTTGTCTCACACGGGGCGTCTCTGTGTGCCCCGCAGCCCTGGGTGCAGAGCAGACCCTCAATAAATATTTGCAGATTGTCTGCTGGGAACGAGGCCTGACTTACTCCAGCTGCATCACAGACCTTCTGCCACCTCTGGGGCCCGTGGCTGCCTTTCAGACCTCAATGATACAGACGAAATGTGATTGCTACCAACTGTGGATAAAATAACCGTTTCCTTATACTCCAAGGGGAGAAAAAGCCAAGGTAGAGGCCTGGAAGGCTGTGGTGGCCACTGCAACAGGGCCCATGTGAATATCACAGACCTTCCATTTCTGTGACATAGGGAAAGGTCAGGTGAATGCTGACTTTTCTGGCTGGCTGGGGCATTACCAGGGCAGTGCAGCAGGGCCCATAGGAGAAAAAAATGGATGGGAGGACAGGAAGTCACCAAAGAGCCCTGCATTCTGCAATGATGTGGCGCTCTGACCACGCCCAGCCGCCCAGCAGCTCCAGCGAGGAAACAACTTCCTTTTGTGGTCTGACCCTGGCTGGCCGCCAGGGCTTCAACAAGAGCCTTGTGATGTGCACTTTTGAAATGTGTTGGTGGTGCGGAATGGCATGTCTAACTCGTGTTTAGTGCCCTTCAGCGTTTACGTCTCTTTCCCACGCCCACTGACGCAGACTGGCTGCATGTGGGGAGCTGGGGTAGTCGGCCAACCCAATGCCTGACCTTGTGGCCGGGGCACTTGAGACACGCTTCCTTTTCCCCTAAACCTGGCCTCAGTCAGGCCAAGGGTACGGCTCCCTGAAAGGACAAAGAAAAGAGAAAAGGAAGCCTGACTGATACTAGCTGCCAGACAGGCATTATGTTGTTTTTAATCTTCATGACAATTCTGTGGGGTTTTATGGCCTCCCTTTTACAGATGGGGAAACTGAGGTTCAGAGAAGTTAAATCTTTTTCTCAGGGTAAACACAATTAGAGCATGGGGAGCAGGGACTCCACCCTAGCCTGTCTCCTCCAATGATCAGACTCTTTCCAGACACCACAACTCCTCTCTTAAGACCCCAGGGTCACTCTCCTTGGGGTCAGAGGCAGCCACACTCCATGTTTCTATTGCCTGCATCCACGTCACAGATCAGAGTTTGAGAAGGGTCAGAGTCAGCCAGGTCAGTTCTCTCCATGCCCATACTTTGCTTTAAAGGCTTTTCACTCGATTTGGGTTGTTAATTCTCAAAGTATGTCCGTCAACGTGCAAAAGTTACTGTGCATATTCTTTTCCCACTGTTTTCTTGTTTTTCTGTTGTTTGTTACCTAAGGTAGCTCCTGCCAGTCTCTGTGTGTACTAGGCAATTCGTGCATTGCTATAAAGAAATACCTGAGACTGGGTAATTTATAAAGAAAAGAGGTTTAATTGATTCACAGTTCTGCAGGCTGTCCAGGAAGCATGGCAGCATCTGCTTCTGAGGAGGCTGAGGAGGCTTTTACTCATGGCAGAAGGCAAAGCAAGAGCAGGCACGTCACATGGTGAGAGCAGGAGCAAGAGAGAGAGAGTGCTAGGGGAGAGGTCCCACATACTTTTAAACAACCACATCTCACAAGAGCTCACCACTATCGTAAAGACTACACCAAGCCATGAGAGATCCGCCCCCGTGACCCAAACACCTCCCACTAGCCCCACCTCCAGCACTGGGGATTATAATTCAACATGAGATTTGGGTGGAGACAAATATCCAAACTACATCACTGTGGAAACACCAGCAAGTTGTCTGAGTGGTCTCTAGGAAACCCAAACCCCAACCAGTGGATGATAAATAGCCCCTCGTTTGTGAAGTGCTAACACCTTGGTGACACAGCCCTTCACGTCCCCTCCACTCACGTGATCTGGGAGGAGCTGCTCCAACCACACAGCCCCTGCCTTGGGCTAGTGCCCTCAGGAGATTAGAGTTCGAAGGCACATTGTTTATTTGGGAGGTAATCCCAGGAAATTCCAATAGGATAGTAAGGAAAGTGAGACGGGGAAGGAAAGGACAGTACAGGGGGTGTTCCTGATCAAGATGCCTCTGTGCGCAACTGGGCTCAGTCCCATGATGGCTCTCTGGGAGACTGGATAGGACATGCCTCAGAGTTGTGCCATCCAAGGGACAAGGAAGCTGGTGCATTTGCACACCAGTCATTGGTTTAGGGCTGCTCCCAGGTCAAAGTCCCTAGGCAGAGAGAGACATGTGGCTGCACACTTGTGGTGGCTCATACCTATAATCCCAACAATTTTGGAGGCCAAAGCAGAAGGATCACTTGAGTTCAGGAGATCAAGACCAGCCTGGGCAACATAATGAGACCTCATCAATACAAAAAAACTAAAAATGAAAAAATTAGCAAGACATGGTGGCCTGCACCTGTAGTCCTAGCTACTTGGAAGGCTAAGGTGGGAGGATGGATTGAGCCCAGGAGTACGAGGTTATAGTGAGTTATGATCACACCACTGCTCTCCAGCCTGAGTGAGACCCTGTCTCTTAAAAAGGAAAAAATTGCATGCTTGAGGTCAGCAGGTATATGGAAATAAAAGGTGCCATGGGAGATGGGCAGCTGCCAAGAGCACAGCAGGAGCCTCCATGGTGGTGCCATACAGGCTACCAGGAATGCAGGACAAAGCTCTTGCCCTCTTCCCTTCCTCCTCCTTGTTGGTTTAAATTTGGAAGATGCTACAGCAAGGGCTGTAGGCTGCCTTGTCTGCCTGCCTGCACACTTTCTCAGGGATCTCAGACCAGGGAAGAAACCATTAGGGGACCCTGTCCAGATTGGTGGAGTCTGAGGAGATAAAGATGGGGCACGTGGACTGGTAATCACTCAAAGGCAAACCTTCCAGAGAGCAGAAGAGGACTGACCCAGAGATCCCTTGATGAACCTAGCACATCTGCTAAGTGACCACTTGACAAGCTGAAAGACTGCAGTGAAAGCCTGCAACAATTGTAAGATTTCCAAACTTTTCCCAGGAGTTGTCCGCTAGAAGCAAAGATGACTGCAAAACAGAATCAAGCATGGCTCCTCTTATAAACACAGGGTGGGGTTGGGGCACAGGAAGAAGGAATTATTTGCAGCCTGTGGGAGGGGTGAAGGGTGCTGTGCCCCATTCCTTTACTATCCAGCAAGGAAATGACTGCCTCCTTTTCCTCCCATCGACAATCCTCCTCCTTCCTTCTGTTTCTGTTTGTCTGGATTCCCTCCGCTTATCCCTGCGGGCTTCTTATCCCCATCTGGTCTCTCTCTCCTCCTTCTCCCCACTCCCCAGCCTCCTCTTTTTGTGTCTCCCGGGGCCACTGGGTCCCGAAGGTGCCACATCATTATCTCCTGTCTTACTGCTCTCCCTTCATTCTCTCTCACTCTCCCCCGCCTTTCCCTGGGCTCCCAAAGGCTCCTTCCTCATCCCTTTTTAGAGACTTGTGTGTGCCTCTGTGAAGGGTTTGGAGTTCCCGCAATAGGAGATGCATACATAATTAGTGGGAGGGAACGAGGCATATGTGTCCCAGTGGCATGTTGCCTGTGTAGGTTGCAAATGGAGGCCTGGCAGCCTCGTCCAGTGCCAAGAACTGCTCTGAGCATCAGTCACCAGCAGCCTTCCATTCAACCACCTCCTTTTAGCCACGATCAACATTTCAAAAGGGAACGCACAAGGCCTACAGTAGGTTCCTATAATTCACCCAAGGGTTGAGCCTGCCGCTGGGAGACAAGCTGCATTCTTCTCTCTGAGTGAGCTATTTTTAAGAATGCTCCCCCTTCGTTTCCAGTTCCCATTTCAGCCCAAGCACTGAATTAGATTCTTTCTTCATTTTGTAGGCCCCCGCCTCTGTTATTATATAAAACCATTTCAGCCCTTAAGGAGTTGGCATCTGACATCCACAGCTTCTGAATCCCCAGAACAGAGAAGAGAAGGAATAAACAGAAGGGAGGGAAAGAAATGTTCTGTTTCCGCTTCAGCAACATGAATTGTCAGACAGTTAAATAGCAACAAAGTATTTGGTGTTAATCTTTAATATTCCCAGGAACTTATCACCTCCTCGTTCAATCCCAGAGCTGCCATTCTCCAAGTGATTCTGGCGCCTCTCACAAGATATCACACCTTCTATTATGCTCTTAAAAAAGTATCCACCAGAGGGGAGTTCTTAGTGATTAGACCGAAAAAAAAAAATGTGAAGCTGCTCCTTGCTATTTGCAAGGAAATGACTGAAAAGGGGTGAGCCATGGATTCCTTCTCCATCAGTCTTGCCTGTGTTAAGCAGACCCTGCCTGAGCTCAACTTCTGATGTGATCTTTCCCTTCCTCAGGCTCCAGAGTCAAGGGTGGTATTTGACAAATACCAGGGGAAGAAGGCAGCCCGAGAAAGTGGAAATGGAGAGGGGTTGGGGGCAGTCACCATAGCTGACTGTGCCTCCACTGACAGCAGCTCGTTCCCACCCTAGATGAGGTAAGCCAGGTGGCTTATCTTGTCATGCAAATGACAGGATGCTTCCTTAATATACACCGTGCATATGTCATCTTAATGTGGGTTCCCCCATAGGCAGATCCTGAAGCCAAGATTTCAGTGGAGGTAGTTTATTTGAGGAGTTCCTAGGACCACCTGTAGAAGAGTCAGAAGTGAGACAGGAGGGAAGGAGCCAATAAGGGTTTGTTGTCAAGCAACACTGTGGGCAACTGGAACTTAATCCCCCTGGCCAACTCTGGGAGTCAGTACAGAACACACCTCAGAGTTATTACACAAGAAGGGCGAAGGAGCTGGAATATTTCTCTACCAACTCCTGCTAACCCTTGGTGGAGGACTACTGGGAGGAGGGCATGAACTCTCTGGCTGTTTGGGCTTGTGCACACTGTCTGCAGAGAATACTTCCAGCAAACAGATGCAAGCACTGGCTGTTGAAAGCAATGGTAAGCTAGAGGGGATATGAACATGGCACATACAGCAAACATCAATGACCTATATCATCTGTGTTTGGGGGTTACAGCTACAAAATAAAGAGCAGGAATCTAAATTTAGCATATAAACACTGCCCTCGCTAAACCAAACTCTTATCCCTGAGTATCTCCTGAGTTTCCAGGTATCAAGCCACATAAGGTCTAGAAGTCTTCGTTCACCCTAACGCCATAGTGGTCAGGGACTTTATAGAGGAAGGGTTTCTCCTGTTTGTAGAAAGAAGTGCCTGGATCAAAGTTCCTGTCCGCCCCACAGATTGCAGGACTTCATAAGGCTGACCATTCCTTTCTCCCTTCTTCTGGAAGCTGTGGGTTTAGAGTGTGCCCAAGCAAAGCAAGGCAGGAAAGAGGAAGAAGATGAGTTACTCCCTCCCTGCCTGTTCACCTCTGCCATCAGTCTCTTCCCAAAACATGGATTTTTGTAGAAACTCTGATTGTTTTATAATGTGTCCACTGACACTCTCCCCCTCCTGGCTCCATGAGGACCAGGACTGGGTCTTTTCCAGAATTGGACCATCAGGTGGTAGATACTCAGTAAGCTTTTCTTAAATGAATGAATGTCATCATTGCCCAACTTAGAACCTCCTTTGGCTCCCCATTACCTATAGGATCAAGTCCAAATCCCTAGATATGACATTCAAGGCTTTTTCCAATTTTCTACCCATTATTTCCCACACAAGTCTCATGCCCTGCCATTCCTCTACATGGGGCTAATGACCATTTGTCCAAAATGTCACTGTTTTCCATTCCTTTAAGCATTGCATGTGCTATTAGGTTGATGCAAAAGTAATTGCGGTTTTTGCCATTACTTTCAAATTGCAAAAACGGCAATTACTTTTGCACTAACCTAATATTTCCTCTGCCCGGAATACTCTTCTCCCTTTCTTTTGTCTGAAATGCCTATGTACTCTTGAAGATCCACCTCAATTATACCCTCCTCTGTGAAGTCACTGCCCCCACACCAACTCTTCCAAGAGGCTTACAATGATCAACAGGCAGACCTAGTATGTGTTTGGGGCACTAGCAAACACAGACAACTAGCAACACTTTTTTAAAACGTTTGATATTAAGGCAACTAAGCAGCCAATATGGAGAATACTGAGAACCAGTTTGGCCTTCCTTATATATTTTACAGTTTAGAGTATTTTTATTTTGTTTCAACTTATCAAGCTTAGAGAAAAAGGTATCATAAACCTTTTGGAGCTTAGAGCCTCTAGATTTTATTATTGCTCTACTTCCAGGTACTAGAATCATTTATTAATTCATTCATTCACTCATTCAGCACATCATTACACCAGGCATCATGCAAGGCCCAGGGCCTGGGAGATGCAGACATGCATATGCCCCAGGCCCTGCCCTTGAGGCCACACATTCTGGAGGAAGTGATCAGCACATTATAGATCATTAAGACACTGTGTGGTTTCTGACCGTTTAAGAAGCCTGCTCTAGCAAAATAAATAATGATAGTAAAGGATTATAGCCAAGTGTCCACACTGATATAAATAAATAATTTAATAAATCAATAAATAACAGAGAAGGAACAGCTCTTCCTTACAGAATTCTAATTAATAGGTGTACGAGGAATAATAGAAATAGAAAATCACCATTTGAGCTGGGCGCAGTGGGCTTACTCCCGTAATCCCAGCACTTTGGGAGGCTGAAGTAGGAGGATCACTTGAGCCCCGGAGTTTGAGACCAGCCAGTCAACATGGTGAGACACTCATCTCTACAAGAAAAAATTTTTTTAATTAATCAGGCATGGTGGCACACACCTGTGGTCCCAGTTACTGAGGAGGCTGAGGTGGGAGGATCACCTGAGCCCAGGTGGTCGAGGCTGCAGTGAGCTGTGACTGTACCACTGCACTCCAGCCTGGGCAACAGAACAAAACCCTGTCTCCAAAACAAAAAAGAAAGAAAGAAAATCACCACTTGGCAATTACCACACTAAGGGTTGTAGGCAATAATGTGAAGCTAATGCTAAAATTAGCAGACAGATGCATGCTGAGAACAGGATATTTACATAATCTTAAACTATCTCCCCACAAGATACCTATTAATTAGAAAGGGAACAATAGTAACTTTATAGTGGGGAGACCTGACAGACACCACCAAGCCATCAAAGTTAAGATCACCGACAATAAAACATGCTGACATTACACCTTTCAAACCCACATTAAGAGACATTCTACAAAATGACTGGCTAACGTTTTTTATTTATCTATTTATTTTTATTTTTTTGAGATGAGGTCTCACTCTGTCACCCAGGCTGGAGTGCAGTGGTGCGATATTGGCTCACTGCCGCCTCTGCCTCCCAGGTTCAAGTGATTCCTGTGTCTCAGCCTTGTGAGTAGCTGGGACTACAGGCCCGCACCACCACATCCAGCTAATTTTTGTATTTTTAGTAGAGATGAGGTGTCACCATGTTGGCCAGGCTGGTCTTGAACTCTGTCTGGCCTCCCGAAGTGCTGGGATTACAGGCGTGAGCCACTGCGCCCAGCCTGGCTAACATTTTTCAAAAGCACCATGGTGACAAAAGGCAAAGAAAGACTGAGGAAATTTCCCAGATTAAAGGAGACTAAGGAGACACAACAACTAAATGTAATGCAGGATCCTGAATTGAATCCTGGACCAGAAAAAAGAGCATTAGTGGGACAATTGGCAAAATATGAATAAAGTCTGTAGATTGGCTAATAGGGTGACATCAACATTAATTTATTGGTTTTTATCCTTGTACCATCATTATACAAGATGTTAACATTAAGAGAAGTTGAGTGAACAGCACACAAGAGCTCTGTATGGCTTCAGCAACTTTTTTGGAAATCTGAAATTATTTCAAAATAATAAGTAAAAAAATATGGGGGGGAAAATGCCTGCACTGTTTCCTCACCTTAATTATCAAAGCACCTGGGGGACTGTTTTGGAAAGTTTGTTTCATTTCTTTCTGTCCCTTCCAGGCTGTAAGCCTCTCCACGGACAGGCTAGTTCACTTTGGGATCCCTGTGGTGCTGATGTACAGGAATTTTCATATAATTTGCTCCTCCAACACCCACCCCTTGCAATATGAGGACCATTGCTTAGAAGTGGAAAGGGAGCCTATGGAGAAAATTCTGGACTTAGAGAATAGTGCTGCTTGAATATCACCATATGTTTTATAAAAAGAAAGGGCAGTACAGAGATAGCATGATAGGTAGATCATTTGCAAAACTGGGCACAATTCCCCCACCCTTTCCTAATCCATGTCCCTTTGCAATGTACCTTTCCAGATCCCTCTATCCCTTCCCCTGGCATCTGTGTTGGACTTGTACACACTTTGACCAACAGGCAGAAGAGGTGATACTGAACCAGTTTTGAGCCTGCTCATTCTCTTTGAACCGTATCCACCCACCTAGTGCAAAAACCTGGGCTAGCTGCTAGAAGATAAGAGGTCACATGATGCAAAGACAAGCCAACAGCCAGCCAACCATTTGAAAGAAATGATATTTTATGAATGAGCTTGCTAACTGACCACAGGCTCATGAGTGAGTCCAAACAAGACCAGAAGAACCACTTGGCTGAGCCCAGCCCAAATTGCTGACTCACAACATCACACGCTAAATAATTGGTTGATGTTTTAAACCACAAAGTTTTGGCATTGTCTGTTACACAGCAATGGATGACTGACATAGTAGCAAGACTCTTATAGCTCTATATCCTATATCTCCTATAGTTCTAAGCTCAGAAACTAATGCTAATTACCCTCTTTTTGCCTCAAATAGACAAATGCAAAGACATAGATCCTTGTTTTTAAAAAAGGAAAGCTACAACCAAAATAATCCCAGAGCAGTCTCTCCTCCTGAAAGAGAGAATTTGGACCACTCCTCCCCAAAAGAAAGGCAACCCATGCAAAGGGGTCACACTTGATAAGGAAGCAAAACACGGGCAAGGCCAGCTGGGCAACTCCTCAGTAAAAAGATATTTAATATCAGGGGTCTCTGGGGGTAATGGAGGCAGAATGGAAGGGTAGTGGGAGGAAGTGACTGAATAATCTCCCTGCATAAATCTTGTCTACACCTTCTCCCTGAGGGATGGCCAGCAATCTCCTGAGGCTCGAGTTGCAGGGCAGAAGCTGTCCTAGGCTGCAGGAAGCCCAGAGGAATTAAGCAGGCTGGGCTGAGGTCAGCACACAGAAGTACATCCCAAAGGACTGCCAGAGAGAGAAAGACAGGAGGGGGACATGAGTGACCAGAGGACTAGAAGGGTGAGACAGGAGGGTATGTGAGGGCTACAGGGGACACCAGCCATAGGATCCCTTGAGCTTGAGCTGGAGGCCTCCCAGAGGCTAGGAACAGGATGGGCAAAACTCCCAGGAGATGAGATTACTAGCTAAAATTCCAGGTAAGCCCCCAGCAAGAGTTGCCTTATTTGATTCTTCAGGGCTTCACAGTCCATTCCCATGTGCTTAGGGCCCTCATGGCAGAGCTCAAAGACAAAGCTCAAGGAGCTAGGTTAGCACAGTACAGAGAGGGATTTAGATCTCTGAATGGTGTTGAGTGTCTGTCGTCATAGAATTGGTGGCTATTGCATGCTTTATCTGTTTCCACAAAAGACAGGCTCAGTCATTGCTTCAAGGTACATGCCCAACACCCACTTGGATGCTATGAGAGACAAGCTCAATATTTATTCTGTTCTGTCTCCTTGGTAAGGATTCAGCACTGGTCACTGACTGGAATATCCTGTCTTTACTTGCCTCGTGACATAGGTACACTCCGTAAAGTGATAGCTTGTCGTATTCTCACAAAGTACCTTCTTGCCCTGGTCACAAAGGAAATGGCCTCTTGTGCCCCTTCCCCAGCTCTGACCCCCCAGCATGAGGACTCTGCTTTTTCCAGGAATTGGCTATCATCTGGCCACTGAGCTGAGAAACACACAACACAGCTACACAGATCGCAAGAAAACAATACTCATTAAATATCAGACTGTTCCAATACTTGAACTAAGGAGTCACTTATGGTATGTTCTGCACTGGGAGGAAGAAGCAGGAATAAAGGGAATGAGTTAGGAACAAAATAGTCCAAAGAACTATCGTAGTCAAGATTTCCTATTAGGTGGGCAGTCAACAGACCACACAGGGAGAGGCATTCATTGACAAAGGTCATCTCAGTAGACAGGAATCACCCAACCACATCCCTCACCTGGGACTCCCTCCTGCCCCATCTCAGCCCTCCTTGGTGCCACCAGCCAAGCTCCCCAGAGTGCTGCATGCTGCACTTGGCTGGAAGCTAAACTTGGGTTTATTCCAGCTCTGCTCAGCTCTTTCTCTGTTTTTCCCCCTCAAGATGTAAGACAGCTATTAAAATAAACAGCAGGGCTCTCAGCCATACATGCTGTTTGTTAATTCTTATGATTAACCCTGAAGGGGCCAATAAAGAATAACCTCATACTTAATTATTTAATGATGGTCTCCCCTCCCAAGCCTGAGCTGTCCTGCTCCTTGAGGCCACTCTGAAGGGTTTAATGTGAGCTGGAAAGCCAAGAGCCACAGTCCCTGGGAGATCCATCTGCCTTCAGGGGCTTGCCAATGGACAGGTGGGCATAGGGGTGCCAAGGTTGATACCTGACAGAAGGTGAGGATTTTCTGGGGTGAATCAAATTTGTGCCAAGCATCATCATCACTTGGAATAAGGCCCTTCTTTATATGGTCCAGGCTTCATGTGTCCGTGGAACAAGCTGTCACCTGCACCTCCCCACATGAGGTCATGTCCTGGCTTTGATCAGAAATACCCGTGCAGTATGCCCAAACCTGAAAATTGCTTGCTTGCTTCTACAGAGATGGAGCAGACTTTTCCCAAGGAGCTAGAGCTTCTTCAAAGCCACTACTTATAATGCAAATCCCCCCAGAGAAGCTTAGAAGCATCACCTAGTAATTTGGTCAGACAAGGGTCCCCAAAAAGGAGACCTTGAGACAAGGATTCAAATGCAAGTCATTTATATTGGAATAAAGAAGAGTGAGGAAGTTAGACAAGAAAGGGGGAGCAGTCAATAAAGGGTACATTGTTGACCATTTACTACTATGGGTCACTAGAGTTTAACCCCTCAAGAAAATGAGAAACCATGTAAAACATAGGCTTCATATTATTCTCAAATTAGCTAAGGTATTTTTTTTTTACCAATTCCCACAGTCTTTGGTTGAGGGTGAGCAGGGGGACGGGGGAAGAAAGGAGACGTGTTAATTCCCTGGTATATCCAACCTCTCACTTGGATGGCTTGAATGGGCTTCAGTGGCCAGAGGAAGCCTTCGGGAAAAGCAATGCAGGCTGTGGCAGCTAGAAGTCAGGCTAGCATGCTCTGGAGTGGTGAGGGCCAGGGGTACTATGGAAAAAGAATAAATAGCAAATAGACCTCTTAGGAATTAAAAACCTGATAGCCAAAATTTTAAATTCAGTAAAAGGGTTGGAAGAAATTAAAACAAAAAGGCCAGGAAATAGATAATAGAAGAGCAAGGATTTAAAAAAAAATTAAGCAGTTTGTGGTGCTATGTAAACTTTTTTTTACCATGACCCATAGCAATAAATGTATCTCCTATTGCATTGCAACCCACTACACATAAATACTCACACACAATTCTGATACTTGTTATATGATATGCTGTATTCATCAGTTTTCACTAGAAAAACAGAACCAATAGGATATATGTAGATATATGAGGGGATTTATTGTCAGAAATGGCTCACCCAACTATGGAGGCTGAGAAGTTCCATTATATCCCATGTACAAGTTGGAGAACCTAGAAAGCTGGTGGTGTAATTCAGTCCAAGTCCAAAGACCTGAGAACAGAGGGAGCTAATGGTGTAACTTCCAGTGCAAAGCCAAAGATCTGACAACTGGAGGGGTAGCTGGGAGTGGGGGAAGAACACTGGTGTAAGTCCTGGAGTCCAAGGCCTGAGAACCAGAAGCTCTGATGTCTGAGGGAAGGAAAAGATGGATGTACCAGCTTAAGAAGAGTGAAAATTTTCCCTTCGTTCACCTTTGTGTTCTATCAGGGCCCTCAATAGATTGGATGATGCTTGCCCATACTGGTGAGGACAGACTGAGTCAAAGGTTAATCTCTTCCAGAAACACCCTCACAGACATACCCAGAAATAACATTTTACTATCTGGACATCCTTTAGCTCACTCAAGTTGACACGCAAAATGAACCATCACAAATACAGAAAATACAATTTTCTATTTTATTCTATTTCACTTTTTAAAAGTGCTCATTACAACCGACTAAACTGATGTTTTGACTTTCAAATGAGGCACAACTTGACATGTGAAAAACTCTGGTCTAAAAGATGCAACATCTAACTATTTGGAGCCTCAAGAGAAAAAAAGAGAGGGAAAGAAATTAGCAAAAAAAAAAAAAAAAAAATTTCTAAAAATTAGAGGACTCTTGTCTCCTACTGAAAGATTCCACTGTGGACCTCAGAGAATGAATTGGAAAAGATTCACATTAAGGCACTTTATCATCAAATATCAGGATATCAGTGATAAAGAGAGCCTTAAAAAATTTCAGAAAGAGGTCAGGCGCGGTGGCTCACGCCTGTAATCCCAGCACTTTGGGAGGCCAAAGCAGGCAGATCACCTGAGGTCAGGAGTTGGAGACGAGCCTGGCCAACATGGTGAAACCCTGTTTCTACTAAAAGTACAAAAATTAGCTGGGCACAATGGCAGGCACCTGTAATCCCAGCTACTCAGTAGGCTGAGGCAGGAGAATCTCTTGAACCCAGGAGGCGGAGGCTGCAGTGAGCTGAGATCATGCCACTATACACCAACCTGGGTGACAAAGGCAAGACTCTGTCTCAAAATAAATAAATAAATAAATTAATTAATTAATTAATTCCAGGAAGAACAACAACAAAAAAGTCATATACAAAGAATACAAAGATGCAAAGAATTACATCAGACATCTCAATAGCAATTATGAATGCTAGAAAGCAATGGAGCTATATCTCAATTCTGAGGCAAAATTAATTTCAAACTGACATTCTAAATCTAGACAAACTCTCAATTGAGTATGAGGACAGACTAAAGAGAGTTCACATACAATGACTCAAAAAATTTACCCCTTATGCATCCTTTTTTAGGAAGCTACTGGTGGATATGTTTTAGCAAAATAAAAACATCAACTTAGAAACAGAGGAGCCAGTGATAGAAAATGTCAGTACCAGTCCTAGAAAGAAACCAGAGAAGAGGAGGACAGGAAGAGGCCAACATCAATATGAAGGTCTCTGCGCAGGGAGCTGATCAATTATTTGATATAGTTGAGAGAAATATTAATTTAAAATGGACAGATATATAGAAGTACTGCGCATGGGTTGGGGACGGAGAAAACGCCTTGGAAACATTGAAAACTTAGCAAAGGAAAAAAATGAAACACTTTCTCAAGAATAGGACATAATTATACTACACTACTTGATTCAGTAATAAGCAATATTTTCACAGTCTTAGAAATATAACCACAGATTTGATTAACCAAAAGTTGTGATGTAACTATATTGAGATTGATGGGGAAGCACAGCATAAGTGGTGTTAGGATGCTATTTTAAGAAAGGTTAATAAATTGCATACAAATTGACACATTAAGAAATAGCATAAAATAACAATAAATATGCATATGAAAAAGAAAAGCCACAGAAAAGCAGAAAATATGTTTGCTGAATGTACATCTTTTATTATGTAAAACTCTTGTTATTAGGAAATCAATCTGTTTCTACCCTCCTCCTCCACACCCAGGTAAACATTGAATAGATTCTTAAGACTACTCATCTAAAGGACTGATAAGACTCACTGATTATCACGTTCTGCTTTGGCCAGTAAAGGCTAGTTCTGCCCAAAAAGAGATGGCTGGACTGTAAATAATGATTATAAAGAATTACGGTTTATTTTTGCAGGGAAACTAGACTTTTGTCCATTCCTCAAATTGCTGTCCCTAACCATCTCATCCCTGGTGCTCCTTGGACTGCCCTCACCTCCTTAGATGTTCCGTGGCAGTCCTGGACCCAGAGGGTTCTTGGGGAGCACCTCCACCATTGGGAGCATATCTCCAAAACCAGAGAGACACTGACGCTTTTTTCAAAACTGACTAAAGGAAAAAAATCTCCCTTAAAGTTATTTAAAAGACAAACATGATATTCTTATCCCTGGGAAAATACAAATAATTTTTACAGGCAGACAGCAGTCTCTGTTTGAGATGTTATTATGTGATAAGACAAGAGGCTTTCCTGAATGAAATGAGACAAACTCTGTATAAGCAAAGAGGCCCTTAAATTTGCGTCTTTCTTTCCCCAGGTATTCAGGTTTCCAACAGGACACCAGGGTAACAAAGGAATGCTGAATCAGGCAAGCCCCCAGGGGCATGATTCAGCCTCCCGCAGCTCTGACCTGATGAGCAGAGAAGCCCTGGGGTCCATTCCACAGGCTTCCACAAGTTTCTGGACAGAGTTAAGAGTATATGTATTGCTATGAAACATGTCATTCCTCAGGGTGAGAGCCAGACAAGTTATACCACAGGGTGGACACTCACAGCAGGAAAGTCTGATCAAAAGTAGCTTCGTAGCAACCTGAGTCAACACAGGGCAATGTGCATTCAGAAAGGCACAAAGCTGAAATGAAATTCCCTCCCTCTCCCCAGTTTGGAAATATTACCTCTATCACCTGGTTTTTCCTTTCCTTTTGCTTGGCTGAATTTCAGAACTAAAGTAAAATATGCCTGTGCCTCATCCAATTACTACTCTTAATCATGCTGCTGCTACAACGTGTAATAATACTTTGTATGATTATATTGCTGTACAAATCCCTCTCATGCACATGAATTCATTTGACCCTTAAAACTACCGAGTGAAGTCGGCAGGGCATTTTATAGAAAAATGAGGCGCAGAAAAATGAATGCCTCTCCTGAGAACACCCAGCCAATACCGATTAAATGAGAGGCCATGTTATTTCTCCTCAGCCTTTTCCCACAAAGGGAATGAAGTTCATAATAGTAAATGTATATAACAAAATAGTGCAATACACGACAAAAATAGGAAAAAGTAGGAATTACAATAGTATATATGGGCTGGGGGGATAAAATTCCCAAGAAAGTCCTGCACAATTGCTACAATTCAAGATGTCCTGGCAGTCTAAGCAAAAAAGGAAACAAGGGCCGGGCGCAGCAGCTCACGCCTGTGATCCCAGCACTTTGGAAGGTCGAGGCAGGTGGATCAGTTGAGGCCAGGAGTTTGAGACCAGCCTGGCCAATATGGAGAAACCCTGACTCTACTAAGAATACAAAAATTAACTGGGCATGATGGTGCAAGCCTGTTGTCCCAGCTACTTAGGAGGCTGAGGCACGAGAATCACTTGAACCAGGGAGGCAGGGGTTGCAGTGAGCTGAGATCACACCATCACATTCCAGCCTGGGCAACAGAGGGAGACTCTGTCTTAAAAAAAAAAAAAAAAGGAAAAAAGATTAGTAACATAGTTCTAGTTGTAAATGGTGAGCCCAAGCCAAAATCCAGCATTATAGAAAAAAACTACCATTGAAGAGACGGATCCATTTTCTCATCCCAAGAAGTATTCTATTTAAATCGGCCTCATTAGGAAATACCTGGGTCCACCAGCTAATAGTTTACACTCGGAAACACACAATCCTGTCACTGGTTTGACACAGGGTCTGGGAAACATTTCAAGCCTCAAAATCAAGATTTCCCCGAGTCTCAAGAAAATAAGATGCATCTTCCAAATGGAGTAGTGCTGCCTATTACCTCAGCCTGCTAGACAATAAGTTCCAAAGTCTTAGAGAAGAGTCTAAATCTTACGTTCTCTGGATTACAATGCCGATCGAGAATTCATCCTGAAACTCTAATTGTGTCACTTTGATATCTCAAAGACTCAGGCTCGCCAACTGCAGATACGAAATTATCTCTCCAACCCGTATTCCTAAAACAAGCCAAAAAGGAAACAGTTGTGTAGTTTTAGATGTATCTGGGAAGATTCTCACCGGATATAGTTGGCATCTGCTGTTTATGTCTTTTCAACATCCTTTCTTTTTCTTTGTTAGTAGAACTGTTTTCCTTTTGGTGTCCTGATGGCTCAAAATACCCCACCACCCCATCTGCCCAAAACAACTAAGACCATTGAGATTCTTCTGGAAATCATAATTTTGAATGCAGAGACACAGAGCTGAAACATCTGATGGAAGGACCCCAAACAAGATAGCTCACAAGGTTTTGACTAAGATTCTTATGGCTTCCCTGATTTCCAAATCCTGGTTGGTCAACTTTTTTTTATAATACTATCAATTATTCAACATCTTTCCAATAAATTCCTTTTTTAACTAAATTAACAAATGTCAGTTTCTGCTGCTTACTGTGAAAGAATGCTAACAGATACCTACAGAAAGGGGGTAGATGAGGAGGCAAACCTTTTTTGACGTCTCTTATGGGCCAGTGTAGTATAACCACCAACAGGTGCTTATCAGAGGCACTGGGAGAGCTTCTAAACAATTCCTATAAGCATTTAGCAAAAGCTGCCCTGGCAATGCCAATGCCCATATATGATTAAGAATCCTTCCTCCAGTGGATGAGACGCTAACAAACCTGAGCTGTAACCCTTGACATACCGCATGTGACACACCCATAAAGTGAGTGTGGTGGCAGAAGATGGTTTCTAATTTCCTTCAGAGAGACAAAAAGAAAGCGGGGGTAATTCTAGAGAACTCCCCACTTAAAGTGAGAAACCACTCTTCATCCCAGTAAATTGTGGCAATGAGGAAAAGAAAGCCTGAACTTGCCAGCCCTTCCAGGTTTCCAAGAGACGTTCAATTTGCCGTAAACAGAAGGTGATCACAAAAAAAAGTACTTACAAGTAAAACAAAATAGGATTACTAAATTCCGTCTGGACTTGTTGCCTGCTTCAGACCTCGAGCCTGAGGCCTGTCACCTCTTTACTGCAAGAAGAGATTAGAAAGAGGGAGTAAAGCACATCATTGTCAGACTAAGACTCTTCTTTGTTACAAGCAGTGAGAGCATTGAAAAGAAATAACTTTATCATGATGTGATTCTGTGTTGTTCAATGCTGGATCTATGGACCTCGTGTGCAACTGTCTACCACCTTGGGCACTCTGGGGCCTTTAAACCTCCCTTCATGCCCAAGCTGGATTCCCCACTCACTGGTGAGATTTGCCTGCCTGCTTATCACACAGCCAACCAGGAGGACCTTTGTATGCCATCTAGCCTGGAAAATCACCCTGAGCCAGCATTTTCTGCATCGTCTTTCACTCTCCACATCCTTATTTTTTCTGTTTTCTTCCTTCCCTTCTGGATCCTTCCACATATCCCACACGAGGTCCAGTATCTTCCTATCATCCTTTGCCTAAAAGGAGATAGGAGAGAAACAAAATTCCCAGCCAGGGCTGCAGGGCCCAGGGTGCCATCACCTCCCCATGGAATAGATGAGCTACTCAAGGGACTGAGGTCACACAGCACGTGATCAACTGAGCCCATGTGCAAGAACTCATTCATTCATTCACTTGATATACATTGAGTACGTCAGTTATATCCTCAAGATTGAAGATAGAGCAGTGAAAAAAACCCTGCCCTCCATAAACAGGAAAAAAAAGGAATGTGAGATATTGTCTGGCAGTGAGAAGTGCTATGATATTACACCAAGCAGGTCTGGAAACAGAGAGTTCCAGGGGTAGTATTTTGGACAGTTTGGTGAGAAAGACCTCTCTGAGGAGGTAATATTTGAGCACAGACTGGAATAAAGTGTGCCATTTAGATATCTAGTGGAAAGAATATTCCACATAAAAGGTAAATAACTCCAAGGAAGGAGGACACTTGGTGTATTTGAAAAGCAGCAGCAAGAAGGCTGGTGTGGCTGGAGCAGAATGAGTGAGGGGAAGAGGCTTTGGAGATGAAGACAGGGAGGTAGTAAGGAATGAGATCATAAAAGCCAGATCACAGGCAATCAAAAGCTAAGAAGCTGTAGAGCAGCAAAGTGGCATGATCAGGACTTTGAGGAAAATTAGAAACCATTTTCTGTGCCCCTGCTCAGTGCTACTTATAGAAGTCCCTAGTGACTCCTTTTCCACCGTGGCCACTGAGAATAGCAGCTCAGGTTGTGCAGTGCTCAACACCAGCTCATGAAGACTGTGGTATGAACGGTGCCCCTCAAGTTGTAAAATGTGGTGGCTACATTACATCTCATCCCTGGAGGTTCATTTAGGCCCTAATCTCATCATGGTGCATATGAAGAAAACCAAGGACTTATGATTCAAGTCCTCTAAAGGACATAGCCTCATACACATCACCAGGTTGATGACAAAGTTAATCCAGGGACTGAGCCGCACTTTAGTGGAGAAGCTAAAGGGGTGAAGAGGCTCATTCTGATCTACAAATACCCTTATCCAGCATATGTTTCCAAAGACCTGGATTTCAGAAGCCAGAGGAGAAGGACATGAGCCAGTGCCACCCCTACCAATGACAAATCTGTGACAAGCTTGGCAGTGACTTTGGACCAGGCAGAGCAGCAACGAGACCCCATCCCTCCTCTCAACATATCCAGGTCTCCTGTATGTGTCTTGTCATTAAGAGGTAGGAAAGAGCAAAGAGGGACTCTTTATGGTCCAAACCATTTCCTTTCCTTACGTGTTACTATCTTGGTTAAACATATGCACACGCGCACAAACTGGGGATTAGTTAGGGTCAACTGAGGCATATATCAGCCCAGGATTACATTCATCTTCCCTGTGTGCCAAAAACCTCATGGTCGACCCCTCTCATTCCCATTTCTTCCATCCCATGTGCCTGCCTTTTCTAATCACATCTTTTAAATATAGATTTAGGGAGTACAAGTGCATTTTTTTTACATGGATATATTGTGTAGTGGTGAAGTCTAGGCTTTTAGTATAACCTTCATCTGAATAGTGTACATCTTTCAAACAGCAGCTCAAAATTTATCTCCTTTTGCATCACCCTAGTACACAGCGATGGCAGCTTGAGCAGGTGGCTTGTCTGGATTGATTGCCTGGCACAGCAAGCAACACCTGGTTTTGTGGGGAGGGGAATATTTGTCTCCACATCACTGGGATTTGGGTCTGAGATTGTTATAAAGTAGCTAGCATCTCAGACAGAAAGCTAATAAAGCTCTTGAATGGGGAAGTGTCATTTTCACAAACCCATTTTTAGAAGGCAAGCAGCCAATCAGACATACTAGCTAATTAGCTGAGCTGTGGAAGGAGCAACATAAAAACATCTTACTGACAGAGCAAGCCGAGAAAAATCATGTGAGGAGAACAACCCTCACTCCCCAGTTCCTTCTGCAGGGGGAACACAGTAGACCAAGAGCCATCCTATCTGCAAGTCACCATAGCTGGAAACTTTTCCACTACCCTTCACTTATGCAGAGTTGTTCTCAGAATATTCTTAGTATAGCTGGGCAGGTGTGCACATCTTGGCTCAATCTTATGCCTTCTCAGAGAGAAGTCTTCAGTCCAGATCCTGTTTTAGGTGTTTATTACTATGAAACAAACTGCTATGGTCTGAGTGTTTGTATTGCCTCAAAATTCATATGTTGAAATCCTAAGCCTTGAGGTGATGGTGTTAGGAAGTGGGGCCTTTGGGGAGGTGATTAGGTCATAAGGATGGGGCCCTCATGAATGGGATTAGTTCCCTTATAAAATAGGCCCAAGGGAGCTCATTCTATCCTTCCACCATGTAAGAACAGTGAGAAGACACTTTCTATGAACAGAAGAAAACTCTCACCAGAATCAAATCTGCTGACATCTTGATCTTGAACTTCCCAGGCTCCAGAACCATGAGAGATCAATTTCTGTTGTCAGAAGCCTATGTTGTTTTTTTTTATAGCACCTCAAACAGACTAAGACACAAACCACCCCAAAACTTAGTAGCTTAAAGCAATTTATTATGGTCTCTTATGATTCTGTGGGTTACTGGGCTCTTATGGATAGATCTCAGTGGCATCTATCATGTGGTTATAGTCAGATGGAAACTGGGGCTGAAGTCATTTGAAGGCTCCACTGGGCTGGATGTCTCTCTCAGTTCAGGCTGTTGAATGAAGACTGTGTGCTTAAATAATAGAAATGTATTTCTCACAGTTCTGGAGGCTGGGAAGTCCAAGATCAAGGTGCCAATTGTTTCAGTTTATGATGAGGTTTGCAGACAGCCGTCTTCTCATTGTATCCTCACATGGTGGGGAGAGAGAAGAAGCAAGCTTTCTCCTATATCTCCTGAGGGCACTAATCTTATCAAGACCTAAATCCCTCCAAAAGGCCTAATCTCTAAATACTTTCATATTGAGGATTAGGATTTTAAAATACTGATATTGAAAGGACACAAATATTCAGTTCATAACAACATCCAAGATGTTTCACTCACGTGGCTAGCAGTAAGTGGTGGTTGCAGGCTGGGAGCCCAGCTGGGGCTCTTGATGGGGGAGCTACAAGTATCCTCTCCATGTGCCTTGGGATTTTCACCACCTGGAGGCTGAGTTCCCAAAAACAGCATCCCATGAACCCCAGGTAGAAGCTCCTGGGTGTTTATAATCTAGCCTTAAAAGATCTCAGAACATCACTTTGCTGTATTCTACTAGTTAAGCAAGACACTAAGCCCAGCCCAGGTTCAAGGGAAGGAAATTAGAATCTTCCTCTGAATGTAAGGAACAACATGCACGTACAGGGAAGGAAGGAATCAATGGAGGCCACTTTGAGAAACCCACACACTTCCCCAGAATCAGGCCTGGAGATGATGATTCACATGCAGGTGATTTATGTAGAAAGCACTCCCAGAAGAAACTGGGTAAGAAAATAGGGGAAGCAGGTCAAGAAACAGGAAGAAGCCAAGCAAGGGAGCGAGTCCAGGCAAAGTTCCAGTCTCAATCTGAATCCTGAGATGAGCTCTGGCATGTAAACTATGCCTTAGTGTTTGGCCCAACTTGAGGCAAGGGACCTGAGACTTCATTCCAACACCTGTCTGTGATTGACATGTGGCCATGAGGAGAGATTTGGAATGTGTAAACACCCACACACTTCCCAATCTCCACATGTGGGCAAAGGGGCTCCAGTAGCCAAGGGCAGTCCTCTGAAATGAGTCACCTGTGCTGCTCTGAAAAGTAAAGGACACACAGTTGGGGAATGGGTGCATGGAAATGTAGAAGGGACCCAAAGGAATCTGCACAGAAAGGCAACTCCATCTGCTACAGCCGTCTTGGGTGGTTTTGGGAACAGATGGGGAAGTGAGGATTTGTCAATAGCATATTCTCTGGCATTATTTCATTTCCCCCTCTCAGGCACTCCACAAGGTGGGTCCTAGCATCCCCATTTTACACAGAGAAACCCCACACTAGGAAACATTATGTAGCTTACCCACAGAGAAGGATCTGAGCTCAGAACCATACAGTTCTGAAGTCCACGCTCCTTCCTTAAACTACAGTACAGTCACAGAAGACTAGGAAATTCCAGCTAAATACTGCCTCTCACCACAAATCGTGCTTGGGAGGGCCTTTGGGCATAAAAGACTGGGTTTTCCTCTAATATCTCACAAAACCACACCATTTACAGAATGCTCTGCACTGCTGTGGAAGACGTGGCAAAGTTCTCTACCATTTAAATCATGTTAGTCTCAGGAGAGATGCTGAGAGCTTTGTCCTCCATTTAAAGTAGTGGTTCTTAATGTGGGTGTTGGGTGAGGTTGCCTTCCCAGGGGATATTTAGAAAAGCGTAGAGACATTTTTTGTTGTCACAAGGGGCAGGGGAGTGTTGCTACTGGCATCTAGTGAATGAAGCCCAGGAACGCTGCTAAACATTCTATGAGGCACAGGACGGATCTCACAACAGAGAATTCTACCACCCAAAATGTCAGTAGTGCTGAGCTTGAGAAACCTAGACTTGAAAGAATGAGTCTCTGGCCAAGCTACACATATCCAAGGGAGTGGAGGGGAGAGGAGCAGCAGCTCTACCTACTTTCATGTGACCCAAAGTCTAATTAATTTTGGAAAGTTGGTTTTTATCCCCAGGAAGTACAATTAGCTTTTTCTTTCTATTTTTGTAGCATGTAGTGGTTGGAGTAGCTGAGTCGTTGTACATTCTAGAATTCCTACAACCCACTGACTTAACGACATTCGTATGCCAGAGAAGATATCTAGCCACCTTCTCAAAAGGAGAGTACAGCAATACTACGTGACACTTAGCAGCTTTAAAATGAGAAAATGGGTAGCAAGCTGTCCTCCCGCGATGCTCTGTGTTCTCCATATTGCAGTCTATGACACCCTAAACATCAAAGCTGCTTAACATGGGAGGATGACAGTAATGTGTCTCAGCACTCAGAAATGTGTATGTTCACCTGTGGGTGAATTATGGCCATAATTGCACATGACTGATCATATTAAACCTACTTAAATATCGAAACAAGGGTGTTCTTTCAAAGTAGTCACCTTGGGAGGCTATACACTTGTTTGTAACAAATCTTCCATGGCCCGAACTATATTCATACTTCATCCTTTGGAATTTCCTTCCAGTTCAGCTTAGAACAACAAAAGAAAAAAAAAAAAACCCTCAGCATCATATACTTATTTATGATCCAAAACAGTATTTCTCACTTTGAAAAACTACTCGAATTTGCCAGACTTATCTCTGAACAAATCTAGGTCATTTCTAGACATCAAATACACTCTCAAAGAACCAAAGTTTACAGATACTTATCTTCAGAACCCAGCTTTATAATGGATTTAGGTTACAGTTTAGAATAAGATTATAGCCAAGGTTAAAGTAAGAATTGAAATATTCAGTGATCAATTCCATCTTAAGCTATGTTCACACAAGTCAGTATCTGACATTAACCATGCTTTGGTTAACCTTGGTATTACATGGATATTTTCATTTTGATACCACTTCTGTTTCTGGTATTGGGTTCTAAGTGTAGCATGCCCTGCGCTGGGCAATGGAGATATAAAAATAAATAAAACAGGCTGGGCCCAGTGGCTCATGCCTGTAATCCCAGCATTTTGGGAGGCCGAGGCAGGCAGGATTGCCTGAGGGAAGGAGTTCAAGACCAGCCTGGCCAACATGGTGAAACCCCATCTCTACTAAAAATACAAAAAATTAGCCAGGCATGGTGGCGGGCACCTGTAATCCCAGCTACTTGGGAGGCTGAGGCAGAAGAATTGCTTGAACTGGGTAGGCGGAGGTTGCAGTGAGCAGAGATCACGCCACTGCACTCCAACCTGGGCAACAAGAGTGAAACTCTGTCTCAACAAAAAAATAAATAAATAAATAATTAAACAAATAAATAAAATAGTCCTTGCCTGAAAGCACACTGATCTGGTGAAAGAGGCATATATATGGGCAGATGATTACAATCAGAGGTGATATGCAAAATATTTCACCGTCAATAGAGCACAGGCCCAGCTGGCCAGCCAGTCAGACAGACTTGGAGCTAAAGACCTGCTTGGCCGGAAATTAACCCTTTAGTTGCTGGATTATGGGACTATCCAGAGGTCCCCGGGAGAGGCTGAGGGCTGGCATGGGAGTAGAGAGTAGGATTCTCAGTTCTGTGTTTGAACAACTGGGGCACATGAGCTGAATGCCAACACTGGTACAAGGCAGGGCAGGAAGTGTCTGGTAGAAGTTGGCCCAATGGAAGGGGTTAGTAATTGTGCAGACGCTAGAGCATCATCACATCCCACCTGCAATTTCAGCCGCAGCCAGGGTGGACATTTCCACAAGCTTGGACACCCTCCAGCTCACAGTGTCCTTCCTCAAGCTCTATAATCTCTCCACTTTCTGCCCTAGAGCTGCCAACCCATCCCAGCCCAGCCCAAAAGTGAGCGTGCTAATACTTCTGGGGCAACCCTCTGCCAATGGAAGCAGGGGCAGGGGCAAGGAGGAGAGGTGCTAGAAAGACACTCTGGCCTCCTCTCTCAGTGTCCAATCCATGGAGGCCTTCTGGCCTTCTCCACAGTACCAGGAGACCCAAGTTCCCGTCACCGCAGCCACGATCTCTACAAAGCACTCGCACACCAGCTTTTCCCCTTCTCTACCCTACTCTCTCTGCCCCTCACTCCTGTTTCCAGAAATCACTTCCTGATTCTTTATCTAAAGCTTGGGTCTTGGAGGAACCCAAATCAAGACAGAAGGAATCAGTGAAGGCACCACTGGGAGACAAGGTGCAAGCTGCATCATTACCAAAAACCAAAAGAATCCCGGTTTCTTTTGAATTGGCCTGGTCAGTCTTTAAGCCTTTCGAAAACATAAGGCCCAGCTCCTCTCCATCGCCTCCCCAATTTGGACTAACTAGTATTGATTTCCCTAAACTTGTATCAGCCTCCAGGGAGCCATGCACCATGCCCAAGGGAAAGAAAGGCAAGCAAGCGGAGTTTGCAAATCTGATCTACAAAAGTGTTTTTTTTAATCTGTTTTTATGTTTTCTTAAATTCCTATATTCTTCTAACCATATTCTCTTATTATATCTTCTTTTTCTTTGTCATCATTATCATTCATTTGTTGTTATCCCTTTGCCCCGTTTCTGACTTTTTTACTTGCTCATACTTCCGAGGATGGCTTTGTTAGTGCCAGTCCAATGTCCTGCCAGTTCTCACCCCCTACTGTCTCTCACATTCATATGTCTCTTCCTCCCCAACTGCCATGTCCTCAGCTCAGACCCTTAGCAACACATGCCTCGGTGATCGCTCTCAGTCTTCTGCTTCTTGCTGCCACAACCTGCCCCCAGCTCAGTACCAGGAGTATCTTCTGCCAAAAGCAGCGGTGGGATTTGAATGACATCTGGATAGGGCACCTTAAAATGCAATTCTACCTTCCTCCCAAATAGTTTGCTGAAATCCATTTGCCATTGTACACAAGGAGCAAGTGGGAAACAAATATTGCTTTGTTATTTGCAGAACTTTCTGGCAAAGGAACTGGGGAGTATGGCTGAGTGCCAAAAATTAGGAAGATGTCTCTTTCCCTCTGAGCTCAAGACAAAACCCTCCACAGCGCAGCCCCCTGGGCTAAAGAGGCCAGAGGACCTAGGTGCACGTGACTGAAGAATGGAGGAATGCATGCACTCACTCTTCCAGCTGCCTGGAAACCAGAGGAAGAAGTAAGCAGAGCCTTTGGGGAGAAAAAGGGCAAGTGGGTCTCCTCCTAAACAGGAGGTTGGAGAGTATAATGATGAGGAGGAAAATGACCGTAAAATGCATCTGTATGCTCAGGTTAAAAAGGAATTTGTAAAGCAAATAGAGAACAGTCAGGCAAAATAGATTGGCACCGAAAAAAAAAAAATACAGGGATAGTAGGGAAGACAGGAAAAAAAATAGGTAGTGCAGTTTAATATTAGTGGCATCTATAAGAAAAAATGAAAGGTCTAAGTCTAGACTATATATCTCTGATCATAGAATTTTGATGTTGTTTGTACACACTTTGAAAAAATATCAGCAATCATCAGGTTGTCACCAAGAAAAGACTTCACACACACCAAACAAGGTACCTGGGAAGTCAAATTCCTCCCTGTATTATAATGACATGATAATTCCAAGAATGTAATGCATAGGTTGTATTTGAACATGGAAGTGGGACCATCCAAGGGTGGCACCGATGGCCTCAAAGATGACACTTGATGGAGTCAAGAGAGGGAGCAAGGAAATCTGTGTCCATTGATTCATATTGCTTTGTCCTCAACCAATCAACAGAGCTCTGTGGAGCTGGCTTAGAGCCTGCATGACTGTGTGGTTAGCTTCCTTAGCTCTGCTTCAAGTTGATTTGGGATGGAAGTGATTGTAACAGCCTGCCGATGCAACCAAGTTGCCCCACTATTCCTTTTGGCCTCTCAAAATCAAGAAAAGAAAAGGAATTGTCAACATACAAAAGGGGTCTGCCTCTGTTTCCCAGTTCTGCACCAAAGAAGGGAATGGGTATAACCTGTCCTCAAGTAAACATGGCCTGATCAGCATTCTGAAGTGTGACCAGTTAGATTAGTGAAATGCTGGGAAAGCTCCACCAGGAAGGAATGTAAGTAGGTGAGAAACTATACCTACTTACATGTAGATGTCTACATTCCCATGCTTTTTTGCTTTCATTAACCATCAGGCTCCATAGCCAGGTCTATTGTCAGTCAAACCTAGACTGTCTGTCTCTGGGTAGAAAATCCACAGATTATCAGGGACACCTCTTTCTCCATTCTTGTGGTTCCCATTCAGATACTTTTACCCCAAAAGCAATGCCTCTTTTTTTTGTAACTCCCAGAAATTTCTGAAACAGGTCAAGAAAGGCTGCTCATTTAACTTCAAAGTTCACTACCTGACATTTTGTCCCCATTCTGTATCCCAACTACATCATCCAGCCTTGCTCATCAGAGAAGGTTATGCAAGGAACTCAGCCCAAATCCAGAAAAACAAAAATAAAATTAAGACTCTCCCACCATTTTAAAGTTTCCACACAAAAATTACAGTTCTTAGAGAATATAAAAGTTCCAGCCATGCAATCAGTCTTCCATTGTTGCCACAGAGAAAGTAAAATCCTGAAATCAAATCTCTCCCACTTTACTACTTAAAGAAATCGATGTTGCAAAATGTCCTTTGCACATTTTTTTCATTCTGCACAACCGAAAAAAATGTGGAAAGGACATTTTGCAACATCAATTTCAATCTGAAGATGGCTCTTAGGAATCTGGGGGGAATCTTGGTTTCTTCTTCAATAGTTACAACATGGACTGGCTTGTTGAGACTGGTATGGCTCTTCTGATGTCTTCCAGGAGAGATTTATCCAATGCTAAATCTCCCATGGGTGCCACTGCCTGAAGTTTTAAATTAACAGGCCACGTAAGAGTATCTCAGTTTCAGTTACACACCATGAAACAATTTCCATCACTCCAGTCACTCCAAAGGCTTATCATGTAAACACTGCTTTCTTTATTCCCAGAAGTGAGGGAGGAAAGAAAAGCACAGCTTTAATCATATTACTTCTACTCAAAACCTGCAATAGCTCTCCACTGCTTAAAGAATAAAATATTATTAAATCTTTCTCCTAGCATTCAAGGATTCCAGGATCTGGCCAACACTTAATTCTCCACCTCTGCATGCTGTTCATGCCATTCTGCTTATCTCCCATGCCCTTTCTTTCCTTCCCATTGCCTCTCTAGACTCAATTCACTGAAGATCAGTTCAGGTGCCACCTTTTCCAGGAGGCTTCCCTGGACATCTACACCCAGTGGTTTCTCCCCCTATGCCACCCCACCCATCCCTGAACTCAGGGACCACAGCCTGTGCTGCTCACATGCCACTGATCACATAAACCGTCTTGTCTCTGGGCTCCCTACTAGCAAAAAGCAAAATTGTATCCTATGTGGCCTTAGCAAGAGCCCTGCACAGAAAATATGCTCCTACCCTGGGAGGGACTTGATTTTGGCAGTCGAAAAGTCTCACTCTGCAAGGATTTGACCTTATGTTAGCCAAGGTTTGGTTGTAAAGAACAAAATCTATTCTAGCCAAGCTAGGCAAGAACAAACTATTACAGGGTATTTAGAACTTATAGGATCACGGGAAGCACTCGACAAACAGGCTGACCTTTTTAAAATGACTCCCAAAGACACAGGAATAACTGAGCCACCAAAAGAGCTGCTGCCTGTCCCACAGCCAGGGGGCCACTGTGGAAACAGAACCACAACCAGGAGACCATCATATCCACACCATTGAAAGCATGCCTCAGCTACACTCGGCCTCTAACATCCTCAGAGATAGTGGCTGGACCCTGGAACAAATACAACTGGCTCCACAAGTGTGCCTGGCAACAGAAAGAGCAGATGGTAGGCATCTGCTCACTTCAGCTTCCCCACACTCACATGTGTGCCCCTGAAAGGCCAAATCTAAATTCTGTTCAGAACTCAACCTGCAAGGGAGTCTGGAAAATGTATTTCTTGGCTTTCCAGTCTCTGCAAGAAGGGAAGACATTAGAAGAATGGAATGGCTGTTGAGAGTCAGCCCATCATATCTACCACAAATCTGCAGGTTTGTTAACCTTGCCTGTGATCTTCACCTCAAACTAACATATATTTGAATTATCTGTGGTGCCTGACATTTTAGAATTTATCCTGGTGACCACCGTTCACCCCAACTCTGTGAATGCTTCAGTATATTGAGGCAGTATTTCTTAAATGCTACTGGCAAAATTCTTACAGACTCCCAGTATTTGTCAAAATTGTTTTTATTATAATGTTATTTAAAAATGTAGGAACATAAAAATAGCTATAAAAATCTCATGGTTACAAAATCTTTTTAAAAATACTATAAAAATTAATTTGCAAACTAAACACAAGCAAAACTCTAAAAAGGATGAAAGTCAAACTAACAACTTACTTTAGGATGATTAATGATGTTTTGCTCACAGTAAATCACCAATGTTGGACGTAAAAGTAGGAAAATGTATTTGCACGTTTTACATTTCACGTGTTAATGGGCTGATTTTTTAAATTTTGAGTAAGATGGCCCATTGTTTTAGTCACTGTCAGTAACATTATCATTATTTTTTCTTTTTAACAATGAACTCATTTTTTAGCCACTGATTTTAATGGGCTACTCAATTTAATGGTGCACTCCAAAATAGAGTGCTGAAAATTTTAAAGCACCATTTAATTAAAACTTCTTCAGTGCACAATTACTAATACCTTTATTGTTAATGAAGTGTGGAAGTTTGGTTTGCACAAAGTAGTGGTTCATGCAGCATAGCACTGCTGTGAGGGTGGTTCTAACTGCCACAGTGCAGGCTCGGTAGAGTTCCATATGACTATACTACCATGTGCAGAGTGATGACTCAGTCCTCTCACCTCTTTTCTCCATACAAACTACTGGAAATCATTTGTTCCTATGAGTTCATTTGAGCTTTACCTGGCACCAACATGCTCATAAACATAAACACAAACAGCAATAATACATGATTAGAAAACTTCCTATGATAAAAGAAACCCCCCGACCCCGAAATCAACAAGGACATGTCAGTAAATGCAATAGGGGGAAAAATGTGCAAAGAATATGAACAGGCAATTCAAAGAAGTGGAGGTAGAATGTCAAACAAGCATGAGAATTGATGCTCACACTGGCACAATTAATTCAATCACTCATTAAAATAATTATGAGATACCATTTTATGGCCATAAAATTGGCAAATTAAAAAGTCAGATAGAACCATATCTTGATTATAACGGGCAAGCATTTGGGGGAAAAGGAACCTTTGTACACTAATGGTGAGAGAGAAGGCTGGGTGCAGCACTACCAGTAGAAACCTACCATCACTTAGTGAAATTAAGTATGCCTATACCCTACGGCCCAGAAATCCCACTCTGGACATATATCCAAGAAGAGCTCACACTCACATCCATGAAGAAACCTATGTGAGGATGTTTTGGCAACTCTGTTTTTGGAAGCAGGGATTTTGTGGTAAATGAGGCATCCAGCATTAGGAGAATGGATAAGCAAAATGTGGTGCTGACCCACTAAGGAACAGACGAAGCAAATGGAAGTAATGAATTAGAGGTTCATAGAGCAACATAGATATATATATTTTAAAGTACTAAGTAGATTACAAAAGTTAGAATGGGATCTCTCACAATACCATGTTAAAAATGAAAATACTTGCATATGCAAATACCATGCATTTTTCAAAGATATATACCTATTACAAGACACATACCAAACACATCAGAACGTACTTGTAGAGAAAAGGGTTGTGGGAATGTGCATAAAGAATAAGACAAGAAAATGTAAAACATAAAAAGGAAATGAAACAAAATAAAACAAAAAGTGTCCCTGCCTGAACTTACAACAATAACAGAGGTATATGATGGACTCTGGTTTCTCTAGAGATCCAAAAAAGAAAAAACAGGAAAATTCAGTGTATGGACATGTGATGTTATCTTGAAAGTAGAATCAATGGGATTTTGTAATAGGATTGGATGTGGAGATAAGATAAAGAGAGGCATTTAAAAAATAAATGATAGCATTCTAGTAATAAAGTGATTTGCTAAGATTAACTTTATGGAAAAAGAGAATGTTGGAGAAGAATTATATTAGAAGAGGGAGGAAATGAAAATTAAGAGTTCAGTTTTATTGAAGGCCCAAGAGTCATCCTAGTAGAAATGTGGAGTTGAATTTGGGTAGGCTCTCAGGAAAGAGGTCCGGGCTAGTTTCTCAATTAACAGGCTAAGTTGCAATAATGTAACAAAGAAGCTCCAAATACAGATGCTTAATAAAGTAGAATTTTACTGTGGTGTGACTCTGCTTGGTGAGATAATTCAGGGGCCTAGGCTCATTCCATCATTTTCCTCCACCATCCCCAGAGTGTGTCCTCATTGGAAATGGTAAAGTTAAGTTACTGCCTTGTCTGTGCCCCAGCCTGTGGGGAAGAAAGAGAGAAAAGTCCAAGGCAAGTGGTTTGTTTTTAAGCTAGAGATCAGCCAAAAGTTGCACCCACCGCTTTTGCTAACATCCTATTGGCTCAAACTTGGCGAACCCTCAAAGCTGGTCACACCTAGTCACAAGGGAGGTGGGAAATGTAGGTCTAGCTGGAAAGCCCAGTGTCTGGACACAGCTCTATTCATAAGGAAGAAGAGGAAAATAGATCTGAGATAACTAGCAGTCTGCCCAAACTGGCAATTAGAGTCACGAACATGCAAGTGGAGCTAAAAACCAAGGATGCAGATAAAATAGTGTAAGATGATGGCATAGATAATTAAGAAAACAGGGATGACACCAAGCCCTAAGACACTCCTGTATTTAATGATGAGTGAGTAGAGCCCAAAAAATAGACTGAAAACTAATTAAGATGTATGAGGAAAACCAGCAAAGTGTTGTGTTGCCACCAAAAAATGCCCCCAAGAAGCAACCCTTCCCCAGTGAGAAACAGGAGAGCATAAATAAATACCCCAACTTCCTCCCCACATGCAGGGACAATCTCTCAAGAATCCCGAGTGGGCCTAGCATGGTGGCTCACGCTTGTAATCCCAACACTTTCAGAGGCTGAGGCAGGAGGGTTGCTTGAGGCCAGGAGTTTGAGAATAGCCTGAGCAACATAGCAAGACCCCATCTCTAAAAAAAAAAAAAAAAAAAAAAAAAAAAAAAAACGATTTAAATTACCTGGGCATAGTGGTACACATCTGTAGTCCTAGCTACTCAGGAGGCAGAGGAGGGAGGACTGCTTGAACCTAGGAGTTCATGAGGCTTCAGTGAGCTATAATTGCGCCACTGCACTCCAGCCTGGACAACAGAGTAAGACCCTGTCTCAAAAAAAAAAAAAGAATCTCCAGTGAATTGAGCCCCAGTTGCCCACAGAGGTGAGCTGCTTGTTTATTCACCCTGGACTGGCTTCCTTCCTTCCCCTGTCTTACTTTCCTAAATCCCCATGTGCTTTCTGGGATCTGCTTTAGGGGAACCCCAAACTAAAAGAAGCCCTCAAAATGCACTCTGCAAGTGTTATTATGACTCTGTTACTATGACTGCACACTTTGGTTCAGAGCAGGCTAAGGCTGGAGCCTTCCCTCAGGGCCCCAGCCACAGACCAAGGGATTTATTACAAAACTCAGAAGACTGTGTCTCCAGGTCACATCATCCCACAATCCTGCCAGCTCTGGCTATGACAGATCAGACTGCACTCTAAATTTAATGCTCCATTGAGCTACAACAACAACCAAAAGAAAAAAAAAAGACCTCACCAGACACTCTACTCCCGAGAAAATAAATAAAATCTGTGTCTCTGATGGTTGGGAGATGTTTTATTTTCACACATTTGCACTGCACCTTCACAGGCCAAGCCCATGAATCCTCTGTCTTTATCTAGACACTATATTAAATGGGAATTAAACTGAGTGATAGTAATAGCTTCTCGCAAGAAGCTCAGAGGGAGAAAGCAGTTGGCAGTGCTTGGCAGAGCAGCCCACCAGGGAGGAAGGCAGCTCTCCCAGGAACCCTGGGGACAGCACTTCTGGTTCTTGATGCAAATCCTGCTCAGCACCTACTTGCCTTTATTGTTCCTTAGGAAAAGCCAGCCACACAAGGAACGTGACCTTTAACTCATCCCTCCCTCCTGCGTGTGAAGGAAGCACTGAAACAACATGATTTCGAGAAAAAAATGCTGCTTTGCAGTTGAACTTTAGTGCTTTAATATTACTGCATTTCTGAAAGTTTAAAAGTGTGGCTTAACATTTGAAGTCTGTATCCATGTTGTAGGACATGTTTTCCCCCACGTATTGTGAAACTGTAGGTGGTTCACACAACTAGGGCATAGAATGGGAAGGGAGGAGGTGTGGAAAACAAAGACGGGGAGACATTAGTGGCCAGATAAGAAAGTCCTTGTGAGTTACGTTAATAAGTTTAAGAGGATGATGAAGCCCCTGAAGGGATTTAAAATAACGAGTGACATGTCAGCTTTATATTGTAGAAAGATCATTTGATTGCAATGTGGAAAATGTTGGAAAGGGTGGAGAGCAAAAATAGGGGTAGAAGAACAGGCAGAAAACTATTCCAAGCAATAGATAACTAAGGGTGTAGCAGTGGGAATGAAAAGATAGGGGCGGGTTCGAGAGAGATTTAGGCAACATTAATGATCAGTGACTGACTGGGTAGGGCATGGTGAGGGGGAAAAAGAAGCATCAAGGTTGAGACCCAGGTCTTCCTTGGTCAACTGAGTGGAAGATGGATAAGTCACTAAGATACACACAAGATATGGAGAAAAGCAAGTTTGGCTGGGAACAAGGGTGCTGCTTTGTGCCTACTGGCAGTCAGAGACTTGTAAAATTAATTGGTAAAATGTTTATAAAGGAGTTAGCCTTTCCAACCATAAAACCACGACCCTCAGGCCTGGGAGAGACTTCAGGGAGAATCCAGGCCAATCATGTCATCTGTGCAAGGCCTTGGGAGGGGAGCACATTTTCACCCACAAGCGATGAGGCTGCAGAGGTAGAGAGGAGCCAGGTTGTGGAGGGAATCGTCTGAACCAGGGTTCTAGAAAGTTTATCTTAACAATGGTGTGCTGGATGGACTCAGGAAAAAGGCTGAAGAAAGGGACCTGAGGAACAAGGGAATTTGAGGTTGCAATAAGAATGATGTTTTCTTTTAAGTTTTGAGAGTTAGACAAACCAGAGACCCAATCCCTAACTGTGTGGCCTTCAGCTGGTCAAATTACCACCACTTGTAAATAGAGAGACCTGAACATCTACCCCAGGGGCTAACTGAGACTGCATCTCAGTGCCTGGCGCACAGTGGGTACTTCATAAACATTCATTTCTTTGTGTCTTCCTCAAACTCTGCCTTCTGATGATCCTCTTACTGCAACTGCAACGCTTCATTTCCACAACTCTTTTTTTTTTTTTTTTTTTTTTTTTTTGAGATGGAGTCTTGCTCTGTAGCCAGGCTGGTGTGCTGTGGTGCGATCTTGGCTCACTGCAACCTCCGACTCCCTGGTTCAAGTGATTCTCCTGCCTCGGCCTCCCAAGTAGCTGGGATTACAGGCACACTCCACCACGCCCAATTAATTTTTGTATTTTTAGTAGAGACAGGGTTTCATCATGTTGGCCAGGATGGTCTCGAACTCCTGACCTCATGATCTACCTGCCTCAGCCTCCCAAAGTGCTGGGATTACAGGCATGAGCCACCGTGCCTGGCATTTTTTTTTTGTTTTTTTTTTTTGAGACGGAGTCTCACTGTGTCGCCCAGGCCGGAGTGCAGTGGCGCAATCTCAGCTCACTGCAACCTCCACCTCCTGGGTTCAAGTGATTCTCCTGCCTCAGCCTCCTGAGTAGCTGGGACTACAAACATGCACCACCATGCGCAGCTAATTTTTGTATTTTTTTTTAGTAGAGATGGGGTTTCACCATATTGACCAGGCTGGTCTCGAACTCCTGAACTTGTGATCCACCTGCCTCGGCCTCCCAAAGTGCTGGGATTACAGACATGAGCCATCGCGCCCGGCCCCATTTCCCCAACTTTTAAACCCACCCAGTTCAGCTACTCAGAACTCTCCCTAACTCCTTTACTTTCCTCCATGGGGCCGGGTCCATCAACAAAGCATATGAATATATGTGGCTGAGGATGGGAGCTTGACTGTCTCACTGGACATTTTGGCCCGACGTGTACAAGCCTGTAAAGTTCTGCTTCCCATCCCATTTTTAAGAGAATACGCTTGCTCAGATCTGTTAGAAAGACTCCTCTCATGTATTAATTATGCCCCCACTAATTACACAGAAGGGTTCTAGCAGCATTATTGAAAGGGATGGGCACAGAGCAACCAAGGAAAGGAGTGATGAGCCCCGCCGTTGCCTCACGCTTGAGTCCAGTCTGCATTTCAGAAAAGACCTCAACAGCTTTTTTCTTCATGCTGTACACACAAAGGGTGGAATTTTACAGCCCCTGATCAGATGGTGGGCTAGCTGGAGCTGCATGTGTGATGGGGCTGGAGGTGAAGAGGAATAAAAGAGGACCCTTTATACTCCCTAATCCTAGAACTCCCTCAATGACATGATGCACCATCTATTTAATAACAGGCTTCAAAAAGAGCAAGGGGAATGAACACTCCCATACTCAATGCCCACTTCACATTTCAGAAACATTAAAATGCAGAAGAGAAAGGTATATGCGAAAATTGAGGAAATGTGGTATCTGTTTTGCAAGCACAAAAGGAACAGGAAAGCTAGAGGGTATGGAGGCCCAGAGATTGGGCCCAAACCAAGCTCCCACTCTGCCTACCTCCCTCTCTTAGGAGTCCCCTCCGTCTGGACTCAGCACCCCTTGCACCTCAGAGACCCATCAGGTCTAAGCTTCCAAGAAACCAACAGGCCCCTGGGGAGGCATGGGCCCCTAAGTAGTGATTGAGGCCCTCCTCAGTCTCTCAGAGACCACCAACTGCCAAGTAAAGGCCTTCAGGTCACTGGACAGGCTGTGAAAGGTGGACCCAGAGCCATCCAAGGACAATCCACCCACCCCTCCTCATGGTTTTGGCAACTGCTGCTCCTTCCCTCAGGCAGAGGCAATGGTTCCCATCTGCAGCCCTGGATGAGAAACTCCTTGGGAAGAGTAAATCTGTAAAAAATATATGTGGCCCGAAAATACGTGGTATTCATTTACATGATGGTGCTGGCGAATAGCTCATTTATCCTGAGAAAAGAATAGGCCAACTGAGTGGCTTCAGGGTTTTAGAGAGAGCCTAGTGAAATCTTTTAATATGCTTAATAATATTTTTAATAATCTAAATAGCATGTGTTGATTATAGAAGAGTCAGAAAAATCAAAATTAAAAACCCTTCTACATAAATGTGTGCTTGTCACAAAGGCATTTGTACAAGGATGTTCATTGCAATATTCTTTGAGATAGCAAATAAACAGAAATTACTTAAAAGCCCAACAATATGGAAAGGGTTAAGTAAATTAAAGTATACTCTTGCAGCATGGAAAGAGTTAACGATAAAGTATCATGAAAAATACAGACATAGAGGAACAGACGTGGTATGATTCCATGAATAAAAAATTACTTTTTTTTTTTTTGAGACGGAGTCTCCCTCTGTCGCCTAGGCTGGAGTGCAGTGGCACAATCGTGGCTCACTGCAACCTCCGCCTCCCAGGTTCAAGCAATTCTCCTGCCTCAGCCTCCGAAGTAGCTGGGATTACAGGCACCTGCCACCATGCCTGGCTAATTTTTGTATAGAGACGAGGTTTCACCATGTTGGCCAGGATGGTCTCGAACTCCTAACCTCAGGTGATCCACCTGCCTCGGCCTCCCAAAGTGCTGGGATTACAAGAGTGAGCCACCTCACCCAGCCGGAAAATTACTTTTAAAGTTTGTATTTACAAACATAGAAAAGGGTCTGCAAAGAAATACACTAAATTGACATGTGTTGCATCCAAGGAGGGAGTTGAGAGAGTGCAGTGGGGTAGAACCCTTTGTTTTAACTTACGTAGGTCTGAATTCTTTGAAATTTTTGATGAGTATTACTTTTCAAACTTAGAATAAGGAAAATGCAGAAATCCACATTAGCATTAAATAAATAAAAACCACTTATAAGACTAACTCCTGAAAATAAGCCTAGTTGATATGTACCCTTCCAGGTTTCATTATGCAAATACGATTATATATATAGCTTACATTTGTTTCTAAATAGCATATCATGCACAGCTTTCCAAGTCAATAAGCAAACATTATGTTTTCAAGGAGTACTTCCAATTTTTTTTTTGTTTGTTTGACAGAGTCTCTCTCAGTCGCCCAGGCTGGAGTGCAGTGGCTCGATCTCTGCTCACTGCAAGCTCCGCCTCCTGGGTTCATGCCATTCTCCTGCCTCAGCCTCCCAAGTAGCTGGGACTACAGGTGCCCGCCACTACATCCAGCTATTTTTTTTTGTATTTTTTTAGTAGAGACGGGGTTTCACCGTGTTAGCCAGGATGGTCTCAATCTCCTGACTTCATGATCTGCCTGCCTTGGCCTCCCAAAGTGCTGGGATTACAGGCGTGAGCCACCGCGCCCGGCCGACTCCTTCCAATTTTATTGTATGGATGCACTATATTTATTTAAAGAATCCCCTACTGGTAGACATTTAGATTATTTTTTTTTTTTGGTTTTTGGTTTTGTTTTCAAACAAAAAAACGATGCTGTGGTGAACATTCTTATTTCTAGATTTTTGCATGCAATCATAATTATCTCCTTATAACTAATTTCTAGAAGATTTTGGGTGAAAGGGTATATACATTATAAGATTCTTAATATATATTGTCAAATTGCTCTCTAGAAAGGTTGACTATCCCTTATGTACAAAACTCTGAAAACTAAAAATGCTTTCCTAAGTTTAGCACCTAAACTCATGTGATAGCAAACCCTGACCTGAATAAACACGAGTCTATTTACAGTCTTTGTTTATCTCACTTAATTTGAATATTTGTACATTTCACTGCAGACATATAAATGTATTTGATCATGAGGTATTGCCCTCGTTCCTGCAGGGAGTGTTATATAATATACAACTTACACATCATATTGCTTTTCTAAAATCTGAAAAATTCTAAATTCCAAGAGGCAAAACCTGTCAACAGGTGCATGACACTGATGCCTAGACCCATGGCCTGTAAGCTGCCCCAGGTTTCTGGAGGTTGATGGCTATGTCTGCCTCATAGAGGCAGCCTTTGAAGCAGAGGCCAGCCTCTGGCTGCTATGCGCAGATCTCCCTCTTCAGCCCAGCCCCTGAGCATGTCACTGAATCTCCCACAGGCTGGGCCAAGGCATTAAGAACACAATTGTGGGGGCTGCAATCAGAGATGCTTCTCGGTGAGTGTGGTTGTGTGGTTTGGCCTATGGGAGAGATATCTGAATCCTGATAAAGCCTGTCTCTGAGACCCTAGAAGAACACCTGCAGCCACTTGTAGACAACAGCAGCCAAAAAAAGAGCCTTGATGCAGAGTGTTCAAGAGCGCATCTGAGATCAACCATGTCCTCAAACAAACAGTGCTTCAGTTGAGGTATCTGAATGCCCAAGACCAATTAAGCAGGGAAGTGGGTCAAAGAGATTCATAGCTAATATTTCTACATACAGTACATCTCAGTGGCTCCTAATGTGAGTTACTGATTGGTTTTAAGTATCAATAAATTATTTAAATTATTATTATATTATTATTTTGAGACAGAGTCTTGCTTTGTCGCTCAGGCTGGAGTGCAGTGGCGCCATCTCGGCTCACTGAAACCTCCGCCTCCCAGGTTCAAGCTACTCTCCTGCCTCAGCCTCCCAGGTAGCTGGGACTATAGGCGTGTGCCACCACGCCCGGCTAATTTTTGTATTTTTAGTAGAGACGGGGTTTTGCCACGTTAGCCAGACTTGTCTGAACTCCTGACCTCGGGTGATCTGGCCGCCTCAGCCTCCTAAAGCGCTGGGATTACAGGCGTGAGCCACGGCGCCCGGCCTGAATTTTCTGTACTTAACTTTTCTCATCTGTAGAGCAGGGATTATTATGAAGGTCAAAAGTGATCACATATGTAAAATAAATCACATAAAATAGTGCTTGATATGTGGTAAGTACTTAATAAATGTATGCTATTATTGTTGTTTTTGTTTTATTATTATTTGGGGTGGTTACTTATATTAGATGAAAAATAGGTCTTTAATCACAAGCCTGGACAGTTTATTACAGAAAATAGTAGAGAAAAGAACAGTGAAGAATTGTCATTGTCAAGGCTCAAGCTCTATTTGCTAGACCAAAGGGAATCTGCAATTTTTTCTGGTTAATAAATGTAAGAAGATATAATGTAAGAATGTAAGAAGATATAAAAGAAGAGGTGAAGTCTCAAGACAACAAAAAAAAGGGAACACACAACAACTAGGGGGACTGCAGGGAAACTCTCTAGAATATGGGTGGCTGGGCAGGTGAGCCCTCGACCTGCAGAGGCAGCCCTGCCTGCAGCTCTCGGGGTGTGCAGGGAAAAGGGGAACTGGCAGTATAAAACAAGCTATTAGAGGGAAAGCTGCTGAGAAAAGGGGGTCCAGGACAGGCAAGGCAGGTTCATCCTTTTGTTTGTCACTGCCATTGGTGAGATGAGCAGATTAAAAAAATAAAAAGTTTGATAAAAGAATTCCTCTCTAGAATTGTAAACGTTAAAGGCATTTTTTAAAAACTCCAAAAACTGAAAAGGATTAAAAGAAGGCAGGGATTTAAGACATCTCTATCTTGCACTAGAATAGTGTCCAGCACATGAAGTCTGTTTCCAAGAGAATATGTAGGTGTAGGTGGTGTGTGTGTGTGTGTGTAGGGTCGGGGTGGGGGGGGGTGTGGGTGCGGGCAGCGGGGAGTTAGAATAGATTCAGTGCTCAGGGCATTGATGAAGTGTCACAAGTCACCATAATTTTTGCCTCTCCATGGCCAACCCTGAGCTCCACCCAGAATTTGCCTATGTTGGGAAGGCCAGGCAGAAAGGCAGAGGTGTCCCCCACTTCAGAGAGAAGCAGTCAGACTGGAATAGCAAGGTGAGGAAGGGAAGAGGGGGCAGTAATGGGTATGGACCAGGAGGGATGCGAGGGCTGTCCAATCAACAAGCACCCACTTGATCAGTTTCAGCTATTCACTCTCCACTCCCGGCAGCTGGTCTGGGCACTGTGCAGACATCCTTGCCATCCATCCACATTCCACAAAGCAGGCAGAGAAGACCTGTCGGAGGCCCACTTACCATTTTTAAGAGCTGCAGGACTTGACTTCTTGCTTGAGAAATGCCAGTTATGCCTACTCTGGGTAAAATAGGTTAAAAAACATAATACTACAAGGAGGGGGCACAAATTCTAAAGAGTACCAAAAGTGACTTCAATTCACCAATTTTAGGGAATAAACGGCCTTCTTGGAGTTCATAGCGTATCATCAGAGTTGTAAAGAACTATTTCAGGATAAAAAACCCCTTCAGGAACTTTCTTAGGGATAAGTCCAAGCTGGAATTCAAAAATAAAATAGTAAAAGGAGAGGAGACACAAAACATGACTACTTATTTTCTGTGAGTACACATGTACGTATGTGTACATGCATACGTAAATATCAAAGAGGTAGGAGGAGCAGAGTGAATATTTGCTGAACATTAATCCAGTCTGATTTACATAACACAGAGAGAAAAAGGACTGGGACCAACTATACCAGAAATATCAATAATGGAATTGTTTGCATGGTGCAACTGTAAGTAATCATTTTCTTTTTTGAACGATTCTCTATTTTTGAAATTTTCTAGGCTTATGGTTTTGGTTTTGGTTTTTAGAGAATATGTTAGGTCTCAATGCCCTGCCTCTTAGGAGGCTTCTTGATCCTCCCTGTGCCCACTTTGTCCCTAGCCACCTCACATGAGGGTACATATGAGGAGACACAACAGTTAATCCCTAAAAAAGTCCTGCTTCACCTTTCTCCCACTCTGCTCACAAGACAAAACCAAATTTTTCCATGGTAACCTGCAGCCTCCTCTGGTAGACACAGCAGCTTAACAGAAACAACTTCCAAACAGCAGCTTCTAAGTAGCAGCTTCACAGCCTTCTCCTCTTCATATATAAGACTTGAGGAAAAAAGTCTGAGAAGAGCACACCAAATTGTTAGCTATGGTCATCTGGGTGGTGACAGCAAGCATCGTTGTTCTCATTTTTCTTTATATTCTTGTTATAATCTGATTTTTAAAAATAATAATATTTACCAGTTATATAGCTACACAAAAATAGACTAGTTTTTTTTTGTTTTGTTTTTTGTTTTTTTTTTTTTTTGGGAGAAAAAAGTTAAACTTCATTGCCTCTCTATGCCCTCAGGTTAGCATTCAATTTCTGAATGGCTGACAAGTCTTCCCAAGATCTTGTGTCTATTTAGGGACATTTTAAATATTTGGTTGAAATATATGCACCTGCTGTTTTTTTTAGTTAAAATGGTCAGTTATTGGCAACTTTATATGGCTGAGCCTACCAAGGCCTTCATCCTCACCTATGTGCTGCTCCTTCGACCTGGAAAACATTTTCTCACCACCCCAGCTTCTCTCTACCTCCCACCCATTCCTTCCTTCTTCATTTCTTCCCTTTCTTTAAGTCATCCAGTCTCTCTGCCATGTCTTCCAAGCAGCCTTAACTGATCCCTCAACACTGGATTAGAGACCCCTCCTATGGGCTTTCCAAACATTCTACCCATTCACTGATTCATTCACTCAACAAATAATTATTAAACACCAAGCACATGCCAGCATAAATCTAGGCAATAGAGACACAGTAATGAAAAGGGCAAAGTCATCTAACCTCTAGGTACAACATAATTTGTTTGGGTTTTTATTTCTATTTATTTATTTATTTATTTTTTGTTTTAGAGCCAGGGTCTTGCCATGTTGCCCAGGCTAGTCTTGAACTCTTAGCCTCAAGTCTTCCTCCCACCTCACTCTCCCAAAGTGCTGGGATTATAGGTGTGAGCCACCATGCCTGGCCTGGGTTTTTATTTCTAATTTCCTCTACTAAACTGTGAACTCTTATAGGTCAAGCTCCATGTCTCACACACCATTAAACAGTCACAGCTCAATGTACCCAGCACACAGTATTCACATGCTCATTGAATAAAAAAGTAAATGGGCCGGGGGCAGTGGCTCACGCCTGTAATCCCAGCACTTTGGGAGACGGAGGCAGGCGGATCACCTGAGGTCAGGAGTTTGAGACCATCCTGACCAACATGGAGAAATCCCATCTCTATTAAAAATACAAAATTAGCCAGGCGTGGTGGTGCACGGCTGTAATCCCAGCTACTCAGGAGGCTGAGGCAGGAGAATCACTTGAACCTGGGAGGCGGAGTTTGCAGTGAGCCAAGATCGTGCCATTGCAGTCCAGCCTGGGCAGGAAGAGCGAAACTCCATCTGAGATAAATAAATAAATAAATAAATAAATAAATAAATAAATAAATGCCTCCATTTCATCAAAGTATTATCTAACTTATTTTTATTCTGTTACAGTTTTTTTTTTTTTTTAAGTTTATTGCTCACAATTTATCTTCTAACAGAAGGGAACAGCTGATAAAAGAAGCCCTCCTTTGTTCTACATTTCCTGCCCAGGTCGCTCAAGTTCTGTTTGCTTTGACTGTCTCTGGAGTGCTTGCTGGGTGAGGTCAAGGAAGGGAAGGAGAAAACCCGCTCGCTTGTAGTTGGAGTCACAGGAAACCAACTGCAAGGCTCCCGCTGTGTAAGGGGATTGGGGGGATGGGCAGAGCAGGAGGATGAGTGATCAGCCTGGACAAACCTCAATCTGAGAAGAAATGTGTATTTAAAGCCTATACTCAGCCTCAGGACCTGCCCAGAAAAAGCAGCCTACATATATATAGAGAGAGAGAGAGAGTCAGGTCACACAATTCTACCACTGGACAGAGGAGAACACCAAGAAACCGAGCAGAGTCAGCACTTGCCAAGATAAAAGAGCCAAGTAACAGGCATAACTGAGCCTCAAACCCTAGCTTGCTACCCCAGAGTCCTTGCTTTTTCCTGGAGAGGCAGAGATGGGAGAGTCTACAACCCATGACTGTTGGCTTCCACTCAACTTTGGGTGATTAATCCACCCACATTATTTACTGAGCACCTATTATATTCTAGCACCTGTCTAGGTAGGCGGTAGTGGGGGAGGCAAATTCCCACACTTGAAAAATCCCCAGAATGAGAGTGATATGATTTGTGGCATCCATAAAGTTGTGCAACTCACCTGAGTGAATCAGAGTCTAAAGCACTGGAAGCCTTTGTGGGAGGAAGTGGCCTCTTCAGCCTGCCCTCCCAGAGGCACAGGCTCTGCTCCTGAAGTCCTGCCTCTTGAGATGGAAGCTTTTACTTGTCCTAAGCAGGCAGGAGTCCTGAGAACCAGGTCTTTACAAGAAGGAAAGGAAGTACTCCTTGATTGAACACCTATGATGAGCTAGGCCCTGTACTAAAACCTATACACTATGTGCTTTGATCCTCAAAACAATTTTCTACAGATTAAGAGACTGAGGCTTCAAAGAGAGGATTGTGAGAACTGATTTCTAGGGCATCTGCTGCAAAGCACCCCCAGCCCTGTACTGCTTACTTATATTCAGGGATCCCAAACCACACTTTCCACAGCAACTGGTCAATGGCCACTTATAGTTTGTCCATATTGGACAGCACAGATTTTACAGAACATTTCCATCATCACAGACAGTTCTATTAAACAACACTGAACTAAACCATGAGAGTTGGCAGCTCGTAAAAGCACTTTCCACCACCCTGTATTTTTAATCCACCTTCCACTCTCACTTTCTCCAAAAGTGGCCATGCAGTAGGGGATGTTGTAGGTGCTCAATAAATATTTCCTGAATGGATAAGGAAGATGTGGCCTGAAGATAAGAAGGAAGTGGAAGGAGGCAGAGTTGGAAGTGGGCCTGATTTATTCAAGAAATGTTTGGTAGCTGATTGAGAGCTTGAGCAGACCGAGAAGTCCTTTCTCTGATGTCACCCAACCCCACCCATGAAAACACAGAAATGAATGGTGACATAATTTATGGGAGCAATAAAAGTCATACCTACCCATTACCTCTTCAAATGACTCATGTCTGTATGTGCTCACAGTGAATGTTTTAAACAGACCAGAACAGTGGTTAGTGCCCATGAGGACAAGTGTCTCTTTAAAATAAAAATTTTTAGTCCTACTCAAGTCAGAACTTGAGAACTCGGATCCTGGAGTTCCTGTAACCCAGTTCCTTTATGGTTCATGTGGAAAAACTGAGGCCCCATCCTAGTGACTGGCTCATGGTCACACAGCCAGTTGGAAGCAGTATTGTTCTCCAGCCCACTTGCCACCTAGAATACAGGCTAAAATGAGAGCAGATGATCTTTGTCAGAGCAGGTGGACCAAGGAACGGGAAGATTGGGTGCCCAGCGAGCCAAGGGTGAGATCAAGATAATAAGGAAACCAGGAACAAAATAAAACAATAGGTTGGGAACAACCCCAGAGCAATAGAGTCAACCAGGGGTACATTAAGAAGGGGGAAGATACTGTGGTCTGAATGTTTGTGTCCTTCCAATATTTATATGTTGAAACCTAATTACCAAGGTAATGGTATTAGGAAGTGGGGCATTTGGGAGGTGATTAGTTCACAAGGACAGAGCCTTCAGGAATGAGATCAGTGCCTTTATAAAAGAGGCCTCAGAAAGCTAGCTAGCCCCTTCCACCATGTGAGAACACAATAAAAAGGCACCATCTATGAACCAGGAAGCAGGCCCTCATCAGACACCAAATTTGCCAGCACCTTGATCTTGGGCTTCCCAGTCTCCAGAACTGTGAAGAATAGATTTTTGTTGTTTGTAAGTCACCTGGTTCATGGTATTTTGTTACAGCAGCCCAAATACACTAAGACAGAAGACAATTAGAAAAAAAGTCTAGTCTGACAGCAAGTGGTGGCAAGGATGATGGAAATGAGCATTGTTGTATACTACTGGTGGGACTGTGCATTGGTAGGACCCTCAGAGGGCAATTTCGCTGGTAGAATTTAATATGTGCATCCCTATGACCAGTAATCCCACTACTTCTTAGGAGAAATGCTTGCACATGTGTACTCAGACACATGTACAGGGCTATTCATTGCAGCTTTGTCTGTGATCATGAGCAACTAAAAACAACTCAAGTGTCCAGTTGTGGGAATGGATACATAAAATACACTATACCCACAAAATGGAATACTATGATGCAATGCAACAGAGTGTAGAGGATCCATCCAGGGCCACCACAGTACATATCTTTCTATGAATTAAAATAAGATGATCCCCTCTGGGTGAACGAATTCCAGAAAGGCATCCCTTCCTCTGGGCTAATCTAGTGGAGATGGGCAGAGTTCCAGCCTTCCTCATACCCTCCTGGCTGTGCGACCAGACCAGTGGCTCTGAGTCCAGTCCTACCAACCTGAATGACCAAGTCAAATGGAAAAACAAGTTGTGGAACAGTGTTTAAAACAGGATGTCTTTGATATATTTAAGCACATATTCTTCATGTTTTCTCTAACGATAGCAATTCGTAACATGCATGTTAATGAGTAGGAAAAGAACTGGAGGAATACACACCTTCCCTGCAGTAGGTGTTACCTCTGGGGCTGCCAGGGGGTAAGAACTGTTGGTCAAAGAGGTCTTTAACTTTATCAGTTGTGTTTTGATTTAACTTCTCACAAGAAGAATGTACTTTCCTGTAATTTGTATGATTAGAGTTAAATTTTAAACTAAAAACTAAAGAATGGAAAGGTGGGCTTTGGGCACAGAAGGAGAAATTTATGCCATCCTAGGTGACACCCACCATCACCGCTACCACTGCCAGCACCAGATTTAAAGGCACACTGCTACATGGGCCAAAATCCCACACAAGTCCATTCTGACCTCAATTCTGGGATGAGGTAGGGTAGAAAGTGACAGGGACCTCAGATTAGATGAAAAAACCTTTTAGAAATCAGAGAGAAGAAGGCTTGCTGAAACCATATCTCTTCTAGGCACACCTGCAGGCAACCTTGATGACTTCGGCCCTAAGAATCCCAGCTTTGTCCCCAAGGCTGGAAAACAACAGAGAAAATAGGAAGAAGGTGATGGAGCCTCCTCATGCCCATTTACTCCTAGAGAGCATTTGTAAGGAGCACCTCTATGCCCAATAGAGAGTGCTAACAAAGTCAACACACCAGCTGAAGCAACATCAAAGGAAGCATCCAATGACTTTTGGGGGCTTTATCACAGTGAATAGAAGGTGAGGGAAGTGACTAGTCTTGAAATTGTCTTTTAATGGTTTGATTTCACGGTCTTCTTGTTACTTAAGTACCATTCATCTTCCTCCAAATCTCCACCAGGAGTTTCATATGTCTTGGCAGCTCAATTTCCTCTCAACCTACTGGATGAGAAAAAAAGGTCCACTGGTCACTTATCTAGGGAAAGCACATTGTGAGCCATTAGGGTCTCAGCATCCCTCTCTTTGTAAGATTTACAGCCCCCACTAGAATGGATTTATATCTCAAAACACTTGCTACTCTTGTCACCTTCATTCAGAAGCAACCCTTGTATTGATTGTTCATGCTTTGGATACTGTTTAATTATCTCTCAGAAAAATTGGCCACTCAGTCAAGGAGATTTCACTGAATGACAATGACGTATGACTTGAATGTGTAACTCCAAAGGAACAATAGTCCTATATCTATTCCCCCATTTCCTGCACATATCTTCCTTCCTTTTGTTTAGACCACCCACTGTCATGCCCACCCACCATGGCCATAATGTGCTGCCAGGGGGCATTTATCTGTTGTACACTCTCTCCCAGGGTTCCCAGTAGCACGTCCCAAGGCCTGCTCCACATGGAGAGAGGTTGGCTCCCATGGCAGGGGTGCTATTTCTCTTCCAATGACTCAAAGAGAATTAAAACTGGAATAAAACGGCAGCATAGAGAATGATTAAAAAAAAAAACTAAAAGACTAAATCGGCATCTAGAAACTATACCTGTGGAAGGAAGAAACTCTGGCTCCAGGCTGATCCTCCATGTGCCCATCAGCATAATCTTGCTATTATTAAACACCATGTATAGACATACCTCACAATGGACTGCAGTCTGGTGGATAGTTTTAGCTCTTGCTTCAATCTCTCCATCTCCCTTCATTTGCCTGGTACAGTTGAGCCCTGTGTCTTTGTTCATGTTGCTGCTGTTTTATGGACCATGACTGTCTTAGATGCTTCTCCCAGAAGTAGACATGAGTGAAGGATTCCAGATGCAATTGTTTGGGAGGTGATCTCAGGAAACACTGCTAGGGAAGTGGGGAGGTAAGATGGGGAAAGGAAGGGAAAAGGAGGAAGTCAGTAAAGAATGTGTTATCAAGCATGCAATCACTATGGGAGAACGAGGCCCAATCTCCTTGGAGACCTCAGAACTCACCTCTAAGTTGTTCCACTTGAGGGGCAAAGAAATTAGGGCATTTATCCTCCAACTCCTACCCACCACTGGCTGAGGGCTCCTCCCAGAGCTTTATCTCTTCAGCCCTTGCTGCATGCCCAGCTCACTTTAGAAAGCAAACCTCAGGCTGAGAGTCATACGTGCATGCAGTAGGCAGCTGTGAAATGTCCTGGATGGTGAGTCCAACAGATATGGGTAGTAACTCCACAGTAACTGCTGCAACTCTTCATTTCCTTTTTGCTTTGACAAACTCTTGTTTATCTTTTAAGATCCTTGTGAAATTCAACCTCCTCTGAGATGTCACCTCCTTCCACACTCCCTCCCCACGAGGAAGAATTAATAGCTTCCTCCTCCAAGCTCTATTAACACTATGCTCGCACTTCAGTTAAACCAGCAGCTATGTTTTGTTCTACTTTGTTTGACTGTTCTTCCCAAACAAATGCACAATTTGAGTACGGAGATTAAGTCTAAGCCATCTAGGTATTTTACCACATTCACCCAGTCATTTAATTTGTATTAACGGAGCATCTACTGTTTGACAAACACTGTTCCAGGTACTGAGGATACAGAAGTAAAAAATATATATACACACTAAGTCCCTGCTTTCTTGATTTTAACAGTTGTGTGTATATGTCTTTGTGTGTGTAGGTAACAAGTAAAAACAAATTAGTGTAAGTTGTGAGTGGTAAAAAATACAATGAAGAAAAATAGAGCCCGGTATGGAATAGTAAATAAGTGTGAGTGGTTTAATCTTTTACATGGGATGCCAGGGGAAGGCCTCTCTGATGAAACTGCATTAGAATGTAGATTTTGGATAAAATGAAAGGGTGATCCATAAGAATATTTAAGGGAAGAGAAATCTGGGCAAAAAGAATCATATGTGCAAAGGGCCTGTGTTGAAAGCCTGAAAACAGCAGGAAGCACACAGCCCATGCCCAGCTCATGGCTGATTTAATCATGCATCGACTGTAAGATTCACCCACAAATCCCTTATTTGGCTAAGCTGTCTCTCATCCTATGCACTTCTCTATCACTGCACTTATATATGATACTATAATTAAATGTGCAAGGTCATCAGGTGTAGGGACTGTGTCTTCTGATCCTTTTTGTGTCCCTGGTGCCAAACTCAGCACTCGTTCTGTTGTAGGTGCTCAAAAAATGTTCCTTAAACTTAAGCCCTCATTATTCCCCATATAAAACTTGGCAAAATAGAGATCAAGTCACAGAAAGGGCCCATTTGAAGTGCACACACATGGTACAGAACACCTCTGCTTGCAAATTGAGATGAACACAGATGCTGGGAAATAGCTTCAGAATTCTTGAAGGCAGTGGCCATTCTTGGCTGAAACTAGGACTCTTTTGACAGTTACAGCCCTAAAACGTGTAGCCCTTTCTTTCAGGGGCATTGAATTGTCTCTGGTGGTTGAACACATTTTACAGTCTGACCAGAGTGGATTTTGTGTGCTAAAAACGTAATGTATTACAACTTTCATGGATGAACACAGCCTGCAGTCCTCCAGAAACCCCCAATGGTCAGTCTCTTCCTAGAGCAGAGGGAGCAGCTGCTCAGAGCTGACTCAGAGGTAGGCCTGAGTGATTGTGTTTTAAGGTGGTAACAGACAACAGCCTGTTCCAGAAAAAATGTCATGAGCCTTCACATTATTAAGGATGTTTAGGGTTGCAAGGACAATAGTGTTTTGTCTATCCAGCATGCTCTGCCCTTCCTTTAGGAAATTATCTTTCCTACTCCAAACATATGATTGGAGGGAGGGAAGAGCTGGAAATCACAGTTCCCTTGGTTACAGGATCAGTGGTCCCATGAGGTAGGTAGTCTTACTATCCCCATTTTATGAGGGAATAACCTGAGGTTCAGCAAGATGAAGTTGCTGCCCAAATTCACTAAGCTAGAAAGTAATAGGGCCAGTGGTCAAACCCGGTTCTTTGTGATTCCAGGGTTCTTGCACTTCATTGGAAATGACAGGGAACAGGGCAGCAATAGGGCAGAGGGGATAGGGACAGGAATTGGAAGCCGACATCAAGGCAACATGGTACTGGTAAGCTCAGGCCCCAGAGCTCAGGCCAGAGCCAAGGTAAAGGATCAGAGCATTTCCATAGTGGAACTAGATTTAATAACCAGCTAAAGAACAGGATTCTGGAATCCAAGTGGACTTTCAACTGTTAAAATTTCTCATAAAGACACTACCCTGGGGTCGGAGGTTAAGGTGTTATCTATAAAGTCAAAGGTGGGAACATTTGGAGAGAGATGGGAATGCATTCTCCTTTCCCAGGAAACCAGGAGTCAGAGCAAGACCATGCCCCAAGTCTGCAGAGACTTGCTTTGCATCTGGGAGGCCACTGGGGGCAATCCAGGGGGCCCCATTTAAAGAGAATCTTCACATGCCAATTCTAATAGGCTCACCCTGGAAGTACTACCAATTTAAAGTCACCCTTGACCTGTGATTTTAATATCTTCAGAGAGCAAACAAACCAGGGGGTATTGCCAAGCCTATCAGTGATGACCCTGGTATCAATACAGGATCTCAAGGGGCAGAAGGCAGAAAGGGGTCTCTCAGACCTCTCAGACGCAGGGCCCTGTATTGGTCAGGGCTCATCCAGTTTTAAGTGACAGACTCAATTCAAGCTAGCTTAGGCAAAAGAGGCAAAGCTTACCATACAAGAACCACATCACAGGCAGGCAAGGTCACCTGGAACCAGGGACTCAACAGCAGTTCATTATCCCTTCTCTTCTCATGTCTTTGCTTTCTGCTAGGAGGCCTCATTTCCTTTCTTGAAGCTGAAATCATGTTCCCCAGAAGCTCTGGACACGTATTCTCTCAACTTCATCATCCAAGAAAGAAAGCTCCAATTAGATATATCTGAGAAAAGGCCCTGATTTGCCCATTTCAAGACCAGTCACTGTTGCCAGGGAGGGAGGCACCATGATTGGCCCCATCAGGTCAAGGATGTGGGGCATCAGGAATGGTAGCTTTTACTGGAACTTCATAGAGCTGTAGGTGTCAGGTGGAGGGTGGGCAGTTCCCCAAAGAGAATGGGAGGATAGCAAGGACATGACCCCACAGGAACTGCTGAGGCCTGGTCAGCTACACCAATAGTATCTACTTCAGCTCCAGGACATTTTACCTTCATCAGTCCAACTCCCCTTCCTCCCTGGTGAGAACAAAGGGAGGGAAGGGAGTCCTAAACCTATTCGTTTCAAGAAATAAAGCAGTTAGAGAGTCTGGGCTCTTTCCTAGGTGAATAGGGAAAGGGAGATTGTCTTTGCTATGGAGAAAAGGAACAGAAACAAGACTAATACTTAGTGTTTTTTGGGCTCTCATTCTGAAACTCTACATGGTGCAGCTCTAATCCACACAGTAATGTCAATAGTAGTGTCCCATGTTGCAGATGAGGAAAAAGAGGTTGAGTTCACAAAAGTGATTGCCATGGATCACACAGGCAATAAATGGGGAAAGCTGGTGAATTGAGCCTGTGTTTTCACATTGGTGGCACTTCACAGGTGAGGATATTTCTTCCAACCTATAGAGTCTCTCCCCAATAACATTTGCACACTGGCCTGAAGTAAGGTATGTGCCCTGAGGGTGAACGTCTTATTCGGCATTTTTCAGACTTCTCGTCCTGCCCACCTGTAGATATCTGTGTAGACTACCATAGCCTATCTGACACCCAAACCCATCAGGAAAAATGACGTGAGCCATTGACTAATGAACTCTTCCTTCATGCCTTTTGGTATAGAGGTGGCAAAACACTTTACAAATAATTGTAACAGGATGTTTACCAGGCATTACATGAAGATGAGGTAGTGCTAATAATCTCCACATTCTAAAAAGATGACAGGGCTTATTAAGAGGCAGCAGAAATGACCACTCTATAATCGATCACCAGCCCCACCCCTGGACAATACTTAAAGGAAAGCACTGGGAGAAAAAATGAAATGGAAATCAGTGGAGAGAGCTACGTGGCTTTATGAGGAGTACAGGGTCCCCCGAGAAAATAAATCTCTTCCCTTCCCACAAAGGGTGGAGAGACAGGGGTGCTTTCTTCTCTTCACTCCAATGGGGAACAGGGTCAGGAAAGTAACATGTGAAGATTGGGGATGTCAACAGGAAGACTTCATCGCCCTCCTAGGCTCTCTAATGCTGGCAACAGGTGGAGAGAAACATATTTAGAGAATGCTTGGGAGAATGTGTAAATGTCTCCTGAAGATGAGGAGCACATGTGAACAGCCTCCTCTTGCTTGGGGTAGGAGGCTTAGAAGAGGGTCAGATGAAGAGTGCCTAGTGAAAAGAAGAGGGGGCACCTCCACCCCCGCGGAAGGAGTGTGAAGGTTAGGAGAGGGAGCAGGAACCACCGTTCCCCAAACGAACAGAGGAGACACTCCTTCAGAAAGGGCAGCAGGGACCTGAACTTCTGGTCTGGTTGATAAGAGACAGGGCCACCCCTGAAGAGTCTTCAGCAATGGAAATAGAATGAAACTGAGCACTACCCCCAAGGAAACCACATCCACTGTCTACACAGAGACAGCCACATCAGAAAAGACCTCAAGCTTCAGATAGCACCAGGTTAAACCAGAGAGAAATCAAGGCCACAGTACCACATGAGAGTCATGTAAGTTGACCCCTGCTTCTCATCTCTCTCTACTTCCCCAGTGTAGACAAACTAAAGACAGACGAGGGAGGAAGAAGAAGGGAAAGGGAAGCACATGCTCTCCCTCCATCCAGGTCCTTTGAGCCACAAGTCTAGACGGCAATGGCAAAGAATAAGCCATGGTGTTACTTAGAGGATTGGTGTTTTTAACGGGACCTGGCTGTGTTTAAACATCAGAAGTGGCCAGAAAGTTATAGAATCTGTCAAGATCATGTAAAGGTTGAGAAAGGCAGACACCACAGTGCACAGCAATGAGTGGGAAAAAGTGTCTCATGTTGGTATCTCTATTGCACTGAGTATTTTCAATGAGTCACTTACCATTTGGATTCTCTCAATTGTCCTATTTTCCCTAATCCTCTTGAGCCATTCAGAGTTCATTTTTATGTGTCCTTTTAGGGACGAGAAACAAGACCAGAGCCCTCCTTCTCTTTGCTTTGCCTGTATCTTCTTGACTCATTGTCTTGCAGAGCAGACAGGCTTTCTCTGGGTGGCTGAAAACAAGGCCACCACCCTCTCCAACTTCAAATTCTTCCTGATCCATCCCCCAGGTGCAGGGCCCTCCTCCAACTCCAGCTGAAAAAAAAAAAATCTCTCAGGGAAGGATTTGATTGGCCTTGCTTGAGTCACATGTTTCCCCCACCAAGGGATCAGTCTTGTGATTGGCACATAGCCCCTTGTCATGTGTTTGGAGTTAGGACAAAAGAGGTGCCATGCCCCCAGAATTAGGGTGGGCAGTGCTAGAACAGATAAAATACTACAGATGGCCCACATGATACTAACATGCATTTTAAGCAGTTTTCATTCTGCTGACATCTTGGAATTCTTGTTTATCTACATGGTTTTAAAAGATAGTTTAAATCATGTGGGTCTTTTAAAAGCTTCTTTTAACAGAATCAAGTGATGATGAAAGAGAATAAAAGTGAGTGATTACAGTTTCAATATTTTAGGTTTCTCTTCCCTAAAAGTTATAAAGGCCCGTTTATAAACAAGAACCTCTCTTTGGCCATCCCTTTTTTTTTCCCCTTGGACAATAAAAAGATTAAAAAGCCACGTGGCTTAGTGTCTGCTGTTTGGACAGCACAGATTATAGAGCATTTCTCTCATTCCAGAAATTTCTGTTGGATGGCACTGATGTGGACGCTTAACAGAGGCCAAAAGCACAAGCAGAATGAGCCAAGAACACATCGGTGATCAGAGCAATGCATGTACAGAACAAGGGAGGAGCAAATGCCAGAGGGTAAGGTGAGTCAGCAGAGACCACAGTTCCTACAGGAACGGCTGGGGGACAAATGTGGTTCCAGGGTTGGGGGTGACACCTTAGTTATCACTGGGCTGGCTCCTTCTCTTCAAGCAGGAACCAAAGCCCTTACTGCTAGTTACTGGAAGAGCCCAAGCCAGTGTCAGAACCAGCACTTGTGGGCTGGGCACAGTAGCTCATCCCTATAATTCCAGCACTTTGGGTGGCCAAGGCGGGAGGATTGCTTGAGGACAGGCGTTCAAGACCAGCTTGGGCAACACAGGGAGACATTGTCTCCCTGTGTCTCCTGCTTACTGGAAGGAAGGTCAGTGGAAGGAGGTAAGCAGGTATAGCTGGCTGGAGTATGGCACATAGCATAAGGGCAAGAATAGATTCGTTCTGCACAAGAATAGATTCCTTGCCCAGGGAGAGACCTGACATTTTGGGGTCCAAACTTGTCAGGAAAGAAACAGAAATAAAGAAAACAAAGTCACTTAAGCTACCCTTTCTGGAGAGTCTTAACCTCTTTTTCTCTCTTCTAAGCTTTCTGATCAAAATGAAGCCAAGAAAATAAAGGTCTGGAAGGAGTTGGGCGGAACATCCAACCCAGAATATTCCTTTTTATAGATGTACCAGAATTCAAACATTCCCCCATGTGAGGCACTTTTAGGTTGTCCTAGTTATCTTTGCTTACCTAGTCCCTGATAGTGTCTGGCACAGAGTTGGTATTCAGAAAATGTTGTTGAATAAATTAATTAATCCCCTTTCAGTTACGTAAGGAAACAGTAGTTGCCCAGGAAAACAGTCATCTATTAAATGTGGGCATGAAGGGAATAATGGATATTAAGGTATATCATTTAAGACAGTGGCTGCTACAGCACATCACAAGTGCTGGTTTGGTTTTACTTTTGGAGACGGTCTCTCTCTGTCAGCCAGGCTGGAAAGCAGTGACATGATCATAGTTCACTGTACCTTGTACTCATGGGCTCAAGCGATACTCATTCAACCTCCTGAGTAGCTAAAACTAGAGGGGCACGCCACCATGCTCGGCTAATTTTTTTTTTTTTTAGAGAGACAATGTCTCCCTATGTTGCCCAGGCTGGTCTTGAACTCCTGGCCTCGAGGATTCTCCCCATCTTAGCCTCCCAAAGCACTGGAATTACAGGGATGAGCTGTTGTGCCCAGCCCACAAGTACTGGTTCTGACACTGGCTTGGGCTCTTCCAGTAACTAGCTGTATTCCCTGTGCCTCAGTTTCCTTATCTGTGAAATGGGGGTATTGCATTTGATGTGCTCCATGGGCCTGTCCAGCTCTCAAATTCTCTGCATAGTGACACCTGACCATTCCTTCTTTGACCTAGAACACAGGCTTTCCCTGCACTGCCACCAAAAGTGTATTAAAGAGATTTCTGCTGTCTTTTTGGTGGGGATAAAGGAGTCTATTAAGGGGGGCAGGTATTAACCCTTCCCCCATCAAATGTGAGTTTGGGAGTGTCCCCAGTCCATCTGGTGCCATCTTACCTGCGCTTTAAGTTGTAAAACTATTCATGATTATGTACATGTCTGTCTGAGACCACAGGACTGGGGAGAAGTCCTCCCTAATCTCAGCAGAAAGCTGGAAGCCAGCTTGTGTGATTGATTTCTGGAAGCAGAAAGAAGAATGTGCAGCTCCGAGAAGGGGTTAATGCAGGAGGTCATAAAATTGCAGGCAAGAAATTTAAATTAAAAAAAAAAAAAAGGCCAAGGAAACAGGCACCTTCAAGCAAGTAAGCAAAAAAAAAAAAAAAAAAAAAAAACAGGAAATAACATGTAAAACTACCTACAGACTCCGTACTTTATGCATTTCTAACTACTTATGTGCCTCTGGTTTGGGAAAAACAAAGCTAGTGAGTTCAATATCATTATCTTTACTTTACAGAGAGAAAACTGGCCAGGAGAGGTTCTCTAATTAATTTGCATTACTGAGAGCCTATTAAGTACCAGGCGTAAGTTATACAGCAGTGTATGTGATGGACATGAAACTTACAGCTCACTGAGAGCTGTCAGATATTGAAAAAATGATTAGCCAAATAACTACTTAATCATAACGATGTGATATATAAAAGGAAAAGTCTAGGGTACTCAGTGGGATGCAGACAAGTAACAGGTGCAACTATCTAACTTGTTGGAGGGGTCAGAGAAGGGCTCTGAGGAGGTAAGCAGGAATCTGAAGGATGGGTGGGAGGTCACCAGGTCAGGAACGTGGAGGCAGAGTATGAACACTGTGCGTGAAGCAATCTGCTAAAAATCCCCGTGCCAACTGGAAGTCAAGTTGTTGCCATTATCTATTTCTTCCTTTTCTCCTGTGCTTCAAGACCCAGAAAGCACGGCTAGTTACTGGCAGAGCTCAAACCAGTATCAGAACCAGCACTCGTGATGTGGTGCTGCAGCAGCCACTGCCTTAAATGATATATCTTAATATCCATTATCCCCTTCGTGCCCATATTCAATAGATAACTGTTTTCCTGGGCAACTACTGTTTCCTTAAGTAACTGAAAGGGGATTCATTAATTTATTCAACAACATTTTCTGAATACCAACTCTGTGCCAGACACTGTCAGGGACTAGGTAAGCAAAGATAACTAGGACAACCTAAAAGTGCCTCACATGGGGGAATGTTTGAATTCTGGTACATCTATAAAAAGGAATATTCTGGGTTGGATGTTCCGCCCAACTCCTTCCAGACCTTTATTTTCTTGGCTTCATCCTGATCAAAAAATTTATAAAGAGAGAGAGAGGGAAAAAAAAAGAAAAAGAAAAAAGAAAAAACCGGTATTGGTCCCAGCCAAATGGAGCTCCACAGTCAATGGCCTCAGGAAGATCCCCCACCTGCACCCCCGACTGTGCTGGGGCCCCTATTACTGCCCTTGTAGAATCCGGGTTTTCTTCCTAGCCCTTAGCTAATTTGCAATTATACATTTATTTTTGTGATTGTTAGATGAATGCCTGTCTTCTGCATTAAGCACAAGGTACAGGAGAGAAGGGACCAGTCCTGCTTTTGGTCTCCACTGTATCCTCAGCACCTAATCCAGGACTATGATAGAGAATCTGCCCAATAACCATTTGTTGAGTGAGTATATGAATAAAGCTGACAAGCGAGAGAAATCTCATAACTAAAGAAAAAGAGAGAAATAGTTAATAACAAGAACAACTTGACCTCCAGTTAGTACAGGGATTTTTAGTATATTGCCTGGCACATAGTGTTTGCACTCTTAAATGACAGTTATTATTTAAGATAACTTTAAATAACCTGAAACTAGAAAAATAGCTGAAGCTTTCCTTCTAAACCTGTGATGATTATCCCTGTTGTGGGGTGAGAGAAGTGACGCAACTTGCCTATAGCCGCAGCACTGGAACTCTCAGCCTGATGCACGCCCTAATAACCCTTATACCTTGACAAGAGTCACACAAAGAAGAACCTGCCTTCTTCCTCCTTTTCTCCACAGCATCCTACCTATCGTGAGCTCTTATCACCAAACTTTGAAAATCTCTGTAATACCTTCTCAGTTTTTTGTCTGTACCACCTAGACAATTATTTGCTTAATACCTTTCTTTAAATCAACCCAGTGGGTTACTTTGAAAAGTTCAATAGAAAGTATACTATCGCTTTATCTTAAATATTGGAGAACTGCAATAAACACGATGAAAACAAAAACGCCTTGACTAAATTCACATATTAATGTCTGAGAAAGGATCTTGGCCTGAGGGCTACTCTCTGAAGCAGCTAAAGGAGACATACTAAAGGAACTTCTTTACGCAGAAGGAAAGGCTCCCAGATGGAAGGAAGGAAGTGCAGGAGGAAAAGCAACGCATCTAAAAGGGTAAATACAAAAATTGTTCCCTGTTGAAAGCAAAGAATAACAATAGTGTGTGTGTGTATGTGTGTGTGTGTGTATAAAACAGACGACCTCAGGACCAAACAGGCAGGAACAGAATAAATACATTTAAATTGTAAGGGTCTTGCATAGTTCAGGTTGTAATAAAAGTAGTAATTGGAAGTAGACTGCAATAAGTTAAGGATGTATTTTATAATTTCTAGGGCACCCAACCACTAGAATGATAGAACAATGCACAACAGAAACGCTAACGCAGGAGATAAAGTAGGCAGGGGAAAAAGAAATTAGCAAAGATGTGTTAACAAGGTAAAAAAAAGAAATGCCAGTACAAACCAAAGACTTCAGTAGGTCTGAATGAAGCTTGGAAAGAAAATAAACTTCGTGCTTTTGATTCAATATTTTCTAATGCTGCACCTGTGACCCACCTGAAATTCACCTCCTCTTACCCTCAAGAAGTGGATATAGGCTTTGAAGCCTGGTTCACCCAATGGGTATGACGAGGAGGCCATTCATTATTAGGACTGGTGCTTGGAATCAAATGTTCATATCCTCCTCACTTTTCTCATGGGACAAATGTCAGAGCAGAATTGGACTCTGCATAGGGAACCAGATGCCACTTCTAACCAGAGGCCTTCCTTCAAACCAGTGGTCATCACTGGGGCTGATTTTGTCCACCAAGGGGCATTTGACAATGTCTGGAGACATTTTTGGTTGTCATAACTTAGGGGAGGGGGTCTGCTACTGGCATCTAGATGCCAGGGATACTGCTGAACATCCTACAATATGCAGGACAGCCCCAAACAACAAAGAAGTATGTGGCCCCAAATGCCAGTAGTGCCAAGGATGAGAAACTCTGCTTTAGGGCATAACTAATTACAACACCAAACCAAAGTCTCGATTGGAAGCTAAGAGGAAGAGAGTTGGCAACATGAATGCAGCTGTCCTGAATTCCCTACTGGTAGAAAAATGTTCAGCCCCACTTCCCTGCGCTGGAATCAGATGCTTCATTAACACTGAGACTCTTCTCAGAGAGTTTGGTGACATTCTAGAACACAGAAAAAGCCCTAGTTTCACAAAGCTAAGATCCTGGAAATTAAGTAAAGGCCTCTTCTGACATCAAACTCCAGAGATACAGCATTCTGGGAGGAGAGTAATACAATGGAGAGATGTTGTTTTAACATGACATGTCTACAAGGCCTATGTTGAGTAAATGAGCAGCCTCCTTAAATATAGAAGAGGCTGTGGTCAATCTTGTGCCTCAAGCCATTTCTCAGGGAGGCCTGAGTTGCTTCGCCCGTCTTTGTTTTAGTTGGTTGTACAAAACACAGCCTGGTGTATTTCTGTCTTTTCTTAGCGTCTGTGTATCTCACCAGGCACAGCTGTCACCCTTGCCTCCTCCTTTGCCAGAGTGGAGGCTCCTGGAGCCAATGTGCTTTCTCCACAGTAGCGCCAAGCCTCAGGGAATGTTGCCCTCTTGTCTCCTGCTGACAGCTGGGGCTCTGCAGAGACTCAGAGGCAAGAAAGCAACGCTCCCTGGAGGCCCCCTGCTCCCTAGAAGGCATCCCCAGGGATTCAGGACAGGCAAAGATTTCTCTCAGGGGCAAAGACTTTACTGCACCCCAGGCTTTCCTCCCACATGATGGTGGATGTGCAGGGGAGGGGAAGAAGGAGGGAGTGGGGCAGCCATATGCAAGGCCTGGGAAGCAGGAAGGGAGGGCTAACACTCCTCTGAGAACACTAATCTCCCCAGCATCTGGCACTGCACAGAATCTCCCTGTGGATTCTTGAAGTTCTCCAAAAGCATCAGCTCTTGGAGGTGCAGCCTAGACCCCTAAGGATCTCCAGGGTGGGTAGTGCACATCCATGCTGGGATCTGATTTGTCACTCAGATGAGTTAATGTCAAAGCCGTTGCTGTGTTCATGGTAAGTTTTCTTTCTCTGGGTGGCCCATCTACAGCTGGTGCTAACCACCATGGTGCAGACCTCATCTACATCCAACTGTTTACCAAACTCAGCCAATTCTATTCAAATCTCACTTATATCCCTTCTCCTCATTTCTCTCTCTTCATCTCTGTTGCCCTGTCTTGGTCTAGGTGGGTCATCTCTTACACAAATGACTAATGAGTCTCTCTCACCTTCTCCATTCTGTCTCTATGGCCCTCTACAGATACCTGTAGAGGAGCATACACCCTCCTCCTTTGTGATTTTTCAGAAATATAATTCTGATCATCCTCCTGCTTAAAACCTTTGGAATACTTACCCTGGCTTTCAGAAACTTCAAATTCCTTAGGGCTGGGCAGAAGTTCCTATTGGTATCCAGCCCTTCCTTTTCTCTTGAGCTCATCTCTGGCCAGTCAAACCCCCAGGGAGAGTGGTAATTATATGAGTCAATCATAGGGAGAAAGCAAAACCTTCTGACCCTATGGCTTTGCTCATTTTAAAGGTTATCCAGGCTGAGGCAGCCGTTCACACCAGGGAGGCCAGTCAGAGTTGAAAGCATGGCTCCTGACTCTGAGGGACAATAGCATCTGCTGCTGGCCCAAAACCCTAGTTTATACCCTCTGCACTCCTCAAGAGTCCATCTTTCAGGATTCTAGCCCCCTATCAGGCTTATTACTCTCTCCTCCAGCCACATCTGAGTAATGGGGTAATGTTTGACATTCCCTGAGCTCCTACTGCACATTCCAGACACTGCGCTAAGCCCTTCACCTGTCCTGTCTTGTTTAACCTTCACAGCAACCACACAAGGCGGTATAATTATTGTGCCTATTTTGCAGATCACCAAACTGAGACCCAGAGGTCAAGTAACTTGAAGATCACACAGCCAGAAAATGGTGGAGCTGGGATTTCTAATCACAGGCATGTCCTAATGTATTGGTCATACATTTCCCAGGTTAAGATGGGGGTACTGAAGCTGCTTCGAAGTTCAGAATGGGGAGGGCACTTTATAGCATGTTACTTATTCTTCTGTGTATATTTTTAGCATGTGTTAGCAGCTACAAATTTGCCATCTCTTTTGAAAAGATGCTTTTGCCTTCTTTGAGGACTTACTCATCCTGTTTAATAGAAAGGATTCAGAAGTGTCTTAGTGGTAAGTTGCAACTTGCCCTACTATTCCTGCAAGAATCCTGGAAAGCTTGGCCAGATTTGGGGAAAAAGAAGGAAACTCTACTTGGTCACCCTAATCTCAGAGGATGCAGGCAGGGACTCTCAGTTCAGAAAGTGACCTCCCAAAGACCCAGAAAGGACTGAGTTGCATTGTGAGTTTAAAACCATTGCTAGGGCTCCTGGAGACTGGAGGGTGGGGTTCTGGCATCTCAGAGACAGCAGCTGAGTTATGTGTGCTCTGTTTCCCCTCCAATGTGAAGAAAGCTTCAACACCTCCTACAGAAGAGGGGCCGTGAGACCACAGCCCAAAGGAGGCTGGACAGGGAGGGTCTCAGCCAGGGTTGCATAAGAGAAGTGGCATTGCACTTAAAGACCTGCACTTGGGAACACAGAGGAGCTTTCCCAGAGGCAGCTGAATGCTTAAAAAGTGAATCTCTCAAGCTGCCCTGCTTGTCTCTGCAGCTGTTCTTCATCTATTTTGTTTGGGTTTAAAGGTCAGTGAAAATGCACGGCACAGGGTTATTTAGCACCTTCCACAGAGGATGCGGATGCCTTTTTCAGTGGCCACACAGAATTCAATATGTGTTACTCTCCCTCCTTTAGCAATATGGGGGAGCTGTGTCTGAGGACTGGCGCTGTCAGGAGGTGAACCTGGCTGGTGGGGGACTGAACTGCATTCCTGGCATTCAGGAGAATACTTCTCCCTCAAGATTTATGGGCTTCATTTTATGTTTAAATGGTTTCTGTCAAAATTCCAAGAGGCTTTAGTGAGTAATGGGAAGCAAGGAAAGGGAAAGCATACTCCAGGTAGTAGAAATAGCACCGACAAAGGCTGTTGAGAAGTGAACACGCATTTGTGCAGCGAATGTTTACTAAGCATCTACCACACGTCTTTGACTGATTGCCAGATAAAAGGGTTTGGAGCCACAGAACTCTGACAGACTCTCTTAAGGCTATTGCAATCCCTGGCCTCTCTGGGAGAGTGAAGTCCTGTTGTCGTTTCTTCCAACTGGGGTTAGAGAGCAGCATCTTAGGGGAGCCCAGTTCATACCAACCCCTTCCCAACCAGCAGAGGAGCTTCAGAAAATGAAGCTCAGAAGCTGATCCAAGATGGAGATACAGAGACAAGGAACAGCTGTTTGCTCTTTTTTAATTCTAAATCTGGCATGCCCTCGAGTCCCTGGTAGAGTCACACCCCATCTAGACATGATTTGGGCCCTGCTGGTGTCTGCAAAAACTCACCCCTCTGAGACCAAGACATACTCCCCACAGGCCAGCCACCTAGAGCCTCTTGCCAAACACCAGGAAGCCCATCTTGTCCACAGCAGCCTCTCAGTCCATTTTCACCATCTACACTCCAGCCTCTCCTTTGAAATAAATGTATTCAATGCAAAGGTACAAAATGGATGAAACTGTTGTTTTTAAATGCTGATTTCATGCCCCTCCCAAAGGCACTCTTTTGTTCTATTTAATTTTTACTTCAGATTGCTGATAAACTCTAGGGTGGATTCATCAAAGGAAACTGATAATTACCAATTCTGTACATTTTATTTTGTTCATTATTTTGTTAGCATCTGATTCTGAAAAAATATTCTTTATAAATGGGCTGGAAGCTGGCATAAAAATTATTAGCAATAACAAGATGTTTTTGCATAGAAATGGGTTTCTTACCGGCCAGCTGCAGTTAAGTGTGTGGGACTTGCTTTGTGGCAGCCAACAATATCCAGCAAGCTCCTTTCCACCTGCCTCCAGGTAAAAAAAAAAAAAAAATTGGCTTAGAACCCAAGAGTGGGGTTGTATTTTCCTCTGCAGAAAGGTACCCATCTTTTTCCAGCTGGGATCCCTGGTGGGTGGAAAATAGATTACCAGGGAAGTGGAGTCAGAGAGTGAGCCTAGAACAGCACTAAAAAAGGGCATCAGGGGGTCGGTGTCCTAAGGATTGGTTGGGGTGGAACACTGGGAGATCCCATAATTGCTAAGAATAGCAGAAAGTGTGTGCATTGGTTGATTCATTCCATATTCATGAACATGCACAGTCCTCAGTAGAATTTAATGTATATAAGCAGTGGGTATTGGTTATTTCTGGATGCTGCCCAACATCTTCCCATCTTTGGGGGAGTTCCATGGTTTGTGATGCATCCCCAGGGTAGAAGCTGGAATCGCTCCTGCCCATCCACTCTTGCTGCTAAGATATAGGCAGGGGACTTAGGATCTACTGATCTGATACACTCACTTGAGGCTTTGCCTGGGAAACTAGTACCATGAAGTTGGTGCCATAGGGAATTCATTCTGCCAAACATTGCAGCAGATTATTCTAAGAAGCATCCAAACCCTAGACTCAGGGGAATTAACACAATATTTGTGCCCAGGGGTATATTCCTGGAGGCAGATCTGTGATGAAATCTGGCCACTGTTCTTGGTCACTAGGCTTTCATGTGTGTACCTCCGGCCTTCTCAGAGATTCTGTGAATTATCTAATGTTCTTAAACAAATTCCTTTTCCACTTAAACTGCCTAGAATGAATTCCTGAGGTTTGCAACTGGGAACCCAGACTGTGAACATAGCTTTATGTAAGCTGCAAGTGACAGAAGCCCAAAGGAAATTTGGTGAGTTTTGTAAGAAAAAAATCCAGTAGGAGTATTCGTGGTTTCAGGTATGGTCAAATCCAGGGGCCAGGATTGGTTACATAATTTGCAGGGCCCAATACAAAATGTAAGTGTTGAGTCGCTTTTCAAAAATCATTAAGAATTTCAAGATAACAATATAAAAGCAGAGGGCCCTTCTAAGCTCAGACCCCTGTGTGACTGCACAGGTTGCATACCCATAAGTCTAGCCCTGCTGGGGCTCAAGCAATGTCACCAAGACTTCCATGTCTTTCTCTCTCTACCTCCTGGCTCTGCTTTTTTCTGTGTTGACTTCATTCCCAATCAAGTTTTCTTTATATGGTGTCCCCAAGCAGCTCCAAGCTTTAAGTGCAACAGAAAGAGAGGGGGCCCCTTTCCTATAATTTCCAAAAAATAATCCCAGAAGTTGGTCCTATTGGTCAAGCCTGGACCACATACCTCTTACAGAAGGTAGAGTCATCCCCACTGGAGCCATGTGACTTTAGAGTAAAGGAGGGGTAACGCAGAGAACTGTACTAGCAAAAAGGAGAACAGATGGTGGGCAGACAAAAGCAACAGAGGTGACCACTGTACAAGGTACACCTGCTCTTAAGAAGCTTATAAATTAATAGGAAATATGATCTCATAAGAAAATGTAACAGAGAGAGTTAATGTTTATCAACATGTGCTCCATTCATTTCCAGTCTCCCTTCAATTAGGTTAGGACCTGTGCAAGTTCTGGATTGCAAATCAACATAGTTAAGAATTATTGCCTCTCCTCCATCTTTCTCCTTCTTGGAGGCTACATATTCCAGAAGCATAAAGACAGGGGAAAGTGCTCAATAGGCATTGCATTATATGTAAACAAGAAATAAATCCTTTTTGTAATAAGCCATTGATATTTCTGACTTTGCTTATTACTGCAGCAAAGCATAATTTATTTTAATATAGTACATTTGAGAAGACAGAAAGTAAGGCTTTCTTGACTCTTTGTGCCCTCTAACTCTATGTGCTTGGAGCTTAAAGGAGAACTATAGGTTGTTACGTTCAGAAAATGTCTTATGGTAGAGGAGACTGAACCAAGGTCTTGAAATATAGGTAGCATTTGAGTAAACAGGGAATAGGGTCATCCTAAGTAGAGATTTGTATGAATAAGTGGTACCCCATGAGCCCATGACCCTTATGATGTTACCCTAAGTTTGATTCTTTCATTGATTTAACATGTAAACTGCAGGTTTATCCATGTCTCCACTGGGATGTTCAGGGGCAGGAAAATGTATGCAGATAACATCTCTATGCTATTAACCCTCTAGTACATTTCTCCAAAGAGCATAGCCCTCAGCTGGACTGGGAAAAAGTAAGATATAGCCAAAAGTGCACTTCCATCTCAGGTCTATGAGGTAGCATTCCCCAAAGGCCAGTCCCAGAAGTTGACTGTCATAAAGGGTTTGGAAATCAATTCAGCTCTTCCTTCTGCATATTGGCGTATAAAGGGCTTTGACTATCCCACAGTTAAGTAACCTAGTTAAGTTGGTCCATGTGTTTTCCATTTGACCATCATACCTCTTTTTCCCATAACGTCGTCAAGGGATGGTCATGGACACTGCTGCACTGTTGCTATACCATTTTATACACCTGACCTATCTGTTATACAAAGTGTGTGTTGTAAATTTTATAATGAGCATTATAAAATGGCTATAAGTGATAAGTTACTGGAGTTCAGACCTATTAGTCACTACAAAGCCAGAAAGACAGTTATAGTCAATACTCAGCTAATCTCCTGTTCATAGTGAGCTCAGTCTCAAAGAAGAGAGATATAGTTTTGTTATAGTCAAAAGTCAGCTAATTTCCTGGTCATAGTGAACTCAATCTCAAAGAAAGAGAAGGAAAGAGGAGAGGAGGAGATCTGTGTGTCCATTTGGAATGCTCTTTGCTGCAAGTAGCAGGAACAACAAGAAAAAGACTAACTTATCTTAAATAAATAAAAAACATTTCTTCTCCCATAATAAATCTCAGAGGCAGTGCTTCTGACTTTCCCTTGATCTCCCCCTTGTTGCCATAATACAGCTGCCCAGGTTCCAGACCTCACGTTTGTGTTCAAGGCAGGAGAAAGGGGCAAAGGCATGATACCGGTTTTCTCTGTTCCTTTAATCACGAAAGTAAAAGCTTTTTCGGCTGTCCCCAGCAAATAATTTCTTCCGTCTCACTGGTCCCTGTCACAGCTGAAGGGCAGCTGGAAAAGTGAGTTTGGCCCATCTCAGAGTAGGCGAGGGAGGGAGGAAGGAATCCATCTGAGGTTAGTCAGCAGTGTCTGCCTCATTCTGCTTCCAAATGTAACCAGAAAGACTCAAAATCTGCACCTAGATATTTTCTTGTTTCCGTATGTTAAGATGTAGCTGATACTGCCTTTGTTTTGTCTTCTTACTGAAGTAAAACAAACATGGAGAAAAGTACATATAATGTATAGCTTGCTGAATTTTCACAAAGTAAACACACCCATGAAATAGCACCCAGTTTAAGAAACAGGACATTCCAAGCTCCAAACTTCCCCAGAAGGCCCCTTACATCCTCCTCTAGGAGGTAGCCACCTTTATTACTTCCACAGCATAGATCAGTTTCATCTTTTGTTCTCTCTGCAGTTTTGAGTAATAGAGGCTTGGCAACCTTTATTGTGTTTTAGGTATGTTTTGTATCGGTATGGCAATTTTAGATGGTAGATGTTAAAAGGACATATATGAAATGTGAGAAATATTGTGGGCTAGATCCTAAAACACCAAATGATCTGCCTGGTCAGTACCATTGTAAGTGAGAAATAATTCATCTGCACATTCACGTTTGTACTAACCATGTGCCCCCAGGTGCTGGTGAAAACCCTTAACTATTGTTAAACAAGTAAGTCCCTGATGCCACTCATCCTGGAGAGCATTACACAGTTGCCCACGCAAGAAGCAGCTCAACTGCAAATCAACTTCTCTCTGTACCTCTATGAGGGGCTCGCAGTAGGAACCGTCATTTATTTTCCCCATCCTGAAATCTTTCTCCATCAGTAGTGTCTCAGGCCTGTCATTGTTTCTCAGTTTTTCCTGCTCTAGAAAGTAATTGTCCCTCTGTATAAAGTGTCCTCGGAGTCCCCAAAGTGAATTTTATTCAAGCCATGTATACTATATTTTATTTCAGAGAGAACATATGTTCTAAATTTGGTAAATCAATGAAACTTCAACCAGTTGAAAACTGATGATCATATAAATAACTGACAATTGTGTAAATTTTTTTAAGTAGAAAACGATAGTAACTAGGTATTTATTGAGTGCTTTTCATGTGTTAGACTCTGGATTAAGTGTATTACATTTATTATTTCATTTAATTCTCACAACTACTCAATGAGGTAGAGACTTCCACATCTTACAGATGAGGAAAGAGAGGTTCAGAGAGGTTTGTGAATTGCCCAGGTTCTCACAGCCAATGAGTGTTGAAGGGCAAACCAGAACCTAAGCTGTCTGTCTTAGGAAGGCACACTGACATGCTCAGCTGGTAGGAAACCTTACACTGGCCCTCACCATGCAAAGGCCATGAAGTAGAGGACAATATCTTCTGAAGCCAAAATGGTTAGGGTCTCCTAGGGCAGTGGCAGACTCGGGTGAAAAGAGTAAGAGGCCAGGAGGATGCTCAGGGGCCTCACCTGGGGCCCAGGTTAGAGTCCAAGTAAGAGTAAATCTTCCCTGAAACCCACACTTTCACACCCGTGCATAGAGCGGCATGAATGGGGGAGGGGCAGGGGTAGAGTCACTGTCCTTGGGCTGGTAGGACTCAGCCAGAGTCTCCTACCCTTACTCTGGTCAAAGCTGCCCTGGAGCCACAAGCCCAGCCTGAGGAGCTGTGTTTCATCAAGGCCTTTGAGGAAATACAGGAAAAATGACAAATCCTAGCTGATCCCTCACCTGCCCAAGCATTCCAGTGCTCCAGAGAGAAAGGCCTGTCCAGATCCCCACAGCCAGTTGAGATGCACAGACCAGTTCTACATATAGCATGTCCAGGCAGGAATCCTGATCACACTGAACACACTGATCGGCCAGATATGTTGAGTGTGGTCTTAGGTCGAGTTATCTAAAAGCAGACTCTGAGATAAAGATTGGTGTTCAGATGATTTATAAAGGAAGTGCTGCCAGAAAGGTCTGTAAGGAAACAGGGGAGGCAAGACAGGAAAGGAGAAGAAGCCAAGCAAGGCTGTGGTCAGAGTCCCTTGCGGGGTGGCTTCGGCCTGATCCCACAGGGAGCTCTGGAGTGTGAGTTATGCCTCAGAGTTGTCTGGACCTGAGACAAAGGAGATGGCATTTCATCTCTCTCTATGTGCACCCCTCGGTCATTGACTAAGGACCACTCTCCATGTGGGTGGGCACATAATTTACAGGCACTGCTAGCTCTTTGTGCATGTGGACAAAGTGGGTTCCAGTAGACCAAGGGTAATCTTCTAAAACAGAACTGAGGACCAGGCATGATGGTGCACATCTCTAGCTCCTGTAGTCTAGTCCCAAGCTGAGGCGGGAGCATCACTTGAGTCCAGGAGTTTGAGGTTACGTAATGTATTCATTTCAAAATAGGGAATCTAATTTTTAGATGTGCAACAGATAGGGTAACACTAATTTTTAAAAGTTAGGTAGATAGAACCTCAGAAATACCTATTATTGAGTAGCCACTGTATTCCAGCCTGGACAACAGAGTGAGATCTCATCTCTAATAATTAATTAATTAAAAGAGAGTGAAATAAAAGAATGCACATACTGGCTTATGGAGGTGAACACCAAAGTGGGGAAGGGGGGTCACAGAATGGTACAGGTGATCTAAGATGTAGGCAGGACACACCCTGCATTCAGCTCCCACCTGCAGCATCCCTCAGAAAATGCTAAAGTATGACGTTCCACTGGGAATGTTCACACGTGATCCCTCTAGCCAGTAAATCAGGAAGCACCTGAAGATGGGGAGGTAGTGATGATAAGATAATATGTATTTCTGAAGTTCTACTTACCTAACTTTAAAAATTAGTGTTAGCCTATCTGTTGCACATCTAAAAATTAGATTCCCTGTTTTGACATGAATGCATTACATAATAGCGTTTATAAGAACCGTATGAACTTCTGAGTCTATCACAGGAATAAACTTTGTACAAACTCTGCTCATATCTTTTGACACCTGCACTTAGTCACAGGTGGCCATGTACTGCTCTTGAGAGATGCATATCCTGAGATGCATTAAGGATTGGATCCTAGAAAAATAGGATTAATTGTTAACAATAAAATATACGAATAAATTTTATAACAGCTTTATTGAGGTATAATTCACATACCATATAATTTCCCCATTTAAAGTGTACAATTCAGTAATTTTTAATATATTCACAAAGTTTTGCAATGATTCCCACAATCAATTTTACAATATTTCCATCACTCCCAAAAGAAACCTCATACCCACTGACAGTCATTCCTCATCTTCCTCTATATCCCCAGCCCAAAGTAAAAAGTAGATAGGGCTGGGAGACAATCCCTCTTGCTCCTCATTTCAGGAACCATCCAGAAAGCCTTATGGAAAAGAATAGCTCTGGGAAGTCCCCCATTCTCCACATTTGCTTGACAGAGTCACAGCTTTGGAGTGCCTTTGTGATTGCCAGGCTCAGTGACTGGCAAATCAAGAGAAAGAAAGAAAGGGAAAGCCTGTGTCAATTCAATACAGCTGAGCTAATGAATCTGGTCCCTTGTCCCAGACTAAGAGAAATGTGAGCATTTGCATGTCCTGCTATGTAGAGAGCAGGAGCCACCTCTGGCACATGAGGCAGGGGTGTGGCCTGGTTTCTTCCTGAACACCAAGGGGATGAGGGCTTGATCCCCAAATTCAGACTCGGGGGAAACAGGGCACTCCTTACACAGGAAGCTGGCAGTGCTGGCAGTACTGGTTGAACCAAGTTATAAATTTCCATAAAAGCCTCCTTACCTTTTGGGAGAAGAAAAAGGAAAGGAACACCCAAGCCTATTAGAAAATCCTTTGGAAATATAAATTGACAATACTACTAAGGGGTTTATTCCTGACCAAACATTTTTTTATCTTTCCAACTGAGGGAAGAAGTCCAGAAAAAGTTACCCATGAGACTCAAGGTTATTCAGTCAATTAAATGTAATATCCTCTGTATAATTTTGCTGTATAAATATCTTGGCTAGAGTGAAGCATCACTGGGTTGGATGCATTAAGTAAATACTTAATTGAAGACCTTTTCCACTGAAATATAAGAATAAGGCAGTGAAAAGAATACATATTCTGAACATCACATCGGCCCCATTAGGAAGGCTCTGTGATCACATTATTATGTGCTTTGTCTTCAAACAGAGACTTCCCTGTCTTTTTCACCCATAAGCAGAAAAAGTCCTCTCCATGCTCATTATCAGGCTTGCGGAGCCCATTCTCTCTGATGTGCCTCCCTCCCTCACTTTGGAGCTCCACTTCCTTGAGATCTGTCATTGTCACCTTTATTATAATGGTCCTTACAATCCCACAGCTAGTGACACCCAGGGGAGGAGTATTCTGATGAGGAGGGTGGGGGTCCCTGGGAGATGTCTGCGATGGAAGTTTCCACAGAGGCTACACTGAAAACTTGCAGAGAGAACGGAGAACTGATAGGGAGACGGGCATTAGGCCACCCAGTTTTACTCCTCTGGTCTCATGCAAGAAAAAGTAAGGCTTTGGAAAGTATTTGGAAAAGTTGATCTCACAGTTTATTCCATTTGCAACAGGCAGGAATATTTTCTTCCCAGGTAATGCAAGCAGAGGCTGGTACACACAAAGGCAGTTGAGTAAACAGGTAGAGGTAGCAAGCTTTCTTTCTTTTCTCTTTTTTCTTTTTTTTTTTTTTTTGAGACGGGGTTTTGCTCTTGTTGTCCAGCCTGGAGTGCAATGGCACGATCTAGGCTCACTGTAATCTCTGCCTCCTGGGTTCAAGCAATTCTCCTGCCTCAGCCCCCTGAGTAGCTGGGATTACAGGCATGCACCACCACACCAGACTAATTTTGTATTTTTAGTAGAGACAGGGTTTCGCCATGTTGGTCAGGGCTGTTCTCAAATTCCTGATCTCAGGTGATCAACCCATCTCAGCCTTCCAAAGCGCTGGGATTACAGTTGTAAGCATGCTTTCTTTCTATCACATATGGGCAGAAGGAGCTTAAAACACCCATAAGAGGAAGGAATTATGGCTGGTTTCTTTGTCTCATGCTCAGTAGGGCCTCTGAGTCAATGATAAGACAGTATCAAGCAGGACAATAGAATATGATGGGCTTCTTTCCTTCTTTCTAAGAAGAAACTATGTGTCTGTGAATGCTACTCAACTAGAAAAAAGTCAAAGATCAGTGAGTATGGTTCACCCACATTTGGGGGTAGAATTGGCCCGAGATATCATTAAAAGGTATCAGAAGCACAAAAACAATATTTTTAAAAACCACAGCTAAGGGATGGCCAAACAGGCAGCAATAAATCAGAAGAGGTTTAATCCTTTCAGTTTGTCTGCTTTGGCCAAAACAACTGAATTTAATCAAGTTCATGCACACATGTGATTTGTGCAACAGTTTATGATACTCTAGAGATGAATAAAAGTCATGGTTGTCTATCTATCTATCATCTATTTATGTTTTCTATCATCTATCTAAATATCTATTGATATTTTTTCTCACTAAGAGTAAACAACTATCAATTTAAACTGTTCATAGCAGTGTGATAAGTTGCAAAAGTCAGATTTTAAAAATCATTAGGGCCCTCTCAATCTTCTTCATTGGTTTTTGAGCTTGCAATTAAAAATATGCTGGCTGGACATGGTGGCTCATGCCTGAAATTCCAGCACTTTGGAAGGCCAAGGCAAAATAATTGCTTAAGCCTAGGAGTTCGAGACCAGCCTGGGCAATGTGGCGAGATCCTGCCTCTACAAAAAATAAAATAAAATAAATAGCCAGGCGTGGTGGCATGCTCCTGTGGTCCCAGCTGCTTGGGAGATTGAGGCAGGAGGATTGCTTGAGCCCAGGAGGTCAAGCTATGTTTGTGCCACTGCACTCCAGCCTGGACAACAGAGCAACACTCTTTCTCAGAAAAAAAAAAAAAAAAGCTGCAACTGCAATTTTAGGAGAGATTGGATCCATTACCATATGAAAATGGCACACAAATTGCCCTGCCCTTTTCTGCAGAATGAAAGAAAAAATGAAGAGCTAAGGGAAAGGAAGAAAATGTACACTTTCAGGAAAGATAAGATATAGGCTCATAAAATAAAAACATACAGAAGAGGCTATTCCAGATAGAGAGATGCTATAGCAGGAAACTCTTCTGCTAATAAGGGTAGCAAAGGCCAGGTCAAGAGGAAAGCCAAGAGATTCATAATCATTTGCAAAAGGAAATAGGTTAGGGCAGTGAAATACAACATCTTGCTCAAAGTAATCCAAGGGCAGTCTTCACAGTAGTGGGTGATTCTGGGAGAGATTATAGAGAAAAAAAAATCACAATGAAGATAAAAGTTGGTGAACATCTTCTAAGATAAGTTCCAAATAGATTAAAGATATAAATGTAAAAATAAAAATTAAAAGTGTTATTAGAAAATATGGAATTATTCTTCTGTAACTTGGAATAAGAAAAGCATTTCTAACTATAACTCAAAATACAGAAGATACAAAAGAAAAGATTGATTAATTTGCCTAGGTAAAAATAAAATATCCTGAATGACAAAAAGAAAAAAGGGAAAAAAAAAGGATGAGGAAGAGGAAGAGAAGAAAGAAGAGGAGGAGGAGGAGGAGGAGGAGGAGGAGGAGGAGGAGGAAACCAAAAAAAAAAACCCCATAAAAACACCATAAACAAAGACAAACAACAAACTGAAAAAATATTTGTATCACAAAGACTGAATCTTCCTACTATAGAGATTTTGTAGAAATTGAAGAGATCAACAGGCAAAATATATACCCATCAGTTTGCAGAAATAGAAAGAAAAATATTCAGATGCATGAAAATATGCCCAACCTCATCCAAAAGAGAAATACACAAATTACACTGAGATGTCATTTATAAAATTCCAAAAGTTTGATGACAAACTAATTAGACTGGGTTCTTCCAAGTATTTTGTCTAAATAGTTAATTTGGGAGATGATTTTGGACCTAACACCAGCAGGGAAGTGAGGAGGAGAGAGAGAGAAGTCCAGAAGGATGTGTTATCAGGATGTGTTCCATTTAACACTATGGAGACCTGGAGCTCAGATGGGGAAATGTGGGAGACGTTGTAGAACACACTTTAGTGTTATCCCCTCTAGGAATGACAAAGCAGGGGTATTTATCCACCTACTCCCCTATCTATCATTGCTTGATGGCTGCTTGTGGAAAATTAACTCTCAGGCACTTCTGCCCTATCCCCACACTCACGTACAGGTCAAACCTCCCTCCTAAAGCCAAAAAAAAAAAAAAAAAAAAAAAAGCCCTGGGGCAGAGGGTTGCAGCTGTAGTATAGAGATGACTTGTCTACAGGGTGTGGGTGGGGCATAGCCATATCTTCCACACACCCTCCATTGATGAAACTGCCAGAGAATAAGCATTCTCATACGTTGCTGGTGAGAATGGAAATTGTTACAAAACTTATGATCATTGGGAGTGCCTATTAGATACTGGCAATTTGACAATGTCATACTGATTCTTCTCTCCTGGTGCATATATTTTTTGAGTCAGCAGTACCACTTCCGGGAATTGATCCTACAGTTAAGATTTGCACATGTAGCAAATGACACATGTGCAAAATTGTTATGCAGCACTGTTTGTAATGACAAATGCTTAGAAACAATCTAATGTCCATTAATGGGGAGAGGTTAGTTAAATAAACTAAGGTACCAAGGAATGCTATGCAGTTATAAAAACAAATGAGGCGGAACTCTGAGTACTGATGTGGCCAGATTTCCAAGATAATGTAAGTGACAAAAATAAAGTGCAAGAAAATTATACTATCTTTTGTATTTTAAAAAGAGAGGGAAAGTAATACAAATTCATATTTTCATAGAGAAGTGGACAGGATACAGAATAAATTAATGATAGCATTAATGTAAGAGTGGTGGTGGTGGTGGGAAATGGTAGACAGGGTGAAATTATATATAGAAATATATATTTCTGAATAAATACCTGGAGGATTTTCCAAAGCAAGGACCAGGTTGCCACTTCATGGAGCTGGTGACTTATGGCCTTTCCACAAACCCATATCTGAGTGTAAAAACAGAAGGTTGAGCACATAGAGTGGTTTAGAAATTATTTTAATAATAAAATGGACATTCTGTAAGAATGTGATACTCGGTTCTATTGGAGACCATGGAAATTTTTATTTCTAGTGGCTGGAGATGGATATTATAGCTAAACAAAATAATTTTACTACAAAACATATATGTTACAAAAAGAAAGAAAGAGGAAGGCTATATAACCCAATCAAGCTGAGCTAATGAATCTGGCCTGGTATACCAGTCCAAGAGAGATACACACACAGACACACACACAGACACACACACACACACACACACACACGTGAATGCATTATTTAATTTGAAAATTAAATTTAGAAATACTGATGGATATCTGTTGGCATGGAATTATGGGGCACTTTTTCATTCTATCTCATACATTTTTATTTATTTGAATGCTTTACATGATGCATGTATTATTTTGAAATCTGGAAAAATAGTAGAGATATAATGACTAAATACAAACTAGGGAGACAGACAATAGTAGAAAATAATCAAAATAGAAGATTTATCAAACCAGGTGTTGAGTTGCAAGGAATAGAATTGACTCTGACTGATTAAAGCAGAAAAGAAATGTATTGGAAGGATATTGGATAGTTTACAGAATCACCAGAAAGGATAGAAGCAGTGGGCTTGAAATGCAAGCAGCAACCCAACGGGGCTAGGTAGCAATAACTACAGAACCAACTGATGAGTCGCCATCGTACCCACTGGCCCTGGTTCCCTCTGAGTCCCTTAGAGGAACAGGATGTCAGACCGGAAGTGTCAACGGAGGCACCAAAATATGACAGTTTTAGATGTCGGAATGAAATGCAAGGTAGATTACCAGGTAGAAAGGTCAAAGCAAATGACCCAGAACTGGGAACAGTGAGCAAATTAAAGGGATGAGAGACTAAGATTGGGGAACAATCCTTGAAGAGAACCTTAGAAGGGCTTAGTGTAGTCCCACCATGCTCAAGGGAGAGGGAGTCAGAAGGGTTTGTAGGGGAGCTGCCGATGAACCCATAAAAATGCCCACCTTTAGACACTGGCTGGACCCAAAGAGCAAAAGCCAGTTTATGACCGTAACCAGTTTGTTTAGAAATGTTGCATTCCTCTTACCTTTCCACATGGCCCCATTCCCAAAGGGAACCAAAACTGCAGCTAGCCAGTGGGGAGGATGTGATGGTGAGAGGAAGAAGACAGCTCAGCCTCTTCACAGCCCTAGCTGGGAGAGGGAGAATTTTTACCTTTGACTAAAAGATAAAAGTGTGGATTAATATACTGGGACTGTGTTTTGCAACCCAGTAACCATAGAACTTACTTGTGACAAAATATGAGAAAGTCACTCAGAAACACTCTCATGAAGGAGGCTTCAAAGAGTGGACAAAAATAAAGTTGCTTTCAAGATCACCCATCACAATTCCAGTAAAGTGACAGCCACACAGAAACAGAACATTACTGATGCAGTCACTGAAATAATTAAAGTTGCCTCAGCTTCTTGGTGTCATCTGTTCCCAAACAGAACCACCTGATTGGCAGAGGGGGGACTTCATGCTCCAGCTGCCATGGCTCATGTGGCCACAATACTCTACCTGGGGAATTCCCCAAGCTTAGGAAAAGGGTTCACAGGCAAAAACTGACCCATGTGCACTATAATGCAAGGCTTTGCATTCACTTCTGATGGGTACTGTACTCTGCTAAATGCAGGGCGCAGGGGTATACAGGAGACAGAAGAGAGGACTTCAAGAAGGGTAACACAGACTCTGCTCTCAATGAAGCAGCATTTCCCTACACTCCAACATAAAAGTATTTCTCTTTTATCTAGAACCTTAGAGCTCAAACAACTCTTTCATGTCTATTTCATTTGCTCTTGAACACAATGCAGTGAGATAACTCTCCAGTGTCCCATGGGGTGACAAGCACATAGTTGGTATTCAGTAAATATTTGTTGAATGAATGAACAAGTAAAGGAATGAATGGGTGAGGAAGAATTAAATCCAGTGAAGTACATGCTTCACAGTTGGTCAGCAGAGTTCAGTACTGTCCAGTGGAACTCACAATGATAAGATATTCTTTGTTTGTGCTGTGCAACATAGTAGCTGCATATGGCTACTGAGTGCTTAAAATATGGAGTTTAATTTAAATTTTAATAGCTACATGTGGCTAATGGCTATTGAACTGAACAGCACAGGTCCAGAGTTCAAATCCCAGCTCTGTGTTTATTTAGCTTATAACTTGAGCAAACTTCATAATTTATCTAAGTCTCATTTCCAAAATGTAAAATGGAGAAAACAATGTTTCCCTACCTCATTAGTTGTGATGGTTAAAAGAGGCCTTATATATGAGGAGTGAAGTTCACTGGGTCATGAAGTGCAAAGCTCTTACTTGGTGGTAGGTCACTAAATGGAAGCCACCAATGGGATTATTGTGACTTACTAGCACTGCTGTTACTACTACTACAGCCGTGATGCCAAGACGCAGAGAGAAGCTAAAGAGCCTGTTCAGGTCACACGGTTAATGCATATCAGAATGGGATTTGCATCTTCTGTATTCATTATAGCAGTGGCTTTCTAACTATCCAGTTAAACAAGGCTCCAAGACCCCATTACAAGCCCTAAGCGGTGTTCATGCACTGAAAAATGAGTCTTCCACATTTATTTGCAAATAGTATTCAAATTCAGATGCCACTGAAATTAATAAAACATATTTGTTTAAAATCAATACTGAATTTGTAGCTTTTTGTCATTATATAGATTCTCAACAAACAGCTATTAAAAGTACAAACATTATTGAGGTCCTCAGAATCCTTTGACATTGAAAAGGCATACTTTTCTCTTTGTTAATTACTCCTTATTAAAATAGTGTGTGTGTATGTGTATATCAAGAGAAAATGGTGATGCAAGAAACTCCACAAACCTGTATATATTTTAGGAATATTTGCTAGAAAAGTGAATGGCAGTTTTTACCAAAGGGAGTTTATTGAAAGTCAGTTAATAGGAAAGATCAAGGTGTAATTCCCTAAAGGATTCTTCAATAATCAGTAACTATAATAAATCAAGCTCTGGGTTTAGTTTTTAAAAAATGAATTGCACAAATTTGGAATAGGTAAAAATAATGCTTTAAAGCTAATTATGGGAAAGATTTGAGAGTTTTAGAATAGTGGTCCTGAATGGAGTGACTATAACCCAGAAGGCACATGAGGATCCACTGGAATGAGGAAATAATGACTACAACCACTATATTTATTTTTTATTTTAAAAAAAGAAGTCAAGCTTCACTGATATTTAATGTATATAATTGGCATCTGTACATGTATATAATTTTAGTAAATATGTGTCTGGGGTGCACATACAAAATTATTTTACTAAGAATATTGTACAATTAAAAATCTTTAGAAATGTTTGTGTCAGAAGATAAGCAGCTCATAACCATCATAAGCAGTATGATGTGATCATTTAAAACAAGACAAAATTTGAATTACCTTTGTTCTATTAGTTAGCTTTCCCCTTATGTAACAAACCACCCCAAAACAAATTGGCTTACAACAACTACCCTTTTTTAAATTGTTCAGAATCGGCACAATGTCACTTGTACTGACAATCTACGAATAAGGGTTCTGAAAGGTAAGTCATATGAAGAAGGGTTGAAAGAACTGGGATAGGTTTGCTATGAAAAAAGAACATTAATAAGAAAAAGGAATATGTGTGTTAGACATTTACTATCTTTATTTCTTACAGCTTAGTTTCTAATACAATTTATAGTGGCCAGAAAAATATTCTGAATGGACAATCCCTTGAAGCAACAGAAATTAAAGTACTTTTTTCTTTTCCCAAATCGATTTTATAATTAAAGAACTATATGATTTCAGCAAGTTCCATTTGGTAGAATGACACAGTCAGCTAACATGAAAATTACTAGAAATTCCCAGTGGAGATGTATATATTTCATACTTATCCACTTTCCTCATTTTTATCAAGGAATAGGCTATTTCTTTCTCTTCTTTTTAAAAGAAAATCAATATGACCTTTGCTTCTTTTTCTTTTCCCCCAACTCAAATTCTACAATTGTAAATTCAAAACATGAACAGATTTGAAAACAGATTGTGAAGAAAAAGCTTTAGTACAAACAAAAGAAAGATGGAGTAAAATGCATGTCCATCGCTGCATGAGAAATGGTGTGACAAACGTGCGGTACCTCTCCACAGAGAATGGTAATGACTGAGAGCCTTGCTTGTCCACCTAAAAAGAGGATGTGAAATAAAATATATTTTAAAGAAAATCCACGCAAATGCAGTGTCCCTTCTGAGTATAGCTGGAACAGTGCTCTGTTTGAATAATTTTATACCTTCGCTTAGAACTAAAATTTCTGCAAAGTTATACCAAAATGCTGTTAAAATATATACATTGTATAAGCAACAATTGTATTATAAGATTTAGCATTAAATTTTAAGATCATCCAATATAATAAAATTTAATAACCAATAAACTTTACAATTTGGCCATGAGAAAATTTATTTCTTTTGCTTTTTAACAAACAAAAAATTAAGACTGCAATACAAACAAAAATGTCATTTCTTTGGGCAGCATTGTTAGGAGAGAAATCAGAAATGACTACGTCCTTACCCTAAGAATTTTTTAGACAAGTAGTTAAAAAAAAATTCAATCCGTATGTTCTTCCACTTTTCTAGGCCCAAAGTTATTTTTTACTGAGTGGTACAAAATAGAAAACGGACATTTTATTCTGGCACTGTGACCTTCTCTAGGCCCTGCCCATGTTACTCTGATACAACATATTTCTGGCACACACTTGTAATATAACCAGCAACCACTCTCCTTAAACACTGAACTTGACAGCAGGTGAAAGGGAAAAAATTTTCTTTTGCATCAATAAAGAGTGCTACACTATAAACACACTTCCTTCTTTGATAAGATAGATGATTTTTTAAAATTACTAATTCAGTTAGGTAATTGCTCAACACTTATTTTTTTCCAGCTATAAACATGGAAACATGTAATTTTTGTTCTGAAACCAATGAAGCTCATATTATAAACTACTTATAATTTTTAAAACGAAATCTATAGCTGATCCATATGTTTTCCAACTAAGACACAGTATAAAACCTCTATGTTTTAAAATGCCATAACCTCCATACATACCCACACATACATATACACATCGATGCAACTCTGCACTTACCCATTGATGACTTAACCTTTTAGCATGGATTGGTGAGGGGCAGGGGGAAAAGAACTGGGGAGAATTTTTTTTCAATAGGCATATTTACTAAACAGGACATTTTACTCAGTATTTTGTTTTAGTGTGTGGGGGGAATCATAATTGTATTTAGACTTTATATGGCATGGGTTACTCAGTTCACAGCAGAAGCACCTGCAGCAAATTAATTTGTTGTAGCACATTAATTATCTCATAGCTTCTATTTAGGCTGCAGCTGTTGCTATTATGTTAATAATATTTTTTATTACCACTGTATACAACAGGTTATGGCAATAATAGAAATATCTCTTTCTCTCTCTCTCTTTTTGGCTTCCCCCTCTTCCCCGTTGTTTCCATTTTTCTGTCAGAAGGGGAGAATGAAAGAAATTTAGGCAAATTAAGCCCCAAAGCGCACTATAATTTTCTATTTCTGAACTGATTTGTAAGAGAATGGGTAACTGAAATTAGCAAAGAATCACCCCACACAAAGATGGCGCGTGCAGAATTTGTGAAAGCGAAAAAGAAGACGAAGGAGAAGCAAAGAGGGACGGAATACTGCAGTGCTAGGGTGGTGAGTGTTTGGATGGGGGCGGGGAAAATGCTGCAGTTTTCATGAAATAATAAGGTGGGGAAAAAAAGGCATACAAAGAGTAGGTTTTTCATTGTTTGTAAAATATAAACACAGATGAATTCTGTCTTTGGTTTGTTCATGCTTTTCAGTCTGCACAGCAGGGATGTTCTTAAGAAGTTGCCCTCTGCGAAATTTCACTAAATGGGAACCGTGGACCCTGCATGATGGGATTATAATCACACCAGCCACTCCTTTTACATAATTTTTTGTTTAAGATCCAGTAAGACTCCCTGTTTTTAATACATATAAAGCAACAGACATGTATATGTCGATAAACTGAGGGTTTGCGTCCCTATTGCCTGGTGCAAGCTACAGCAAAAAACCGGTGATATCACATCTACAAATCTCAATGGATTCAAAAACAATATGAAAATTTTTAGCTGACAAGAACATGTCTGCTGCCTGCAGTCCCTGCAATAGCTCACCATGTTGCCTACTAACCAAAAGATCAAAAATTATCGATTTCATGGCGCTGCGAGGTCTGGAAAGAAAAGCTACTTTAAAATTTGCATTGTTTAAGAAATGACTTAAAAGAAAAGAATCATTTTTTTTTCTGAATACTTTGGAAGGTGAAAATGGCTTGTTTTAATCTTATCCATGATTTACTATAATTCTATTATTTTTAGCAGCTGGAGTCCAGAAATGATTTTTTCGATGAATTTAGGATTTTGCCGCAGTATACATCTGCAGTCCCAGAATCCTCCGGTAAGTTAATCCTTCTTGCGATGGGAAACGCCTTTAACCTTCTTGTGAATGAAATATCTGCAACCATTTTGAAATTTTTAATGGGGTGTGTGTGTGTGTGCACGTGCGTGTGTTGCGGGTGTGTGTCTCCGAAACATGATTTCTTAGAAATGCAGCGGTACTTGTCTGAGTTCTTAGAAACATTGAGAAACATATATACCTTTATGTTCTTTGAATATCATGGACGATGACTCCATTGCTTCTCCTTCATACTTTGTATGGTAGCCATTAAAATGTACTTCCTTAGTCTGGCAAACCAATGAAGGCCTCGAGTACACATAACTCCAAGCATGTAGGGTGTTCCTGACATAACTGAAGTGACCAGGCCATAGCAACCACCATGGCCATTGCCTCCCGCCACCTTCACCGCCCCTCCCTCGCTCTGCAGTATACATCAGCTGCAAGCTTTCCACAGTGGCTTTCCGCCGAACTTGCCCAGTGGGTTCCTAGATTACTTCTGTGTGCGAGAATAGCCAACCATGTAGTCTGACAAGAGGTATTTACAACTACTTAGCCTGTTCAGCTGGAAAGAAATCAAAAGATAACACTGAACCCTGAGATGATGTATTACAAATCAAAAGTCCCAATCCATAAATAGCCCACCTGATGAACTGCTAAATGAAAAGCTGATCCTGATTGTTGTCCAGTGTTTTTACATTGTCCTAAGAAATATTTTTAACAAGCCTTCTTGGAGAGTTGGGATTGTTTGTTTTTAAATGCATGGAATATTATTCTTACCTTTCTGCTGGGAAGGGAGCCTTCCGAGGGGATTCGGATGTAGAGTCCAAGTGAGACCACACCCTACTTTCACAGCTTTTTTTCTACCGTTTCTGCTTCTTTTTAAATAGGGTGGATTAACAGTTACAATTTTACATTAATTTAAGAGACTTAATCAAATGGAGCCAGTCATCCGTTTCCCTCTCTCTAAGGGAAGCTCATTGTCTTAGATGCTCAATAAATGTTTAATTAATGGATTTGATAGAGTTAAGTATCCTAAAAGTGAACGAACCTTCTTTACAATACTGGCATATTTCTGTGATTCATATTTCTGTCTGAAGTGTGAAATAATCTTGGCTTTTTTTTTTTTTTTTCCTCTCTTAAAGGTAATCAAAAGCCTCTGTTTTAGCGAAGGGATGCCTTACATTCAGGTTCAGTCTACCACTGCTTTATATGCCAGTGGCCTGATAGCGTGAAAAGAAATATCTTCTCTTTTAAACTAGCTGGAGACACTTTTGTTTCTAAGAACACAGCCTAAAAATTAGAACCACTTGTCTGTCGCCATTTTATAAAATTAATTTATGTCAAACCCGGGGTGACTGGCTCTAGAAGGAAAAGACATAAAACAGATAACCAACTGTTTTTATGAAATGTATTGTCCAAGGTCAATTCAAAAAAATTATTTAACAAAATTACTTATTTTACCAAACTCATGTATCTTGATAATGTATTTTTCTTTGATTTAATGATAGTGTTTGTCTTCATTTCACAGAAGTTATTCATCTCTTATTTTTGGTGAGACAACTAGAACAATTTCTGCTTTATGAAACATGCAAATAAAAATTAGGAGCAATGTTAAATTTAACTAACTTGGTTTAATGCTAGTCAACCAGTAATTCTTCAGTACACTTAATATGATGGGAAAAACAGCATGCTGCATTGTTGCAAATTTTACATTTTCTTTAATAAAATGTATTTGTTTACGGTGTCAGTAGGGATTAAAAATCATAATTCTAAATTTAAAGTATTTAAATTATAGAAAAATGATTCCATTATTTTGGTAATGGAACAGAGAAATACAAATATAGAAACGTTTTTATCCTTTAGATCTTCTAATGGTGCAGATATTTCTTAACCAATTTCAAGAGTGCCTTATTCAAAAACAAAAAACCTGCACATAGAAAAAGCAAACATGTTTTTTTAAAAAAAGCCCTGTAAAAGTGGTTAATCTGTCGTCTGATTTTCAATGTATGACTTTAATCAATTGCATATTCCTTAATTCTGCAAATGACAATTAAAATTAGGAATCAGTACCTGAAAACGCCATTTATACTTTTGAGTTTATATTAGAAACACGGTTTTGATGAAATACCTTTTTCGGTTCAATCTTTTTGAATTGTGACCACAACCAATAGCTACACTTAGATTCTACAGAATTAGTAGGAAAGATACAAATGAGAAGGTCTTTCTAGACAATGGATCTCACTGAACATCATCTTAGTGTGTAGACTTTTTCCACTGCAGTGGCCCACATGTGCTATGGTGACAGACGGCAGTTGGCATTACCACTTATATAGTAAAATATCTTTAAGACAAAAATAAAAGTTATTTAAAGAATACGCTGGCCCTGAAACATGAGCTGTGCCTTAAACTACATATCCTACCTCCATGAGTGAATGAATAAGTGGGTTTTCCGCCTGCATCTATGTGTTAAGACCTATTGTTTGCTTGTATTAATTGTAGTCCTGGGATAAAAGCACAGAGGTAACTTTCACTGCTGCTTTTTGTACTCTCTCCAATGTTTTGGAGGAAAAATAAGCACAAACAATAGCCTAGAGAAACTGAATCGATCATACTTGTTGCAGCTTCGACAAACGTCAATTTTGCTGCATTAGAATGGGAAACATTTTTCAGTCTATTGAAATGAATTACAAACGTTTTTAAATAGAAAATTAGTTAAAAAATTGGAGGCTGCTTAATCGATAGCTTTCTCTATAAACATACTTGGATTTCACAAATAAGTAATACCGTAAAAATCTTCTTCTCCAAAGAAAAATCCCCACAAATAAATCTATTGATACCTAGTGACAAGTGGAACCAGATAAAAATGGAATCTATAAGAATTAACCTAATTGACAGCGCTCTGGAGCTAATCCATTTCCATTAGTTATTTGTTCACAGTAGGTACTCCTAAGGACTTGTTGAATTGCGGGCTTGGCGCCCGTTCTACGGAGAGTTCACAGCCTTCGTGAGTGGGGACAGAAGGCGGCTCGGCCCGGTGATTCAGGTCGAAATTCAAGCTGAACAGCCTGCTGAGAGGTGGGATCCACCATCCGGACAGTGGGGGGCTTTGGGGGTGCTGTGAGACTGGGCTGCGACCCAGGTCCAGCAGGGAGTGTGCGGCACAGACCACAAGGTCGGCGAGGCCCCCTAACCCGCGCCCGGCCGGGAACCCGCAGACCAGCGACGGGGCAGCTGCGGGGCCAGGAGCGCCCCAAGACGGGCGGGCGCTGAACCCGAGCCCCTGCCGCCGCCCTGGCCCCGAACTTCCGCCCTCCCAGGACCTGTCCCGGCCGCCCCGAGCGGTACTCGAAGGCCGGGGCCGAGATGCCACCTTCCGCAGGCCGCGGGAAAGGCGCGCCGAGTCCTGCAGCTGCTCTCCCGGTTCGGGAAACGCGCGGGGCGGGGGCGTCGGGCTTGGGACAGGGGAGGATACCAGGGCCACCTTCCCCAACCCAGGCCGCGGGGGCCCGGCCTCCCCGATGCAGACCACAGCGCCCTCACGGGCTGCCCTCAGGCCGCGCAGCGGGCAGCCGCCAGCCGTCACCCCGGGGAGCGTCCGTGGGGTGCCCAGGCACCCCACCCCGGCCCGGGGCGCTCAGACGGCAGCAGACTGCTGGGCGGCGCGGGGACTACTTTCCACCGCCCCCTCGCGCCCCGCCCCTTGTCCTCGCGCGGCGGAACGCTCCGCGCTGCGCCGGTGGCGGCAGGATACAGCGGCTTCTGCGCGACTTATAAGAGCTCCTTGTGCGGCGCCATTTTAAGCCTCTCGGTCTGTGGCAGCAGCGTTGGCCCGGCCCCGGGAGCGGAGAGCGAGGGGAGGCGGAGACGGAGGAAGGTCTGAGGAGCAGCTTCAGTCCCCGCCGAGCCGCCACCGCAGGTCGAGGACGGTCGGACTCCCGCGGCGGGAGGAGCCTGTTCCCCTGAGGTGCTTGGGCGCTCCTTTCCTTATCCTTCCGGGGCTGCTCCCGCTTCCTCTCGGAGCCAAACTTCGTAGCAGGCGCGCGGTCCGGGCGGCGGGCTGGGCGCAGCCGGGAGGCCTGGGGTTGGGAGCGGGGAGCTCAGGTGGGGGACGGTGAGGGTGGGCCGCGCCCGGGGCGCGGAGGGCGGCGGCCGGGCCCGGGTTCCGGTCGCGCTGCCTCTCTGGGGCCCTGGGGGCATCGCTTGCGGGGAGGGGGCGCCGCGGGGGCGCGTACAGGAGCCCGGATGGCAGGCGGGGTGGGGGTGGGGGTGGGGGTCTGTGGTTTCCGTCCGGGGCTCTGGCCTTGGCCGAGTTTGGGGGAGGGACCCGGTGCCTCGGGATGCGCCGGGCCCTGGGTGGGGGGCGGGGTGGGGACGGGGGGCTCCGCCTTCTCAGCTCTTGCGGCGAGTTGGGGTTCGGGCGCTGAGGCAGAGACGCCACCCTAAGTCCCATCAGTCCTGGGGATCGGACCAGTGGACTTTCTCTTAAGATTTCCTCTTTCATTCTTAAGAATAGAAGTGTTATTATTTTTTTTAATGCCCTGGCTATGTGAGTTTGAATCGAAGCAACTTTAAACCTTAGAGCAACTAAACTCTAAGTGCAGCGGGTGCGATGCGTCAGTAGGGTGAGCACATAAAAAATCCATGTCTTGCACCTGTATTTTAGCGTACTATGCAGGTGAGTGAAAGCAGTGGATAATGTACTGGGAGTCTTATGGATTTATGGTAGTGGGTATGAGACCCTGGTGAAATAAGGGGGTGGAGGAAGGCGAAGGTGATGGCTTACTGTTTCTTACCAAGTGAACTGCAGGATTCAGCCTCTGACTCAGACCGCTTCGAGAATTTTGTTCGTAGAAATAATTTAAATTTATTCAAATAGTTTGATGGCAGCTAAAATTGAATTATAGAGCACGTTTTCTTTTCAGCGGAGTGAATTTTTCCTTCGCTCCAAAGCTGGCCAAATGGAATTCAAGCATTGCAACTTCTTTCAGTGTTTTGTCTGGAGAGAGGACTTTGAACCGAGACTTTTCGAAGTTAAGTTCCTATAGCCTGCTTCTGAATCTGCCAAGCTTGAAAGCTTTGGCAGTTGGGTGTATGTAGTTGTTGCCTTCGTTCTCTTCCCTTTTGGAGGGAGCGTTGTCTCCTACTTTGTATCTTCCAGACATCTGTGGTCTTCCCCCCACCCCTCGAGTTTGTGAGTGGTGAATGAAGAAAGACTAGGCTGCTGGTATGCAGAGGTCGGCAAAAGGAAATCGAGGAGTGGTTTTAGTGAAATGAGAGCTTTGTATCATGAATAATGGTGGCTTAGGCTAGACATCAACTTGAAGAGACGGCAGCATTTCCTTTCATAAAGTCTAGGCTAATGTTTTTCAGATCGCTAAGTTGTAGTTTGTCTGGAATTTAGGAAGCCATTTCAGTATTTGTCACTTGGTGAACGAACATTCAATACCTTCAGATGTCTTCGTGTTGACTTGTATTCATCCTAAGAAATAGTAAATATAGTCTCAAGTGTTATTTATGTTATACTGCTGGTTTATTCTCTGCTTAAATTATTGACATAAATTTCTACTTTGGAGGCTTTTCGTTTGAACTAAGGCTGTGCGGAATTTATTTTACTTTTATATTTAAATCTTTGAAAAATCTCTGATTAAAAAAAAAGTACCCTTAAAGGTTTGAGGATGTCCTTTCACACCAGACAAAATTTGGTTAATTTGCGCCCAATATTCATTACTTTGACCTAACCTTTGTTCTGAAGGCCGTGTACAAGGACAAGGCCCTGAGATTATTGCAACAGTAACTTGAAAAACTTTCAGAAGTCTATTCTGTAGGATTAAAGGAATGCTGAGACTATTCAAGTTTGAAGTCCTGGGGGTGGGGAAAAATAAAAAACCTGTGCTAGAAAGCTTAGTATAGCATGTAACTTTAGAGTCCTGTGGAGTCCTGAGTCTCCCACAGACCAGAACAGTCATTTAAAAGTTTTCAGGAAAAACCAACTTAAAAAAAAATAAGGTGGCTAATTAAAAAAAAATGAAGCATTTAACAGTGTTCAGGTTTCAGAGTATGGAAGAGGGGTTTTTTAAACTGTTATCTGATTATTTCTTTTACCAACATGATATAGAAAAGTGTATTTCCAGTATTAAAATTTATCAGACTGAGCTTACTGTTCCTGTTAATGACTGGAATAAAAATTGGCATAAATGAGGGTCTGTATGCTTGTTTTAATAACACCACCACCAAGATAGAAAACGAGGAGGCAAGTTTCTCCAAGGGTATTTTGAAATGTGTTAGCAAAACTATTGCAGATACTCGTTTTTGTTATAGGGTGAGGTGGGGAGAGGCGCATGCTAAGTATTGTTGAAACTAGGGATGTAGAGAATTAAAAGTTTGAATATAATTATTTTGTAGTTATAAGTAGCAGTGAAATTAAATCTCCTGCAATAGACTATAGAAGTATATTTAGCCAAATGAAACTTCAGTGTTATTGAAATGAAATAATACATCTGTCCTGTTACAAGATTATTTTTATTTCTCTTGTGGTTTCCTAGCTTCTGATAATCAATAATTGTAGATGAGTAGGTGGTAAGTTTTAAGTTTGTACTTTGAGCTTAGTCGGAAGCATGCTTGACTGCCAACCCGGGGCACAAAGGATGAAGGCTTTTAGAACTGGACAAACTTCTAACAAAAGGTATTTGCAACTCTTTTGTAGTGTGTCATGTTGATTTGTGACATTGTTTTTGAAAATATGTGTTAACTTAGTTTTCTTGTAGCCCTCTTTTTATTGGAACTGTGGTATCTATTGTTGAAACTGCTTGACTGAGAACATTTTTATACCATAAAAGTAAATAGTAAACATAGCCCAGGAGCGGCTTCTGGTTTGTCCATCGTATGTAGCCATTGCCTCCTTGTACTCTCATTGAGAAGATACTGATTTGCAGATTCAGTTGTCCTTCTCTAACAGACTATTTATGTAATATTGCAGTTGTGATTGTGATAGGTAAGTGGACCAGTCGGTTAAAATAAATACTCAGGTTTCACAAAAGGAAAATAATATGATTTGTGTTGATCTAAATGAGTATAGGAGTTAACTCCTATAGTTTTTCATCACTTAAACTCAGGGGAAAGTTCTTTATTTCCTCTGTTTACTTAAGAATGCTGCTTTTGTGTTTCATGCAAGACTGAGCTTGACTCAGTTTGAAACCTAGGCTCATCTGTTGAGGCCTGAACCCTGCTGTCCTTGAAGTATGCATATAATTTGCTTCCTTCCTAAGGAAAAATAAGCTCTTGAAAGATAAAGTCAATCACATTAGGAACCCATTTTTAGGGTTTAGCCACTTTTTTTTTTTTTTTTTTTTAACTCATGGGCATCTCTTCTGTTAAGAGACATTCCCCACTCTCCAAGTTTCCCTCAAGCCTGAAGCAGCAGAGTGAGTAGTGTTGGAGCATGTTTTCATTGCATGCTTGGGTCATGTTGAGTGCCCTCCAGTGGATATAGTATAATGCTTGTGATTTTTTTTTTTTTAATTCCAAACAAGTTTATGTGGGATATATTTAGGAATAGTTCTGATGAGGGAGAATCAACTAAGAAACCTTTGATTTCTAAAATAATTAATATCATTACTGCTAATTAAAATACAGGCTTGAGAAAATGTCTTCTCAGCCAATATTTGCAGTAGAAAAGTCGGGAGGTTTTTTAAGGTCACTTTGAGTAGGCAGTTCTGCTTAAATATATCATAATGATAAACCAGAATCTCAGTATAGTACTTTAGGAGGTAAAAGATCATAATATTCAGTTATATTGATGAATTACAGCAACTGAAATTCTCAGAAAAAAATTAATGAAAATGTGAATTGTCAATTTGTCTAAAATCATTCACAGAGTAAAACATAAGTGCTCAACTTGATTATATTAGGAAATAGATAGAAATAAAGGTAATTGAGCCAGTGTATGTGACCTAAAATATAATGCCCTTAGTGACCATAGGGTTGGTCTCATTTGTACATAGTGGTGGGCCATGATGAACTGTGTTTTGCCCTTTGAATTTTTCCTTAAAAAGCTTTCTCTAGGCTCCTATGTTCATGGTTTTTCTGTTAGTAATATTATTTTCTGAAAATCCATGTTTCAAATCAGAATCTAATTAGCAACAGGAATGAAGCTTATTCTAAATTAGTTTTTGGAAGTTAAACGGTCAGCATATGGAAATTTTTCAGGGTTTAGATTTTTAAAAATTTGTTTTTCAGAATATGTTGCTGGAATGAAAACGTTAGCGTAGGGACGGAAAATGACACTTACCAGTGATTGCTTTACTTTGCCTGTGGAATTCAGTGTAATTTTGTGGAAACATTGGTATATGATTTTTTACTACTTAAGAAATGTATTGCTATAGTTAGGGTTTTTTTTTTTTTAAAGGCAAGAATGCCTCAAGTGCTTTATGTGAATGATTATTTCAGGATGGATTAAATATTCCTCCATCAAGGACCATACTTGTAAATCAGTGATTTCCAAGTTGGTGCTTAGTATTTACAGCATTTACTGTCTATAAGCTTCTGTTCTGATTTTTCAAGAGTTTTCTGAGAAATGAGAGTAGGCTTAAAAGTTCTTTGAAAAATTATGTACATACAACTTACTGAAAAAAATTGCTACCGGGGACTTAATTTGTCTCTTGAAATGGGCTACTTGCCTTCATTAATGTAGCATACTACAATTTGATGTTCAAGATATGTTACTAAGAATAAGATCGCTTTCAGAAGCCTTATATAGGATTGGTCTTACTACATTGTAGTGGGAATGGCTACTCAAATGTCTCCAGGGCCAGTTAGGTATTGGGTAAATGGGACCATGCAGACTATTAAAAATTGAAGTGCACATGAAGCAGCCAGTCATAAGCAGCTCCAGCCACTGTGTGGGAATATAGTTTATGTTGCCAGATCATCTGATTTCTTTCCCCTAAGTGGGAAATCCAGATCAATGTACATCTCTTGATTTGCAAGTGTTGGTGAACAAAATTCATATTTTAAGATGCTGTATTCAGCACAAATTAAATACACTTATTTGCTGAATACTGCCAGTTTGTCCCTCTGCAGTAGTACCATTTGAAGTACAGTGTTTTCATAATGATTCTGTGAAATGACTGGTTCTGTGAATGTACATAATTTAGCAGATAACATTGTTAAATTATTAGGTTTGTATTTATTTAGGCACTTGGGAAATGCCTTGTGTCAATTGATTATAGATTAGGAGCTTAAAAGCAAGATTTATATTATCAACTTATTTGTGAAGACTGGGAAACCCACATTTTTAAAGTTAGGAATTAAGATGGCCAGGTTCAAGGAAAAGGGGGAGAAGTAACTTTCTTATTACTCAACCATCTTAAATAGAGTTCTTTAAGTGTATTTTTAAGAGGTCTCAAAACTTAATCTGAAGGGACGTCAAATGCTGGACAAATTCTGTGTATACAACTCAAGTCAGCCCCCAATTTTACTGGTCTTTAAATCATGTCCTTTTTACCAGAAGTTTGCATTTCTAAGCTAAACTATTACTGTTAGACTAGATCCAAAACTTAAAAACAGTTTAGGTAATTAAAAATTAATTGAATATAAACGTTTTACTTAAATTAATGGCAAATGGCTTTTTGGCCAATTTAAGTTTATGTAGGCAGTTAAATCGATTTTGGTTAAATCTTTTGCTGCTAACAAGGTATTTCCAGATTTTGAAAAGTGGGGTGGCCTGGTGCCTGTAGTACCAGCACTTTGGGAGGCTGGGGAGGGTGGATCACCTGAGGTCAGGAGTTCGAGACTAGCCTGGCCGACGTGGTGAATACAAAAATTAGCCAGGCATGGTGGCAGGTGCCTGTGATCCCAGCTGCTTGGAAGTCTGAAGCATGAGAATTGCTTGAACCTGGGAAGCGGAGGTTGCAGTGAGCTGAGATCACGCCACTGCACTCCAGCTGGGGCAACAGAGCGAGACTCCATCTCAAGAAAGAAAAGTGGGGTGTTTAGTCTTCAAACTCCGTGTTTAAGTGACTGGAGTGAAAATGTAAATCATAGGCCGGTGTTGGTTTAAAAAGCATCATCTGAAAATAATGCTGTAGTCTGCAATTATTTTTATTACGATACGATGGTGTAAAATACAAGCAGATCAGTGAACCATTCATGAAACATTAATCCTAAAGGCGTCTCACCCCAAGTCTATCCCACAATCTCCATGAGACTTCGTGGAACCACTGTAAAGTTTCTTGTGTAATATCCCAGAAGTTTCCTACCTCTGGTATCTTTTGAACTTGTTGAAAAGGCTTTTCCACCCCCTCTTTATGATGGTTTGAAGAGTGTGAACATCTGAATGATGCTGGGGTGAAACTGCTTCATAACACTTCCATTTTCTCCCCTATTTATTTCCATATTTTTATTTTTTCACTAATATCCCCACGGTTTTACTTCTGTTTTAGTAATTCACATGTTGCTGGACTAATTCTTTTTAACTGACTTGTAACAGATATGTTAAACCGTTTAAAACTTGGGGGGTATTTTTAACCTACTTTAAGTTAGTTCAAGTTAATCAGTCTACATGGCATATAAACCTTATGATTAATAAATCTTAAATGCTGGTAGCTGAGTTGGAAGCCAAAGACGTACAAAAAAGCTGAAGTGTTAGGTTTAGTGTGATAAGCTTCTCTTACTAACAGGGTTTTGTAATAGCAGAAATAGATATATGCATATATATGTGCATATATATAGCATACCTTATTGGATGTCCATATAAAAATGTGTAAGAAGTTAAATTTACTGCAAAATTTCTTGGGAGTGCAATTTGAAGATGATCTTAAGTGGTGATAGTAGTTTGCTACACTGGGGGATAGTTGTTGCAAACTGCTCCTAATTTTCCTTTACTGTGAAGTAAACTGAACAGCTGTAATAGGGATTAGGAACTGTACTCCCTCTCTCTCTTTTTTAAGTATAATTAAGTGGTTTTGGGGTAAGGGTGTAGGGAGTGAGTGTCTTTGAAGTTTTGCATATACTAGATGAATGCCACATGTATAAGGGAGGAACAAGGGATTCTTGGAAATATTTTTCAATCCAAGTAACTTTGGAGGCTTCCAAGTGGAGTTCATTCCCCTGTGTAGGAAAGTGCTGGGGTAGACCCTTAAATTCCTTTCTGAGCCATTGAAAGAATGTCCTCAAACTTCGCTTATACTTTATAGTTCATTTAGATACAAAAGTTACAAACTGAATGCTATTTAGGAAACGTAATACACTGACATACCGCTCTTTAAATAGATTATAAATTTAGTATATCAATTTTCTGGCATTTTGCTGAATTTTATTGTTTAGTTTTCAAGCCCAACTATCTTGTTACTTTGTATATCGTAGTTGTCCCCCGTTGATCACTGTTTCCTGCTTAATTGTGCTGTCGTTTTTCCTGGGTCCTGATTCAGAGTGTCAGCATTCTGTTCCCCATAGAATAAGAAGAGGCTAGAAAGTTTACAGATGAGATATCTAGGAATGCCAGAAGATCAGGGGTCACCGTTGAGGCAGAGTAATTAATTATGGTTAAAATGGTGTTGCTGATAAGTGGGTGCTGGGAAATAATTAAAATTTGATTTTTTAGAAGAATACTTCTCATGCTTGAAGAGCGCCCTCATTATATGCTAAAGGGCCTCAGGTTTTTCCTTATTGCCATTATGCTGCAGATTCTATTACATTTGTCTGAAAAGATCTAAGACAGAAGGGCTGTTTAATACCTTCCCTTTTCTCCTGAACTTCCCCTCTCCTCTCCCCCATCAGGAGCTAAGTAGGAACCCCTTCACCTTGTTACCATCAGATTTCATCAATGGTCTGTCTTTACAATGAAGGAAGTAGTACTGCATTCTGGGCAGAGGCCAGTCCTGAGGCATGCCTTTTCAAGGACATTGTTACTTTAGTTACACTGGCTCTTCTGTTTTAACTCTTATCCCCCAGACTCTAATCCTGTTGCTTTTTTTGGTCCCCATCTCCCACCTTTCATCATCTGAAATCCATTCATTGTAACTTCTGGAACTCAGTCGTTAGAAAATCCTTTATATTCTCAATCTTGTGAATGTTCCTTTCTTTCTTATTCCAGCTGTAACCTAGCCTTCTCCCCAAGAATGCTACTTCCCTTGCAGCTCTCTCAAGTGGTGAATTTTTCCCTTCTTGCACACCTTATAACACTGAACTAGGAGGTGTGTGGACTAAATGTCTGCTTTTGTTCCTTATTGTCACTTCTTGACCTTTATTTTCCAAAACTTCAAGCTTTGACTTTCATGTGATCAAATTATACCACCCACTGCCTGTCTTTATTTCAAGCACCTGCAAACCTTCCTGGGTCATTCACATCCTTCTTTGTTCACTTCATTAGCTCTTGGCTCATTGTCACTGTCTCTTATTTCTGTCATAATTCTTGGTGACATCAGTATCTATGTAGAGCAATACTAGTGAAGATGTGGTCTGGTAACTGTTACCTGTATGAATTAAGATAAGGAGTTATGCCAGAATATAAGTCACCTGTGTCACTAAGTTTACTGTTTAGCTTACTTTTTTTGTAGCAAGATTTTGATGAAGGACGCAATATGTTGATTTACAGTCTGGTACAAATTTTGATGTAGAAGATGCTTCCAATATCCTGGTCTCTTAGTTCCTTGATTTCTTCTCCAGTGATCTTATTTTCTACCCTAACTCAACTACATATTCCCATTGTCATATCCTAGAATATTTTGTCTTTTATCTGTAACTCTGCTCTCTTCCCCCAATCTCATTTCAAGCATCCCACTTTCTAATTCCTCTAGTAAATACGTCAGTTCCAACAGCCCATCAATCCCATTGGGACCTACAGTTTATCTATCCAAGCTTTTCCCTGTTCCTCACCCTCACTTCTATACAGCTGAAGTTTCATACTGAATTATAATCACTTTCTCGTATACACGTTTAACAATCTTGTCCCTCCCTGGCTTCATGCCCAGTGATCTCTTGTATCTATGACCATGTCCTTTATCTTCTCCTCTGTCACTGGATGAACTGTAGCCTTCCAAGATAAGGCCACTCAGTTCATTTGTACAGCAGATTCCATCCCCTCTTGCTCTCAAGAATATTACTGTGGTATCTCTCTTTTCTTGTCTCTACTGGCTCTTTCCATGAGCAAACATGGTATTATCCCATTACAAAAAAAATTTTTTCTCCGTCTCTCCTTCCACTCACCACCTCAGTCTCTGCTTCTCTTTCCCGCAAAATAACCTTGAAAAATTGCTTTATGTACTCCCGTTTTCTTTTGAACCCCTGCCAGTGACCACCACGTTATAAATTTGTAGTTGTCATCTCACTTAATCTGTTAGTAGTATTTGGCACCATTGCTACAGTTGCTTGAAATGCCTTTTCATTGGTTTCCAGGCCACCATGTCTGTTAGCAGCTTTTCCTCTTACTTCACTAGCATTTCCTTCTTTGTTTTTTCTGTTATCTTTCTGACCTCTGTTGGAGTGGCTGAAGGTTTAGTCCTTGAATCTTTTTTTGTTGTGCATATTTACTCCAGTATCATAGCTTTATACAGATGGTATTTACATCTGTTTGCTAACGATTTCCAAATTGGTATCCTTAAACTGGTATCCAGCTATTTTTTGGTCAGCATTTTGGATGTCTAAGAAGCTTCTCAAACTAAACTGACCTCCCGGTTTTCCCCAAAGCTGCATCTTAGTCTTTTCCGAAATGCAATTCTGTCTTTCCAGTTACCTAGCTTAAAAGCTTGCAGTTCTTGACTCATCTTTCTCTCATACCACGTATCTGAATTCTCTCTGCAAAAAATTGTCTGTTCTCCCTTCAGAATAAAGTCACGTGTCATTTTATGATGGGGATACATTCAGAAATGCGTCATTAGGAGATAATCATGGTTGTGTGAACATCAGAGTATACATAGACAAACCTAGATGGTATAGCCTACTACACATCTAGGCTATATGGTGTGGCCAATTACTATGATGAATACTGTAGGTAATTGTAACATAAAGGTAGGTATTTTTATCTAAACGTATTGAAACATAGAAAAAGTACAGTAAAAAATATGGTATCAAAAATAAAAAATGGTACAACTGTATAAGGCAGTTGTGATGAATGGAGCTTGCAGGATATGTTGCTCTGGGTGAGTCAGCGAGTGACGATTGAGGGAACGTGAAAGATGTGGGACATCACTGTACACTACTGTAGACTTTATAAACACTGTACACTTGGGCTACACTACATTTTTGTAAGGTTTTAAAAGACTTTTTTCTATAATAAACCTTAAATTACTGTCACTTTTTTACTTTATGAATTCTTAATTTTTTAAACGTTTTCACTCTTGTAATAACACGTAGCTTAAAACATACATTGTACAGCTGTACAAAAATTTTCTTTATATCTTTATAAGCTTTTTTATATTTTTAAAATTACTTTTTACCTTTTAGCTTTTTTGTTGAAAAACTAAGACATGGGCCAGGCGCGGTGGCTCACGCCTGTAATCCCAGCACTTTGGGAGGCTGAGGCAGGCGGATCACGAGGTCAGGAGATAAGAGACCATCCTGGCTAACATGGTGAAACCCCGTCTCTACTAAAAATACAAAAAATTAGCCGGGCGTGGTGGCGGGCACCTGTAGTCCGAGCTACTTGGGAGGCTGAGGCAGGAGAATGGCGTGAACCCAGGAGGCGGAGTTTGCAGTGAGCCGAGATAGCGCCACTGCACTCCAGTCTGGGCGACAGAGCGGAAACTCCGTCTCAAAAAAAAACAAACAAAAAACTAAGACATGAACACATTAGCCTAGGCCTACAGAGGGTCAGGATCATCAGTATCACTGTATTTCCATCTCCACATCTTGTCCTTCTGGAATGTCTTCAGAGGCAGTAAACATAAATGGAGCTGCCACCTCCTGTGATAACAGTGCCTTCTGGAATACCTCTTGAAGGACCTACCTGTGGCTGTTTTATAGTTAACTTTTTTTTTTTAAGAAGTAACAGAAGGAGTACACTCTAATGATAAAAAGTATAGTAAGTACATAAACCTGTAACAATCATTATCATTATCAAGTGTCATGTACTGGACATAACTGTATATGCTATACTTTTTTTTTTTGAGATGGCATCTCACTCTGTCACCCAGGCTGGAGTGCAGTGGTGCGAGGATAGCTCACTGTAACCTCAGACTCCTGGGCTCAAGTGATCCTCCTACCTCAGCCTCCCAAGTAGCTGGGACTACACCAGGCACCCCACCATGCCTGGCTAATTAAAAAAAATTTTTTGTAGAGACAGGGTCTCACTCTGTTGCCAGGGCTGGCCTTGAATTCCTGGCATCAAGTAATCCTCCCACTTTGGCCTCACAAAGTGCGAGGATTACAGGTAAGAGCCACCATGTCTGGCCCACTGTACTTTTATACAACTGAAGCACAGTAAACCTACTGTGGTTTCGTTTACACCAGCATCACCACAAACACCATGAGTAGAACATTGTGCTGCGACGTTAACGATGGCTACAACATCACTAGGTGATAGGAATTTTTCAGCTCCATTATAATCTTATGAGACCACTGTTGTATGTGCAGTTCATCATCCACTGAAATGTCCTTATGTGATGCATGTCTTCATATCCAAAAATATTAATCATTTCTCACTGAAGCCATGCCATGCCATGCCATCTTTTGCCTGTATTATTATTTTTCAGCTTTTATTTTAGATTCAGGGTGTACATGTGCAGGTTTGTTAGAAAGAGTATATCGTATGATGCTGAAGTTTGGGATACAGTTGAACCAGTCACCCAGGTAGTGAGCATAGTACTCAATAGATAACGTTCTAACATTACTCCTCCTTCCCTCCCTGTTCTTGTCTCTGTCTATTGTATCTTTATGTCCATGTGTACCAAATGTTTAGCTCATTCTTGTGAGAACATGTGGCATTTGATTTTGTTTCTGTGTTAATTTGCTTACAATAAATAGTCTCCAGCTGCATCCACATTGCTACAAAGGACATGATTTTGTTCTTTTTTATAGGCTGCATCATATTCCATGGTGTATAGGTACCACATTTTCTTGATCCAGTCTACCGTTCATGGGCATTTGGGTTGATTGTATCTTTGCTATTATGGATGGCTTTTGCCTATATTATTGGAAAGGCCTTCTAACTGGTGTCCCTGCTTACACCGTTTTCCCCCTTAAATGTGTTTTCAACATGGTAGCCAGAGTAACCCTTTTTATAACAATAAATCGTGTAACTTTTTTGTTCAGAAACTTACAGGGCTTACCATTTCATTCAGTAAAAGCTCAAGCTCCTGTATAGTCAGACCATATCCTTCATCACCTGTTACTTTTCTCCTCTGACTCTTCAGCCTTTTTGTTTTTCCTCAAACTGATGAAGCCTTCATGGCTGATGTCAGATGTTTTGCCCATTGAGATCTTCCTTGTTGACTCAGTTGCACTTGGTCATATGATTTTCATTTATTTGGGGTATCTAATCATAATCTGAAAGTTGGCTACTTATTTTTACCCCTTTGAGGGTCCTTGCCCTGTTTTTGTATCCCTGATAGCGGGACAGCCAGATATCTGGAACTTACAGGTGTTCAATAAAGTTTTGTTGAATGAATATTCTGGAATCACCCAACCTTTTTTTTCCCCTCCACTTATTTTTCTTCTCCCTTTCACGGCCTGAAAGATGTCCTATGTATATGGTTCCACTTATCACTCTCATCCCAGTTTGTGATATACTATTCCATTATATTACTATTATTAATACAATTCCATTGAACTTGCTCTTGCTGACTTCACCACTGGACCTACATGTTGGCCAAATGGATACTTTATAATTTTAGTCTTGACCCCTGCCTTTGGCACATTTCTTACCTCTAGCACAGCACTGTCCAGTAATCCACACTTTCTGAGACAGTGGAAATGTTCAGTATCTGTGCTGTTCAGTTGGTAGCAACCAGCTACCCATGCCTATTAAACATTTGAAATGTGGCTGTGTGACTAGTGGCAATTATGTTGGAGAGTACAGTTTTAGAAACTCCTGTTTTTCTTACATGGCACTACATTTAGTATCACAATCTAATTGTGCAAGCCAGATAGGTAGGAGTCATCTTTATTCCTGTTATTTAATTTTTCTCATCTACTATATCCAGTTCATCACATCAACAGCGCCTGTTGTTTCTACCTCCTAAATATTTCTTTAGTCTAACTACTACTTGTCCCTAGTGCCACCACCATCTATCAGCTGGAATATTGCTATAGCTGCCTTACAGGTTTCCCTTCTTTCCTGTTCTCTTCTAGTTTTTTGAATTTTAGTCAGCACGAGATTTTAAAAACTCAAATAAGATTGTGTTATTCACCTGCTTAAAACCTTTCATGACTTTCAGTGTCACGTAGAACAGAAAACACTTTTCTTACCAAAGGCTAGAGAGCTCTACGTGATCTGGCTATTTTTAACGTTTCATTGCACTCACCCTTTTCCTCTATAATCAAACTACTCTGATCTCAAGGGTTAGTTCTTGAAAGATGATCATGTTCTTTAATGACTTTAGGTTTTTGTGTGTTATTTTCTATTTCTGGGATGTTTATTCTCTGTTCCTTACATGCTGGCCCTTTTGCATCCTTCTTCAGGTCTCAGCTTACATGTTACCTTCAAGAAGCCTTTGACCACTCTAAGTGGGCCCTTCCTTCCACTTCTGCTGTGTAATCCCACTCCCTTCTCCCACTTGTTAATTAGTTACATACTTTTTTGTAATTGTTTATTTGGTTGCTGTCTCCCTCTCAAGAATGCAGGGACCATGTCTGCATTCTGCAGTAATCACTACTGCACACCCAGAATCTATTACAGATCCTGGCATGTAGCTGATGCATAAATATTTGTTGAATGAAAGTCTGTACATTGTATTTATGCTATTGGTATTGCTATGACCTGAAACTAAAAGGAGTTGTGGAAAAGATTTCTTATGGAACAGAAATATCCCTTTTGATTAATATCACAATCTCGTAAATTGAGAAAACAAAAAAATATATACTACTGGAGCATTCATGTATAGTTGGAGATTATGACTCATTTATTGGTGTGTTTTTGGACTCAGAACAAAGATGAGGGAATATTCCTTAAAGCTCTGTATTGAAATAACGAAAAGCAGTCACATTTTAATAATAGAAGCTTCCTAGCTTACTCTTTCTGTAATCTTCTTTTCCTAAATGTAAGAGAGCCTCATAATTATGAGGCTTATTACTAGAGTAAGGCTGTCAAAGGCAGCAAAATGTCTTTCTGTTTGGAAGAATAACATAAACTTGACATGTATGGTGGGGGACAGAAGGTTTCAAAAGTTTAAGAATCTGTGTTGTCTTAACAAATAGATGCTTCTCAAGGAGCTTACGCTAGTGGTTACTCTGTCCAGTCAGGGTTTTTTCTTCTTTAACTTGGGTTCATTTCCTGATGGCACACATGAAGTTTGGATCATATGGTTTGACTTTAGCTATGGTCCTTAGCTATGGGGAGCAGCATCAGCGACCTGTGACATGTAAATTAAAAATACAATGCCAGGGCCCTTCCCCAGCCCCTCTGATAGAGAACCTCTTGGCCATCTGTATTTTTAGATGTTCCAGGTTAGTCTGATTAACACCCTTGGTTAAGAACCATTGGGAGGATCTGATTGCCAGTTTAAGGGGACCTTCAAGCCTGTAGGTCTTTATAGTTAAAAAAAAAAAAAGATTTTAAAAATCATGCATATGTTGTGGCTGAATTCTGGTTTAGCACATACTGCTTTTAATGGCCTGAAATGTTTTTCCCAAATAAATTGTCTTGTTATAGCTTTCATGTGTGATTTGGTCCAGCTTCTTGTTTTGAAGATACTTACGGGGGGGAACACTTTGTGATTTCTCTTAGTAACATATTAACCCACTTAAAAACCCTTTCTATTACAGGTCTTCACATTTAGGCTTAATGTGCTTAATTCAAATGTAAAAATACACCTGCCTTTGTTCTCAGTGAAAGTATGTAATAAATAAATGAGGGGTTGGCAAACTACTGCCCACCATCTGTTTTTTTATGGCCTATGAACTAAGAATCGTTTTGGATAGCTAAAAAAAAAAATCAAAAGGATAATTATTTTGTGACGTGAAAATTATATGAAATTCAAATTTCAGTTTCTGTGAATGAAGTTTTAATGGAACACAGCCATCCATGCTTATGTAAGTGTGCATATTCTCTGGCTGTTTTCACTGCAATAGCAGAGTTGAGTAGTTGTGACAAAGAGTTTATGGCCCACAAAACCTAAAATATTTACTTTCTGATGCTTTACAGAAAAAGTTTCCTGAACCTTATTCTAGCTATATGTTGTTCATAAATGAATCTTTCGTGGTTCTGAAGGCATTTAAGAATCTCTTAGGTTATAAATTGGCTGGGCGCAGTGGCTCACGCCTGTAATCCCAGCACTTTGGGAGGCCGAGGCTGGTGGATCACGAGGGCAGGAGTTCAAGATCAGCCTAGCCAAGATGGTGAAACCCTGTCTCCATTAAAAAAAAAAAAAAAAAAAAAAAAATAGCTGGGGTTGGTGGTGGGCAGTAATCCCAGCTACTCGGGAGGCTGAGGCAGAGAATTGCTTAAACCCAGGAGGCGGAGGATGCAGTGAGCCAAGATCGCGCCACTGCACTCCAGCCTGGGCAACAGAGTGAAACACCATCTCAAAAAAAAAAAAAAAAAAAAAACACTCTTAGGTTATAAATAATTGTTGTTAGCTCTCCAAGCCTCCATATTACATTTTGTGTGTTCTCCTGTTCACATTTTGAGCATTTTATTTTTTATTAGCACATTCAGTTCATCAGGTATTTAAGAGCTTAATATATGCCAAAGCATATATTAAGCGAGAAGCTGTTTCTAAATGTACTGTCTCAGCCCTCACAGAGTTCACTTCATTAGGCTCTTTAAAATTTCTTTCTTTAAAAGGTCAGCGTGCTGGTATAGTGGGGAAGGGAAACTCTTACAACACGTCGAGTAGAGGAAGGTTATCATTATGGGATATAATTTGGAAGTCATTGAGTACCTGCCATTAATTCTGCCTGTAGTCTGAATGTAGAGATTAACATGTAGAAACTTTTTTGAAATAAAATCTTCAATTTCTTTGGCATATCTAGTACTGTCTAGCTAGGCATATAGTCAAAGTATGGTGTATATTTCAAGTATTAAAAGTTTTTTTGGGCTGTAGTCACTGTTGAAAGGATATAGTTCTTTACTATTACATGTGATACCTTTATATAAAATTGGCTAACCCCTGTCTTTCATTTATCTGCAACACTGACTGTTACCAGTTGTCTCTAACTTTGGTATGGGGGGTGGAAATATGATTAGATTGAAAGGGTACATGACTGAGCCACAAGCAGACCTGGATTTGAATTTTAACTGAACGGTTTATTAGCTATTCTTACATTAATACTGCTAATCAGTTTTCTTGTGATATGAGGAATGATGTCTTCTTTATGAGGTTGCTAGGAAGATTCAATGAGATAACATACTAGGCTCAGAACTGAAGTTGCTAGGAATTTAATTATGCTACCTTGTTAAAGTATGTCAAAGGCAGAATTCAGTGTTTAGCTGATACCACAAGGCAGTATCCTAAAATTATGCTGTAAAAGATATAAAGATGCTGTAAGTGACTCAGAAACCTAGTGACTTTGTAATGCAGTTGATTCTTAGAATACTGTCACTTTAACAGAATAGGAGCTAGGAATGAAGAAATAGTTATTAAATTACTAAAATAGAAAATTTATTGACACATGTAAAGTGACATTTGCTTAAATATTGAAAAATTTGTAGTACTATTTCCTTGCTTTAGAAAACATTGGTTACCACTTTTTTTATTTATAGCAGTTTGTTTTTGCCTTGAGGCAAGATGGTTGACTGAGTAGTTGCCACATTTCTTTTGTACAAAGTCCATTTCATAGGCCATCTAGCTTTTATGCTTAGAAACATTTCCTTAACGTTATATTTCAGTATTTGGCTAACCTATATAGGGTTAAATTATATAGGCTAACTTCTCGGACAGATATTTCTAATAATTTATGTATTTGGTTCTGCAAATGTATGCAAAAATATATGTACAAAGGTATGCAGATGCCTTGCATACTTGATATATGTTAAATTTTTTTTAATGTAGACCTTTTTCGTTCTCTTTAATGACTATATGGTATTCCACCATCCCCCGCTCACCTGGACAACTACAGTAACCTCCTAAATGGTGTTTCTACTTTGCTATTGCCCCTTATTGTCTTTTTTCCCCTTTATAGCTGCTGGAGTGAATTTTAGAAAGCCTAAGTCATACATCACATTGCTTCATGGGCATCCCAGTACACTTTGGATTTTATTTTACATCCTTACTGATCTGATTCTCATCTCTGTCTCTTCATGGTTCTCTGCCTTCTAGTTACACTGGTGACCTTTCAAAACCTTTACCACATTGAGTTCATTCCTTACTTTTCACTCTTTCTCTGCCTGGAGTGTTCTGCCCCATCTTTACGTGGCCAGCTGCTCCTCCTCTGATGAAATGTCTCTTCCTCACAGGCCTTCCCTGACCACCCACTAGAGTAGCACATCTTCTACCTCATAAACTTGTTTATTAGTATTTCTTACTCTAAATTTTCTTTTAAATTGCTTAATTCCCTAACAGTAGAATATAAGCTTCACTGTATGTATGATCTTGTTGACTCTCTTACTCATTGTTATTGTAATACCAGTAACAAAGGGTGTTTAAAATTTGTTCAGTGGGTGAATATATGTTCCATTTAATGGATAAATTATTTTTTATTCAGTCTCCTGTTGATGGACATTTGAATAATTTCCATCTTTTTCTCTATGAATGCCTCACTTGGCATGCTTCTGACAGTATTGCCACAGAATACATTTCTGTTATAAAAATTGAATTTTTAAGTCAAAGGGTAGTTACACTTTAATGGATAGTGGCAGCTTACTATCAAAAGTTTCTGCTAGTTTCACCATATCCTTATTAGCAGTAGATATTATCAATCTTTTCAATCTTTGCCAATCTGATAAGCAAAAAGTAAATGGGTTTAAACATCCTTTGTATATATTCATTGCTCACTTTATGTTTTTCCTTTGAAATGTTATTTCTTGTTCTTTCCCTGCAGTATGATTCTTTCTTTTTTTGACTTGTTCCCAGTTTTTTGTGTACTATGGATATTAGCCTTTAATTATGTTACGGATGTTCTAGTATGTTATTTTTTGAATTACTTCAAATGTGATTTGTTGCTCAGATTTTAAAAACTACATACACAAATTATCTCATGTTTCCCTTTTTGGTTTCAATTTCGACTCATGCTTAATCAGTTCATCGATTGGGCATGGTTTTATTCTTAATATATACCCGTATTTTATCTCATTTTATTTTTTTACGTGTAAATATTTGGTGAATATAGGTTTAATTTTAATGTAAAATAAGGATGAAAAATGATAGTTGGAATTACAAGCCCATTTCTCCTAATACTTTTAATCAAGTAATCCACTAATTGAAATATTACCTTCTTCATTTATGAAATTGCCACATTATATCTGGGTGTTTTTCTGCCTACTACAGTCTCTTACCCATTTCTTTCCTAATAATACAATACTTGAATTGCTGTGGTTGTTGATTTATAATGTTATCTTAATGATAACATTATAAATGTGATGGAACTGGTTCCTCCTTATAGTTCTTCTTAAATCAAGAACAAGACATATCTTCCCATTTACTCTCGTATGTATCTCATTTTACTGTTATGAATGAAATCTGTCCTATTTGTGTATAGGAAAATAGTTTTTGTATGTAATTGTGATATGGCCAGTTTTATTAAAAATTTGGTTAAACTAAGAGTTGTTTTCTGTTCAGCCTTATCATACTATAAAATCCACATAAAATGGGTATAAAAGTGTCGCAGGACACTGGGCTCAGATGATTCTCCCACCTCAGCTTCCCAAGTAGCTGGGACTACAGCGGCATATGCCACCACACCCAGCCAATTTTTAAATAAGTTTTAAAAATAGTATTTTTAGTAGAGACAGGGTTTCACCATGTTGCCCAGGCTGGTCTTGAACTCCTGGACTCAGACAATCCACCTGCCTTGGCTTCCCAAAGTGTTGGGATTACAGGTGTGAGCCACCACACCTTGCCGAATTGCAGCCATATTTAATACTTTTTTCCATCCTATTCCCTTTGCTGCCCCCAGGCCTCCTGTATTGATAGCCCGCTATTAAGAAGCTAGTGTATATTCTTTGCATACTTTTACTTCATAAACTATATGAAGCATTGTTCTGTTTTTTAACTTAATTGGTATAAAATTATATTTTGGAAATTCAGTATATTCTGTGAAAATTATTTAGAAAATGTGCCTCTGAGATAAAGCCTATTCAGGATGTATCTTAAAGGAGATAGCTGTGCTTTAACATTATCAGTCTTTTTGGCTGCTTATGTTAATATAAGTTGGAGAAAAACAGTCTGCTTTTTGTGATAATATGTTCTTGGAGATGGAGTGAAAGATTGTTTAAAAACATTGTCTTTTTTTTCCCCTGAAGTACCAGTATTTATTTTAGGATTATGTTACTGATCAAAGATGCTGTGTGGAGTTACTCATTGGTGAGACTAACAATAAATCACACATGCAAAGGATGTTACCATAATCTAATTATTTTAAACAGTAAAATTATATTCTAAGACATCCAGTTGGCCTATATGTGCTATATCAATGACTATCAAGGGGCTTTTTATGTATACTGTATACATGTACTTCACAAAAATATAAAAGGATGACATCAAAAATCTGGCAAGCCAAAAGCCTACATTACATGTAGCAAATAAATAAGCATATGAACTTATTGGAATTTAAAACCCTGTAGGATGGGCGGGTGATGGTATGTATGTTAGATGTGTGGACATATCTATTAAAAGTTGTGTCAGATAACAGCTGGTGCTGACAAGCCCTTGGTAAGATGGCAGCATGTTCAATATGTTCTGTGAAAATTATCTCAGTTTATGATCTGTCAGTATTGTGGAGCTATGCATGAAAGGACTTAAAATTCTTACCCTTAAACTCAGTAACAGTGTTTCTAGAACTTCTGGTGATATGGGAAATTAAGAGAATTATTTATATGCAAAGGTGTTTATTGCAGCATTGTTGGAATAATAGACAAAATGGGGAAGAACAAGCTCAGAATGGAGGAGGTAGCTTATAGTATAGACATACGATACAATCCAGATGATAATATTTTATAATAGTCTTCACAAGGAATTTTATATTTTTATTTTTAAAAATACATAGCAGTGAGTTTAATATACCAAACATACCAAAATGTCATCATTTACTGTGTGGTGGACTCATATGATGGAGATGATAAATAAAAATATTAATTTATTTGAGGCATATATTTATGGCTGAGGAAGGAAGACAGTTATGAAGAACAGCTCATTCTGGAAACATACTAATTTTTCCCAGCCATAAAGAGATTTCCTATTTCTTTTTTTTTTCCATTTACCTTCTGTTTCCTACCTGAGAAGATTTCATACTTCTAATAACCATTTGTGTACCTATTTAAAGACAGTACCAAAGGCATACATTTTAGTGTTTGGAGGACCAAGGGTCATTTGATGTTTGATGCTTATTGACTATTCGAGGATGACAAGACACCTTGAGAACACACACACCCACACCCACACCCACACCCTCACCCACCCACCCCACCCCCCTCCCCGAAGAAAGCTGTGAAGGAAGAAAGCAGAAAAGAACCTGGAGTGAGTTGTAACTTAAAATGTTAGTGTTGCATGAAGTGTGTTAAAACAGGAAGATTTGAGGAAATTGCATACATTTTCTAGATGGCAAAGTATTACTGGTGACAGTTAATGAAAATGCATATGCATGTGTTTTTAGATTTACAAATTTTACTAAGAACTTTTTAAAAATCCCTGAAGGTGTATCAAAAGTTTATCATGCTTATGAAATAGAGTAGCACTTTCTAACTTTAAAACGGGGAATAATTCTTTGGATCTTGATTATTGGAAAAGTGAATTATGAATTGCTAGTATAAAACTGTGGTTTTAAAATATGTCTGCTTTATATTTTTATGTAGCAGATTTACTCCTAGTTAATAATACTCAAACTTACTGAAAACTAAGGTAATTAAGATAATTCTGTCCTGATGGGAAGAGGAAAAATAACTTCAGTGTGAAATCTATTATATATTAGTTGTGGCAAGATTTCTCCCATTGACTTTGACTGGAGACATTTATAGGGTTAAAATCGGAAATAGCACGGTGAATTTTGAAGTATCCTTGTAGTTGGAAAGAGTATTATGTTCATATTGCCAAAAAAAAGATGCATGGATGCATTAGACTGGATGGAAAATACATGAGAAGTTGGCTAGCCCCCTCTTTGTCAAAACATCACTTGGTGGTGATAAAGCTGTTGGAAAACACAGCATTCTAATGTAGTCTGTAGTTTAATGATAATCTGTGTCTTGAAACATTTAGCGTAGTACTTATACAAACCTAGATGGCATAGTGTACTGCATGCCTAGCCTATATAGTATAGCCTGTTGCTTCTAGGGTGTAAAGCTGTATAGCGTGTTACTATAGGCAGTTGAAACAGTGGTATTTATGTATCCTTTTTTTTTTTTTTAAATTCTTTTAAGAGACAGGGTCTTGCTCTGTTGCCCAGGCTGGATGCATTGGTGTGATCATAGCTCACTATAACCTTGAACTCCTAAGTGATCCTCTTTGCCTCAGCCTCCCCAGTGGCTAGGACTACAGGCACATACTACCACACCTGGCTAATTTTTAACATTTTTTTGTAGAGATGGAATTTCGCTGTGTTGTCCAGGCTGGTCTTGGAACTCTTGTGCTGCAGCAATCCACCCGCCTCCCAAAGTGTTAGAATTACAAGCCACTTCGCCTGGCTTGTTTACCTAAACATAGAAAAGATCCAGTAAAAATACAGAATTAAAATCTTGTGGGGCCACTGTAGCATATGTAGTCCATCTTGACTGAAATGTCCTTATGCAGTGCATGATTGTACTTCATAATTTTTAAGCACTCCTCCCTCTTGATTGGTACTTAGTGGATTTTATCATTTTTGTTTCTTCATAATTCTTTCTGAAATGTCTACTGGTTGGACCTTTGATCTCCTGAATTGATCGTGATTTCTTCTGTTGTATTTTTTGTCTTTGTCATTTTTTTGTACTCTAGGCAGTTTTCTCAATTTTAGTTTCTATTCAACTTTTTGTTTTTATTTATTCTCTCCAGTATTTATGGAGATACTAAATTGAAGTGTTCTGTTTCTCTCTCCACCCTATCCCTAGTTTCAAGTTTTATCTCAGTTTCTATGGAGTCAGTTTTTTCGTTGCTTTAAAAAAAAATTTTCCTGAAGTGATTGGTAAGTTTTGGCTAA